>NC_000007.14:99173445-99476475 GCF_000001405.40 Homo sapiens
GCCTCCCAAAGTGCTGGGATTACAGGTGTGAGCCACCACACCCAGCCTAAACAAATGTTCTTAGGAGATGAATTCCACATGGTTTTAAGATGCAAGTCGTTTATCTGAAGTTCAGATAGAGAAACGTGAAAGTGTTGAACATTTTATTAATGTCAAGTTTTAAAAGCTTCACATTTGGGTTACACTAAGATAGAGGACTGCTGCTTCTTAAAGAAGTTATCCTTTAGCACTGGGTTGTTGGTTTAGGAGGTAGGGAGCTTGGCTATTTTTTTGCTAAGCATTCATAATCTATAAATTCATAATCTTGGTCTATGACTTGGCTCAGTAAAGTTTGGCTCTCATCTTCTTCCTTCAGGAGAGAATAGACACTGTTATACCTCCAGGATTCTCAGCACATTATCACTGCACATTTGGCAAGATGCACCTTGTAACAAAATTGACCCTCTTAACCATGTTTAAGCAGGTAGCTTAGTAGCAATTAAGTACATTCGCATTGTTGCGCAACCATCACCACCACCCACCTCTAGAACTTTTTCATCTTGCACAACTGAAGCTTTGTACCTATTGCATCAGGGGTCCCCAACCCCGCATCCGTGGCCTATTAGGAACTGGGCCACACAGCAGAAGGTGAGCAGCAGGCCAGCAAGCGAAGCTTCATCTGTATTTACAGCCACTCCCCATCACTCGCATTCCCACCTGAGCTCTGCCTCCCTGTCAGACCAGCAGCAGCATTAGATTCTCATAGCAGCACAAACCCTATTGTGAACTGCGCATGCCAGGGAACCAGGCTGCATGCTCCTTATGAGAATCTAGTGCCTGATGATCTGTCAACTGTCTCCCATCACCCCCAGATGGGATCGTCTAGTTGCAGGAAAAGATCTCAGGGTTCCCACTGATTCTGCATTACGATGAGCTGTATAATTATTTCATTATATATTACCATGTAGTAATATAAAGTGCACAATAAATGTAATGCTCTTGAATCATCCCGAAACCATCCCCTCACCCCCCAGCCTGTGGAAAATTTGTCTTTCACAAAAACTGGTCCCTAGTGTCAAAAACGTTGGGATCACTGTATTTAATCACTCCTCATTCCCTCCTCCACCCAGCACCTGGCAACCACCATTCTACTTTGTCTCTACAGATTTGATGACTGCAGGTACCAAATCTAAGTGGAATCGCATTGTATTTGTCCTTTTGTGAGTAGCTTGTTTTTAAATGCAGTTTTGATAGACATAGAACACCGTCCTGACAATGAGTAAGCAAATGATAGGTATAGTTACTACTTCTAGTCCAGAAATCTTTACCCTGGAGTTCTTGGATCAAGCCCCAGGGATCAAACCCCCTTTAAAAGAGGTCTCTTATTTATTATTTTTTTTTTTTGAGATGGAGTCTTACTCTGTCGCCCAGGCTGGAGTACAGTGGCATGATTGCAGCTCACTACAACCTCTGCTTTCTGGGTTCAAGTGATTCTGCTGCCTCAGCCTCCTGAGTAGCTGGGATTATGAGCACCCGTCACCACACCCAGCTAATTTTTGTATTTTTAGTAGAGATGGAGTTTCACCATGTTGGCCAGGCTGGTCTCGAACTCCTGACCTCAGGTGATCCACCCGCCTTGGCCTCCCCCAAAGTGCTGGGATTACAGGTGTGAGCCACTGCACCCAGCTGAGCTTCTTATTTATGAGGTTTTCATAGGAACCATTAACCTGGAAAATGCTTATCACCATTATCACCATTCTAGGTCTGGTCTCCTTTGAGAGCATTTTTTTTCTATTTTAAGACAGTCTCGTGCTATTGCCCAGGTTGGAGAGCAGTGGCACAATCACAACTCAAGCAATCCTCCCACTGTAGCCTCCCGAGTAACTGGGATTACAGGCACATGCCATTACACCTGGCTAATTTTTGTATTTTTTGTAGATATGGGCTCTCACTGTGTTGCCCAGGCTGGTCTCGGAGCTCCTGGACTCAAGCAATCCACCTGTCTTAGCTTCCCAAAGTGCTGCAATTATAGGCATGAGCTACCACACCTGGCTTGAGAGCTTTATTTATTTATTTATTTATTTATTTATTTATTTATTATTTATTTTGGAGATGGAGTTTTGCTCTGTTGCCCAGGCTGGAATACAGTGGCACCATCTTGGCTCACTGCAACCTCTGCTCTGGGGTTCAAGCTATTCTCCTGCCTCAGCCTCCTGAGTAGCTGGGATTACGGGCACAAACCACCACACCCAACTAATTTTGTATTTTTAGTAGAGACAGGGTTTCGCCATGTTGGCCAGGCTGGTCTTGAACTCCTAACCTCGTGATCCATCTGCCTCAGCCTCCCAAAGTGCTGAGATTACAGACATGAACCACTGCTCCCAGCCGAGAGCATCATCTTGGTCCCAAATCAAGACTAACTGCCCCAGCTAACCACACCATCCACCTGGTCATATTGATTGTATGGTCCTTTATTTTGCTGGTAAGTCACCTTTGACACCTAAGAGAAGTGTCACTCTGTAAACTCCTAGCCCCATGTTGATCTGGTCATGAAATAAATGTGAGGTTGCCTTCCTCATATGAAAAATTTCTGCTGGGCGTGGTGGCTCACGCCTGTAATCCCAGCACTTTGGGAGGCCCGAGGCAGGCGGATCACGAGGTCAGGAGATCAAGACCATCCTGGCTAACACGGTGAAACCCCGTCTCTACTAAAAGTACAAAAAATTAGCCGGACATGGTGGTGGGCGCCTGTAATCCCAGCTACTTGGGAGGCTGAGGCAGGAGAATGACGTGAACCCAGGAGGTGGAGGTTGCAGTGAGCCAAGATCGCGCCACTGCACTCCAGCCTGGGCAGCTGAGCGAGACTACGTCTCAAAAAAAAAAAAAAAGAAAGAAAGAAAGAAAGAAAAGAAAAATTTCTGATATAAGTGCAAATCAAACCACAATGAGATACCACTTTATACCCATGAGATTAGCTATTACCAAAACACCTAGAAAATAACAAGTGTCGGCAAGGGTGTGGAGAAATTGGAATCCTCATGCATTGTTGGTAGGGATGTGAAATGGTATATCTACTGTGGAAAAGAGCGTGGTAGTTCTTCAAAAATTCAAAATGGAATTACCACGTAATCTAGCAATTCCACTCTAGGTATATACTCCAAAGAATTGGGCCAGGTGCGGTGGCACAGACCTGTAATTCCGGCACTTTGGGAGGCCGAGACGGGTGGCTTGCTTGAGCTCAGGAGTTTTAGACCAACCTAGGCAACATGGTGAAACCCCATCTCTACAAAAAAAATACAAAAGTTAGCTGCCGGCATGGTGGTGCATGCCTGTAGTCCCAGCTACTTGGGAGCCTGAGGTGGGAGGATTGCTTGAGCCCAGGGAAGTCAAGGCTACAGTGAGCAACCATTGCGGCCATTGCCTTCCAGCCTGGGTGACAGAGCAGGACCCTGTCTTTACAAACAAAAAAAAATTGGAAGCAGGGACTCTAACAGGCTTACACACCCATGTTCATAGCAGTGTATTCACCATAGCAAAATGGTAGAAGAAACTCACATGTCGATTGACAGGTAAATGAATATATATAATGCAGCATATACATTCAATGGAGTGTTAGCCTTAAAAAGGAAAGCAATCCTGACATGCTACAACACGGATGAATCTTGAAGATGGTATGCCAAGAGGAAATATATCAGTCACAAAAGGACAAATACTGTACAATTCCACTCATGAGGTCCCTAGAATAGTCAAATTCATAGAGACAGAAAGCAAAATGATGGTTACTAAAAGGGCTAGGGGAAAGGTGTGTTGGGGACTTTGTAGTTAACGGGTAGGGAGTTTCAGTTTGGGAAGATAAAAACTGTTGTGGAGACGGGCCGGGTGTGGTGGCTCACGCCTGTGATCCCAGCACTTTGGGATTACGCCAAGGCGGGTGGATCACTTGAGGCCAGGAGTTTGAGACCAGCCTGGCTAACACAGGGAAACCCTGTCTCTACTAAAGATTAGCTGGGCGTCGTAGTACATCTCTCTAATCCCAGCTTCTCGGGTCAATGAGGCTCAAGAATCAACTGAATCTGGAAGGCAGAAGTTGCAGTGAGCTGAGATGGCGCCTCTGTCCTCCAGCCTGGGCAACAGAGTGAAACCATCTCAAAAAAAAAAAAAAAAAAAAAAAAAAGTCACTTCAGCATCAAATCCTCTCCCCTGCCATACCTCTCCCAAAAAGGAGACCAGTAAAGTGAAGTTTTAAGCCAGAGGCAGCCAGACAAGCTCCCAAGGAATTAGAATAGCTTCCAGGCACCAAGATGTCACTACTCAAAGATGACCCGATACAGCAGGGATAGGCGAGACACATTAACTTCAGAGGATGTGGCAGGAGTGAAGACCACCTGCCCAGTCACCTGCCACACGCAACAGCCCAGGCCCCGGCAGGGTGACCCTCTGCAGAGCTGCCCCACCAAGACCCCTGGATACTCCTCCACGCTCCTAAGTCACTTACCTCACCAAAGTGCTTCTCGATGATGTTCAAAGCCGACTGGCCAATTTGACGGTTCTCATGCAGCTGTAAAGCCTCAATTCTATCGATCCCACCAAGTTCTTCTATCAGAAGACACAGGTTTTCCTTCTCAGACCGTTTCTCTGCCGCCTGTGACCAAGTACAAGGGGACATGAGACCCCCGGCAGGAGCCTTTGGGGGATAGGGACTCTGTCAGCCCTCAAGGGAGCTGCCCCGAGTGGAAGCAGACCAAAGGCTACCATTCCAGAATGGATAGTTGCAATTTCACTTTTCCCAAATTGGTTGAAAATTACATGATCTTCCTCCCACTTTAGGTATCCACGATATATAGACATATATCATAAATATAGGGCCGGGCGCAGTGTCTCATGCCTGTAATCCAACACTTTGGGAGGCTGAGGCAGGCAGATCACTTGAGGTCAGGAGTCTGAGACCAGCCTGGCCAACATGGTGAAACCTCGTCTCTACTAAAAATACAAAAATTAGTTGGGCGTGGTGGCAGGTGCCTGTAATTCCAGCTACTCAGGAGGCTGAGGCACAAGAATTGCTTGAACCAGGAGGCAGAGGTTGCAGTGATCTGACATTGCGCCACTGCACTCCAGCCTGGATGACAGCATAAGACTCAGTCTCAAAAAAAAATTAATAAAGAAGATACACAGGGAAGACTCAGAAGGTATCACAATTTTGTTAACATTTTGTGTAGAGACAAGATCTTGCTGCATTACCCAGATTAGTCTCCAACTCCTGGCCTCAAGCAATCTTCCTGCCTTGGCCTCCCAAAGTGCTGGGATTACAGGTATGAGCCACTGCATTTGGCCCAAATATCTTTGTCTCAAAAAAAAAAAAAAAAAAAAAAAAAAAAAAAAAAAGAGTCTCGCTCTATCGCCCAGGCTGGAGTGCAGTGGCGTAATCTTGGCTCACTACTCTCCCCACCTCCCAGGTTCAAGAGATTCTCCTGCCTCAGTTTCCCAAGTTGCTGAAACTACAGGTACATGCCATGCCAGGCTTTTTTGTATTTTTGTAGAGATGGGGTTTCACCATGTTGGCCAGGCTGGTCTTGAACTCCTAACCTCAGGTGGTCCTCTCACCTCAGCCTCCCAAAGTGCTGGGATTACAAGCATGAGCCAATGCACTTGGCCCAAATATCTATTCTTTATCTGTGTCTTTTGCTCAAGTTTCAGGGTATCATGGGGTTGAGTTTCTAATCTAGTCTTGACTCAGATCATTCAAGAAAATTACATTAAAAAGATGCTTAAAGTGGACTTCTAAAAGGAGCTCCTTGGTGTTACTTTGAAGATTTTCAGATGGTTTTGTCACCTATAAAAGAACCTTAGCTAAGCTGGACACAGTGGCCCATTCCTGTAATCCCAGCACTTTGGGAGGCCGAGGTGAGAGGATCACTTGAGCCCAGGACTTTGAGACCAGTGTAGGCAACATAGCAAGACCCTGTCTCTGCTAAAATACAAAAATTAGCTGGGTGTGGTAGCACAAGCCTGTAATCCCATCTACTTGGAAGGCTGAGGTGGGAGGATCACCTGAGCCTAGGAAGTTGAGGCTGCAGTGAGCTGAGATCACAACACTGCATTCTAGCCTGGGTGACAGAGTGAGATCCTGTTTCAAAATATATATATATATTTATATTATTTATATTTTTATTTATTTTTAGAGACAGACTCTTGCTCTGTTGCCCAAGCTGGAGTGCAGTGGCATGATCTTGGCTCACTGCAACCTCCACCACCCAGGTTCAAGTGATTCTCATGCCTCAGCCTCCCGAGTAGCTGGGATTACAGGCATGAGCCACCATGCCTGGCTAATTTTTTTGTAGAGATGGGGTTTCACAATGCTCAGGCTTGTCTTGAAGTCCTGACCTCAGGTGATCTGCACACCTCGGCCTCCCAAAGTGCTGGATTACAGGTGTAAGCCACCATGCCCAGCCAAAAAACAGTAATTTTTTAAAAGGACCCTAACCAAATGAACCTAGCTAGCCTCCAAAACTGCCCTGATGATCCCTGACCCCCGGTGCTCAAACCCTGTGTAGTTCCCCACCCACATTGAATGGGGATGACCTGTGTAACCAATAGGATGTTGTGGAAGTGACAGAATGTGACCTCCAAGGTCACGTCATGAAGGACACTGAGGCCTTCACCTTGCTTTTAGACCCCTTACTCATAGGAAGCCAGCTGCCGTGATGTGAGGACACTCAGGCAGCCCAATGGAGAAGGTCCATGTGTCCAAGTGACTTCCCGGTCATCGTGTAAGCCTCCTCAGAAGCCAATCCTCTTGGCTAGGCATGGTGGCTCACACCTGTAATCCTAGCACTTTGGGAGGCTGAGGCGGGAGGATGACTTGAACCCAGGAGTTAGAGAACAGCCTGGGCAATATAGCAAGACCCTGTCTCTACTAAAAATACAAACATTGGCCAGGTGTGGTGGCATCTGGCTGTAGTGCCAGTGATTCAGGTGGCTGAGGTGGGAGGATTGCTTGAGCCCAGGAGATCAAGGCTGCAGTGAGCGAGGATCACAGCACTCCAACCTCGGTGGCAGAGCAGAGATCCTATCTCTGTCTGTCTCTCTCTCTCTGTGTCTCTATCTCTCTGTCTCCGTCTGTCTCCGTCTGTCTCTGTCTCTGTCCATCTGTCTCTGTCCATCTCTCCGTCTCTCCGTCTCTGTCTCTCTCCCCATCTCTCTCTCCCCGTCTCTCTCTCCGTCTCTGTCTCTCTCTCCCCATCTGTGTGTGTGTCTCTCTCCCCGTCTGTGTCTCTGTCTGTGTCTCTCTCTCTCTCCGTCTGTGTCTCTCTCTCTCCCCGTGTCTCTCTCTCTCTCCCCGTCTGTGTCTCTCTCTCTCTCCCCGTCTGTGTCTCTCTCTCTCTCCCCGTCTGTGTCTCTCTCTCTCCCCGTCTGTCTCTCTCTCTCTCCCCGTCTGTGTCTCTCTCTCTCTCCCCGTCTGTGTCTCTCTCTCTCCCCATCTCTCTCTCCCCGTCTGTGTCTCTCTCTCTCTCCCCGTCTGTGTCTCTCTCTCTCCCCATCTCTCTCTCTCCCCGTCTGTGTCTCTCTCTCCCCGTCTGTCTCTCTCTCTCTGTGTGTGTGTCTCTCTGTGTGTGTCTCTCTCTCTCTCTCCGTCTGTGTCTCTCTCTCCATCTGTGTCTCTCTCTCTCTCTCCGTCTGTGTCTCTCTCTCCGTCTGTGTCTCTCTCTCCGTCTGTGTCTCTCTCTCCGTCTGTGTCTCTCTCTCCGTCTGTGTCTCTCTCTCCGTCTGTGTCTCTCTCTCCGTCTGTGTCTCTCTCTCCGTCTGTCTTTCTCTGTCTCTGTCTCTATAAAGACAGCTACAGCCACTCCCCACCCTGAACTATTAGTGACTGCCCCTTTATCCGATTTACTTTATCCATAACTCCCTACCTGATGTGTCTGTTCTCTGTCACTCCCCTCATACATAATGTCCATTACAGCAGGGACTTTGCATTGTCATAGTCTGAGCATCTGAAAAAATATCTGGCACATAGACATTTGTTTGAGAAAACGAAGACCATGGTCCTTCGAGATGGCTCTTTTTGTGTTTATCCACAGGACACATGGACAGAGGAGGGTAGAGGTATTGGGGGAAGAGAAATAATCCAACTTGGGTTTTGTTTTGAGACGGAGTCTGGCTCTGTCGCCCAGGCTGGAGTGCAGTGGCACTATCTTGGCTCACTGCAACCTCTGCCTCCTGGGTTTCAAGCGATTCTCCCACCTCAGCCTCCCAAGTAGCTGGGATACAGGCATGCACTACCTTTCCCGGCTAATTTGACGGGGTTTCACTATGTTGGCCAGGCTGGCCTCAAATTCCTGACCTCAGGTGATCCACCTGTCTCAGCCTCCCAAAGTACAACTTGAATTTTAAGAGCCACATTAAATGCTTGTATCCAGTTGGAGACAGCTATTTACAAACCAACCTGTTCAGAACGGCTCACCTGGAGGATGCAAGAGATGACATCAAGGATGATGAGAACAATTTTAACATCTGGGGCAGTGAGCAGATTCACCAGTGGCTCCAGGACCCCAGAGTGGACGAGCTGGATCAGCTGATCCATGGTGGCCCCTGTTGCAAAGTTCGCCACCATCCAGACAGCCTCTTTCTGGACTTTAAATTCTCCCTGCAGAACAAGAATGTTTCCATTCTCTACAGATCCTCAAGAACCTAAATAGAGGACACCAACTTGGTTCACTTTCTAGGGAGGCTGGTGACAGCCAGGACTGCATGTACAATTTACATAGAATGCCTTGGCTACCTGCCTCTAGCTCTTTCTTTCCCCCCTCACTCTGTCGCCCAGGCTGGAGTGCAGTGGCGCAATCTCAGCTCACTGCAATCTCCGCCTCCCAGGTTCAAGCGATTCTCCTGCCTCAGCCTCCTGAGTAGCTGGGACTACAGGTGTGTGCCACCACGCCCAGCTAATTTTTTATATTTTTAGTAGAGACAGGTTTCACCATGTTGGCCAGGATGTTCTCGATCTCTTGACCTCATGATGCGCCTGTCTCGCTCAGCCTCCCAAAGTTCTGGGATTACAGGCACTCACCACCATACCCAGCTAATTTTCGTATTTTTAGTACAGACAGGGTTTCACCATGTTGGCCAGGCTGGTCTCAAACTCCTGACCTCAAGTGATCCTCCCATCTCGGCCTCCCAAAGTGTTGGGATTATAGGCATGAACCCCCTGCCCGGCTCCTGCCTCTAGTTCTTGATCAGAAGATGGCATCTTTGGAAAGCCAAGAAGGCAGGAGACTCAGGTGGGGTCTTAGAGGGAAGCTCTAAGATCAGATAGGCTCATTTGCCCACATCAGGCCACAGGGAAAAAATGAAACGGACATTAACCAATTCAGGTAATCTACACAGACTAGGAGTTATGCTTGGGGTTTTAGATGACAGTGGCCTATGTCTGCATTTCTAGTCTTTCTGATCTAGTAAAGCTTTGGCCAAGAAGCTGTAAGCCTGGGTACACAGATACAACCTAAGGGACCAAGCCAGCCCAGAGGTGACAGAGAAAGACCATTGAAATATCGTTCAGGTCGGGCACGGTGGCTCACACCTGCAATCCCAGCACTTTGGGAGGCTGAGGCAGGCAGATTGCCTGAGCTCAGGTGTTAGAGACTAGCCTGGGCAACATGGTGAAACCCTGTCTCTATTAAAATACAAAAAATTAGCCGGGTGTGGAGGCGTGTGCCTGTAATCCCAGTTAGGAGGCTGAGGAAGGAGAATCACTTGAACTCAGGAGGCAGAGGTTGCAGTGAGCCAAAATTGTCCCACTGCACTCCAGTCTGGGTGACAGAGCGAGACTCCATCTCCAATAATAATAATAATTGCTCAATAAACCTTTGCATTTATAAAATGCACTTGGCCAGAGATACAGGAGGAATTTATCTTCTATTCTTCTATTCCTGGGTAGGATTTATTCCCATTTTATGGTTGGGGAAAACTGACCTCAGCATAAAAAACAAAACAAAACAAATAACTTATGGCTCCAAGCAAGTTATAGTTCAAAAGATACCACTTGAAATATAAATGTCCTTTGATTCATAACTAGATGTTTCTCACTAGAATATGTACAGATTTACAGAGGCGTGCAGGACCACAAGTACTGAACAGATTGGAAGATGCTATAATTTGGGCAACACACCTGGTCTTTCTCTCTTGCCTAGCTTGTCATACCTGGTGCATCCTGGGAACTCACTACCCAGCCTGAGAACAGGAACACCGCCAGTAGCTTCTCCTCAACCCCATGAGACTCCACCTGCCTCCCCACCCCCAGCCCAAGGTAACCACTCCTGACTATAGATGGTTTAAACATAGCTAATTCCTTTAAAGGTGGCAAAAAGAAAAATGCCAAGGATAGTCATTGCTCCTGCAAAAGGGGAGTACAAATCAGGAGAAATAATGTTTTTTTGTTTTTGTTTTTTTGCGACAGTTTTACTCTTGCTGCCCAGGCTGGAGTATAGTGGCATGATCGTGGCTCACTGCAACCTCCACCCTCCCAGGTTCAAGTGATTCTCCTGTCTTAGGCCTCCCAAGTAGCTGGGATTACAGGCACCCACCACCACACCTGGCTAATTTTTTGTGTTTTTAGTAGAGATGGGGTTTCACCATGTTGGCCAGGCTGGTATCGAACCCCTGATCTCAGGTGATCCACTTGCCTTGGCCTCCCAAAGTGCTGGGATTACGGACATAAGCCACTGTGCCTGCCCACAACCTTTTTTTTTTTTTTTTTTGAGACAGGGTCTCACTGTGTCACAGAGGCTACAGTGCAGTGGTGTGATCTTAGCTCACAGCAGCCTTGACCTCCCGGGCTCAATTGATCCTCCTACCTTAGCCTCCCAAGATGCTGGGACTACAGGCATATGCCACCAAGCCTGGCTAATTTTTGTATACGTATATTTTTTGTAGAGAAAGAGTTTCGCCACATTGCCCAGGCTGGTCTCAAACGCCTGAACTCAATCTATCCACCTGACTGGGCCTCCCAAAACGTCGGAATTACAGTCGTGAGCCACTGCACTCAGCCTGCTTTGTTGTTTTTCTATGTTTAGATTTGAATTTTGTTGACATTACCACTTTAATCAATTTAACTTTGCTTTCCTTCAGTGTATGATATCACCATAGCATGATATGTTTTTCCTCCTAAAAATAAAAGCTCCACCCTCTTTTGGTAGGGAGAGAATAGATGGCACATTCTTTCACCACCGCTTAGACATAAGCCAATATTTACTAGCTCAAGAGCTTTCTGGATGTTTGAGCCATGGGGTCACCTTGTCATTGAATAATGCTTGTTCCGTCTTCCAAATCTTTAATGGGTTCTTCAGAATGGAACGCCCCCTTCCTTTTTTTCAGGCAAAGCTAGGACTCTGAGGTTTCAGAGCTCTGCTGTGATCTCAATTTGCTTCTGCACCTGTGTCTGGATTCCTGAAGGAGTTCAACCCAGGGCTATTGGAAAGTAGTCCTTTGCCATGGTTGCTGTGTGCGCCACTTACGTTTTTTAGCAGAGCCACCAAGGGAGGCAAGACGTCGTAGGCAAGCAGCTGCTGGATGTGGTGACAAGGCCCCGCTGCTACGTTGCTCAGGGCCCAGGCTGCCTCCTTCTGGATGGAGGGCTTGTTGTGTTGCAGGAGCTGGGGGAGCACGTTCAGCATACCCGCATCAATGGCCATCTGCGTCTGCTCATCTGTGCCCGTGACAATGTTCCCCACGGTGCGGAGAGAAGGAGTCTGGAAGAGCAAGGCTAGAAGTCTAAGTATTTCAAGTCTATCCCAGGAGAAGGCAACAATCACACCAAGTTCTGTTCTCTCCCAAACATTGTCATGCTATAGCCGATGGTTGTCTGACAGCCTGTGAACAGGAATTGTATCTGTGATCATTATTCAATTCATCCATGGCCTTTTAATTTATTTTTTATTTATTTATTTATAAAGAGACAGGGTCTTTACTGTTACCCAGGCTGGAATGCAGTGGCATGATCATAGCTCACTGCAGCCTTCAACTCTTGGGCTCAAGTGATCCTCCTCCCCCAGCCTCCCAAGTATCTGGGACTATACGGATGTGCCACCATGCCCGGCTAATTTTTAAGTTTTTTGTAGAGACGGGGGTCTTGCTATGTTGTCCAGGCTGGTCTCAAGTGATCCTGCCTTGGCTTTCCAAAGTGCTGGGATTACAATCATGAGCCACTGTGCCTGGCCCATGGATGTTTAAAGGTGACTTAAAGGAACTTTCTGGCTTCCCACTTGTTTGGCTCAAGTGGGACAGAAATACCCAAGAAATACCTTTATCGAGAAATGCTGTTGGACTTTTCATATGCTTTCAGTTTCATCATCAAATGCTAAATTGACGATAGTGTTTTGTTTGTTTGTTTGTTTTTTGAGACAAGGTCTTGCTGTCACCCAGACTGGAGTATAGTGGTACGATTTTGGTTGTCACTGCAACCTCTGCCTCCTGGGTTCAAGCAATTCTCCTGCCTCAGCCTCCTGAGAAGCTGGGATTACAGGTGTGCACCACCATGCCTGGCTAATTTTTGTATCTTTTGTAGAGACAAGGTTTCACCATGTTGCCCAGGCTTGTCTTGAACTCCTGACCTCAAGTGATCTGCCTACCTCGGCCTCCCAAAGTGCTGGGATTATAGGCATGAGCTACTGCGCCCAGTGACTATACTCTTTATCGTATAATGACTGAATTAGTATTTATCAGTGTCAAGCGTGTTGCATATTTAATTGGAGATAATGAGATCTCAATGCCATTTCCTGGTGTGATTGGGAAGCCCTTCATAATGGCTCAGAAGATCCCCAGGACAGGTCTACGATTGGGCTCAAAACAACAACTCTCCTACAATAGCTGACTATGGCTTTATTCAGATTTCTCTGTACTGTAGTGGCAGCCCCAGTAAAGCCCAGCAACAGTTCTAGAATTTTCCTAGCCTATTAGGCTACTTACCTGATACCAAAGTGAGAGGTAGAAGTGTACTTCAGGCCAGTCATGGCCTTACCAGGGCAGCTCCAAATAGGCCCCAGAACCCGGGGGTAAGCAACTTCTTAGAGAATTTACTTCTCCACTTTGGGAGGCCGAGGCGGATGGATCACTTGAGTCCAGGAGTTTGAGACCAGCCTGGCCAACATGGGGAAACACCGTCTCTACTAAAAATACAAAAATTAGCTGGGTGTGGTGGTGCACACCTGTAGTCCCAGCTACTTGGGAGGCTGAGGCAGGAAAATTTCTTGAACCCAGGAGACAGAGGTTGCAGGGAGCCAAGATTGTATCACCACACTCCGGCCTTGGCAACAGAGTGAGACTTTGTCAAAAAACAACAACAACAACAACAAAAATGGCTTGTCTTATCTCATACTCTCCATGCCCCTAGCACTATCCCGAAACCAACTCAACATCTGAGAAGTCCTATGCTAATCTCAAAATAGATGATCACTAAGGCTGCAGAATATGCAATATTAGGTAAAATATTAAGAAAATAAAGAGCAGGCAGCATAGAGACATCTTCAATATAATGCACCCACATTTCAAAGCAGTATATGATGTAGGTGACATGTTTAATAACATAGCAAAGCGGCAGGGCATAGTGGCTCATGCCTGTAACCCCAGCACTTTGGGAGGCTGAGGTGGGCAGATCACCTGAGGTCAAGAGTTCAGGACCAGCCTGGCCAACCTGGTGAAACCCTGTCTCTACTAAAAATACAAAAATTAGCTGGGCGTGATGGTAGTGGGTGCCTGTGATCCCAGCTACTCAGGAGGCTGAGGCAAGAGAATTGCTTGAAGTCGGGAGGTGGAGGTTGCAGTGAGCCAAGATTGTACCACTGCACTCCAGCCTGGATGACAGAGAGACTCCGTCTCACACACAAAAAAAATAATAACCTAGAAAAGCAATTAGTAATGGTTTTACTTGCTTTCTGCCTATATCTGAGCTAGTCTAAGAGAACAAACTGGGGAGAGGATAATGGGTTGTTTTTTTTTTTAATCCCCAGTCTCACTGTCACTCTGGCTGGAGTACAGTGTGCCATCACAGCTCACTGCATCCTCAAACTTCTGGGCTCAATAAATTCTCCCAACTCTGCCTCCCCAGTAGCTGAGACTACAGGTATGCACCACCACACCCAGCTAATTTTTTTTTTTTTTTTTTGAGATGGAATGTCACTGTCACCCAGGCTGGAGAGCAGTGGCACGATCTCAGCTCACTGCAACCTCCACCTCCTGGGTTCAAGGAATTCTCCTGCCTCAGCCTCCCGAGTAGCTGGAATTACAGCTGTGCGCCATCACACTCAGTTAATTCTTTGGTGTTTTACAAATAAATTTTTGTATTTTTGTATTTTTACAGCTGTGAGCCACCGTGCCCGGCCTTTTTTTTTAAAAAAAAAAAAAAAAAAAAAAAAAAAAAAAAAAAACCCACTAGGATTTGACATCAAAATAGATTCAAGCTTTTGGCCACAGAGTAGCAAAGATGGGCAGGCACAGTGGCTCACACCTCTAATCCCAGTCGTTTGGGAGGCCGAGGCAGGAGGATCACCTGAGGTCAGGAGTTCGAGACTAGCCTGGCCAACATGGTAAAACCCTGTCCCTACTAAAAATACAAAATGAGCCGGGCGTGGTCGTTGGCATCTATAATCCCAGCTACCCAGGAGGCTGAGATAGGAGAATCGCTTGAACCTGGGAGGCAGAGGTTGCAATGAGCTGAGATTGTGCCACTGCATTCCAGCCTGGGTGACAGAGCAAGACTCTGTCTCAAAAAAAAAAAAAAAAAAAAAAAAGCAAAGACCAGGGAAATGCAGATGACAAACCTTGCCCCAGAACCTGCTAAAGTGACTATGACCCGAGGACTCGAATCCACAGGGCCCAGGATTGCATTTACCAAGACATTGAGTTCTGAGCTGGTCATGAGCACTACCAGCCTGGGCAGGACCCCCGTGTTAACCACTTGGCCGATGCGCTTGTTGGAGCCGTCGGTGAGGTAGGACAGTGCCCAGCAGGCATCCGAGAGAACCTCACTGTCCTGGTGCTGCAGGAGGTGAAGGAGGGCCGGCAGTATCTGCTTCACCGCAGTGTCGCAAGGGTATGGGTTCTTGTTTCGGCACAGATTCGACAAGGTCCACGTGATGTTCCGCAGAAATGTGATCTGTAACAAGGAGACTGCCTCCAGCATTGGGTGCAAAGGAGAGAAAATGCAAACAGCAGTGTGTTCTTACCATTTCCAATCAATACCATAGATCAGCATGAACCAGAGCTTTTTAAAATTTTATTTATTATTTTCAGACAGCCTTGCTCTGTCACCCAGGCTGGAGTGCAGTGATGCAATCTTGGCTCACTGCAACCTCTGCCTCCTGGATTCAAGTGATTCTCCTCCCTCAGCCTCCTGAGTAGCTGGGATTACAGGTGCCCGCCACCACACACGCCCAGCTAATTTTTGTATTTTTAGTAGAGATGGGGTTTCACCATGTTGCCCAGACTGGTCTTGAACTCCTGGCCTCAAGTGATCTGCCGGCCTCAGCCTCCCAACGTGCTGGGATTACAGGGGTGAGCCATTGTGCCCGACTGAACGAGAGCTTTTGAACTTCAAATAGAAATGTGTTCTAGGCAGTGATGTGTATTAGGGACACAGAACGAGGTTCGTATTTCACATTCCAATGTTAGATGGAGGTTTCCTTTGTCTTTCAAAATGTCCTTTCCCATTTGATTGATGACCTAATTTCATTTTTCACTGACAACAAGATCAAGCAGGAGTTACTTGGTCTTCCCACTGGTCTAAAACACTACTGGCATGTCATCCCCAGATTTCTAATCTTCTAATTGAGAATCAGTCTTCCTACTCTGCCTCTGGATCCCATCCCTTTTGGCCTTTTATTATTAGTTTTAGTTTTAGTAGAGACAGGGGTCTTGCTATGTTGCCCAGTCTGGACTTCAACTCCTGGGCTCAAGTGATCTGCCTACCTCCACCTCCCAAAGTGATGACAGGCCTGAGTCACCACACCTGGCCCTTACTTTTTGCCTTTAAAGATTCCGCCCAGAATCATCCCTGCCCCCAAATCACTCCCACCAGTAAGGAAACATACCCTGGGACTGTCAGCCCCTCCCCTTCTGCCCCTTTCAGCCATCATCACACTTCTGTCTTTCAGAGTCTACCCTCAGAGAGGCATCTATATTCACTGTCTACCTCCCAGATTCCCAATTGTTGGGGTTTTTTGTTTGTTTGTTGAGACAGGGTCTCACTCTGTTGCCCAGGCTGCAGTGCAGTGCCGTGATCATAGCTCACTACAGCCTCAACCTCCCAGGCCCAAGTGATCCTCCTACTTCTGCCTCCTGAGTAGCTGTGGCTAGACATGCTTTTTGTAGAGGAAAGTCTTGCTATGTTGCCCAGGCTGGTCTCAAACTCCTGGGCTCAAGGGATCCTCCTGCCTCGGCCTCCCAAAATGCTGGGATTACAGACATAAGCGCCTGGCCTCCAGTTGTTCTTCAGGCCATTCTAGTCATGTTTCTAACCCTTCTTTGGGGTTAGGGATGGGAATCAGCTCCTTCCAAGTCACCAAACACAGCAGCTGCTTCTTGGTCCTAAAGTTACTGTCCCTCTCAGCTGTGGTTAGTAGTCAGCCCTTTCTTTTTGAAGGAGCTCTCGGCTGGGCGTGGTGGCTCACACCTGTAACCCCAACACTTTGGGAGGCCGAGGCAGGTGGATCATGAGGTCAGGGGTTCAAGACCAGCCTGGCCAAGATGGTGAAACCCCGTCTCTACTAAAAACACAAAAATTAGCCAGGCGGGGTGGCATGTGCCTGTAATCCCAGCTACTCGGGAGGCTGAAGCAGAAGAATCGCTTGAACCCAGGAGGCGGAGGTTGCAGTGAGCTGAGATTGCACCACTGCACTCCAGCCTGGTGACAGAGCAAGACTCTGTCTCAAAAAAAAAAAAAAGCAGAAAAAAAAGCAGAAAAAAAAGAAAGAGCTCTTCTTGGCAACTGTGACACCAAACCTGGTTTTCTATGGCCAAATTAGCTGTTTCTACTTAGTCTTTTTGGCAGGCTCTGCCTGAATTTAGAACCTTAGAGCCCACAGGACTGGGTCTCAGGCTCTCCTCACACTCTAGGTCAGGGGTTGAAAACTTTTTCGGTAAAGGGCCAGATCTTAAACATTTTTAGCCTGTGGCTTCTGTGGCAACAACAACTGTCCTTGTAGACCAGACAGTATGTAAATGAGTGTGGCTGCATGCCAGTAAAACTTTTTTTTTTTTTTTGGGGGGAGACAGGGTCTCACTCCATCACCCAGGCTGGAGTGCAGTGGTGCAATCACAGCTCACTGCAGCCTCAAACTCAAGCGATCCTCTCGCCTTGCCTTCCCAAGTAGCTGGGACTACAGACACGTGCCACCATGCCCAGCTTGATAAAACTATTTACAAAGCAAGCGGCCAGCCAGGTCATGTTTGTGACCCCTGGCCCCAGCTGACCTTGCCTGGCTGGGTGACATATACACATATGTCACCTAGCAAGGTACATCTGTCAATCCGACTCTGCTGCAATGGTGTCTCCAACTCGCCTCAACTTCATGCCTGCAACACAAGCTCCAATTTCTTTTTTTCCTGCACTTTTCCCCTTTCTCTAGGAAGACAATCATCTGAACAATCTAACCTGAAACCTAGGGGCATCCTGGCTTCTTGCTGTCTCCCTTTCACGTCTAGAATGGCTATGTCCCAGACCCACCTGCTTCACCATCTCCCTCTGCTATACAATTTTTTTTTTTTTTTTGAGATGGAGTCTTGCTCTGTCACCAGGCTGGAGTACAGTGGCACAATCTCGGCTCACTGCAACCTCCACCTCCCAGGTTCAAGAGATTCTCCTGCCTCAGCCTCCTGAGTAGCTGGGAGTACAGGTGCGTGCCACCACACCCAGCTAATTTTTGTAATTTTAGGAGACGGGGTTTCACCGTGTTGGCCAGGATGGTCTTGATCTCTTGACCTCGTGATCTGCCCACCTCGGCCTCCCAAAGTGCTACCGCATCCGGCCTCTCTCTGCTATATAATTCTACGGCAGGCAACCAGAAGGGCCTTTCTGAAAGATCAGACCACTCTACTCCCTTGCCTCAAAATCCTCCAAAGCCTCCCTGCTGCTAGCAGGAAGATGTCTAAGCCCTTTTCCTGCTTGCCATCTTAAGTGTTCTCTACTTAAACTCTCTCGGTCATGGCTAGTCTTTTATTGGTTCAACCATGTCAGATTTTTCTCCCATCTTGAAGAGTTTTGAGACAGAGTCTTGCTCTGTTGCCCAGGCTGGGGCACAGTGGCGCAACCTTGGCTCACTGCAACCTTCGCCTCCCAGGTTCAATCAATTCTCCTGCCTCAGCCTCCCAAGTAGCTGGGACTACAGGAACGTGCCACCATGCCTGGCTAGTTTCTGTATTTTTAGTAGAGATAGGATTTCGCCATATTAGTCAGGCTGGTCTCAAACTCCTGACCTCAGGTGATCCACCCGCCTCAGCTTCCCAAATTGTTGGGATTACAGGTGTGAGCCACGGTTCCCAGATGAAGGTTTTGAACATAGTCCTCTGGCTGCTCTTCATTTTTGTTTGAGGCAAATCGAGAACCCAGTTCCTAAACCAGAAGTCCTCTTCAATCAATAACCACAAATCAACCAACCTTGACTCTAAGCCTCAAAAGAAGAGCCTGTTCCCCATGAACAGAACTGGTGAGACATTAACCCATTTATGCCAGAGGTTGCAAATTTTTTTGTGTGAAAAATCAGACCTTGGTAATGACCATGAGCAGTAGGATATAAATAACTCCCACAGGCTTAGTGTTCCAATAATGGAACACCAGGCATATATGCTAAACTGTGACCCTAGAATGGAGATTTCAGTCATCTATTTTGCAAGATGGCAAGCTTGTAGGCCTCTTCCAATGCCGCAAAGAGAAGGATCAGTGCTACTGGCCCCTAAAGACAGAGCTGAGTCAATCTTTACCTAAAATGATACTCAGTCCTAAGCCTTGCTATTATTAGTTTATTTAGAGACAGAGTCTCAACCTGTCACCCAGGCTGGAGTGCAGTGGTGTGATCTTGGCTCTCTGCAGCCTCCCTCTCCTGGGCTCAAGCAATCCTTCCACCTCAGCCTCCTGAGTAGCTGAGACTACAGGTGTACGCTACCATGCTCAGCTAATTTTTTTATTTTTAGAAGCATGGTCTCACTATGTTGCCCAGGCTGGTTTTGAACTCTTGGTGTCAAGTGATCCTTCTGTCTTGGCCTAGCAAGCACTGGAATCACAGACATGAGCCACCATGCCCAGTCTTGAGCCTTGTTTATGAGGTTCTAAGAGGCCAGGCAGCAGCCACATGATCTAGCATTGGATTTGGAAGTATGTCCCAATTTCCCAACATTAGAATTTGTTACCTAACGAGGTTCTCTCTCATTTAAAGACATCCACTTGGCCTGGTACTGTGGCTCACGTCCATAATCCCAGAACTTTGAGAGGTAGGAGGATTGCTTGAAGCCAGGAGTTCAAGACCAGCCTGGGCAGAATGGTGAGGCTCCATCTCTATTAAGATTATTTTAAAATTTTAATTTAAAAAAAAAAAAAGAGAAAGAAAAAGACACTTACCGGCAGGGTGGGTGAAATCAAGGCTAGGAGATGTGGGATGGCATTGCTTGTGATGACGTTATCTCTGAACTCTGGGCCATCACCTACAAATAGAGCAGAATGTGACATTTAGAGAGAGAACAAAGACAATCCTGAAGTGGGTGACTAATTTTTTAAGAGTGTGCAAAGGGCAAGAGACAAAAACTCATTCCCGGGTTTAGCAAGTAGGTAGTAGAGCCACGTACTAAATTCTGGAAGTCTGGCATGGCTGGTGGGTGGACAGTCCTGATGTAACAGGCAGGCATCACACAGCAGCAACTGCTAGAAGCAGAGCCAGCCAACTCAGCCAAGGTGGGCTGTTGGCATCTCACAGCATGGTTCTCAGGAAGACGAAGGCTGGTCCAGACCAAGTTGTCTTCCCAGAAGACCTTGGCACAGGGCAGTAACTTCCAATGCAACTCAGAACAAAGTCTGGGGATCTGCAGGTGCTGGTGACCAGCCATCAGCTACCTTAGCTAGGATAACAATTTTAGACCCTAGAAGTCTATTTGTATTTGTCAACCATCAAAGGCAAGTCATCACATTGTACCATCCAGTCTTGCCTACTTTACTGCACCAAGCAAAATGAGAGACAACTTCTCTAATAGGCACTTTTTCCTCCTGCAGCCTTTTATTTTTTTTTTTTGGCGGGGGAGGGGGATACAGGATCTCACTCTATTGCCCTGGCTGGAGTGCAGTGGTGCAATCATAGCTCACTGCAGCCTCGACCTCCAGAACTCAAGCAATTGTCCCACCGTAGCCTCCTGAGTAGCTGGGACTATAGGCATACACCACTATGCCTGGTGAATATTTTTATTTTTTGTAGAGATAAGTTCTCACTACATTGCCCAGGCTGGTCTCAAACTCCTGGGCTCAAGCCATCCTCCCACCTCTGCCTCCTAAAGTGCTGAGATTAAAGGCATGAGTCACTACGCCAAGCCTCTGCAAGCTTTTGTTTTCTTTTAGCAGTTATTTTATATTCTGTTTGCTAATTCCAATATGTGGAGTCCTTGGAGGTCTAATCATACTGTTTCTGCTGACTCAGTCACGGGAGTTATTGCTTCTCTGAACTTGAAAATGCTAATAGTCGGCTGATCTTAATTTGTCAAAATCCTGAGGGACCTAATTGAGTTTTCCCTAGAAAGTCACTGGATTGATGTCAGCCAAGAATCTGGGGGCTTCCGACCCTACAGCACTAATTCACTAGACCATGCAGGAAAGAGCATCGATTGCCACATTCAGAAAGGTAGTCTGAGGATTCCACTTTCAGGGAAGGCTTGTTAGCCCAAACCAAGGAGTTTTTTTTTGTTGTTGTTGTTTTGTTTTTGTTTTTGGCACGTTCCCTTAGCAACTTCCACTGAAGGCAGAGTCCTTCTGGGGTCCCGAGTTATGTAAGGGTCTATCATAAACTCCCACACTGCATAAGCCAAAGACTTGTTCTTGAAGCCACGAAGCCCTGAGGCTGTAGGACCTTAGTGTTGGCAGATGTCTCTAGTTAGCCTGTGGCTTCAGTATACACTGTATCATCCTGTTTCAGCTTCAATATTTGGCCTCTAAACTTGGATTTGAGGGCTTTTGGTGTTTTGAGACAGAATCTCCCTCTGTTGCCCACACTGGAGTACAGTGGCGTTATCTTGGTTCACTGCAACTTCCTCCTCCCAGGTTCAAGCGATTCTCCTGCCTCAGCCTCCCGAGTAGCTGGGACTACAGGGCATGCACCACCATGCCTGGCTAATTTTTGTATATTTAGTAGAGACGGGGTTTCACCATGTTGGCCAGGCTGGTCTTGAACTCCTGACCTCAAGTGATCCGTCCGCCTTGGCCTCCCAACATGCTGGGATTACAGACGTGAGCCACCGTGCCTGGCCTGGCTTTGAGTTTGGAAACAGCTCATTGTACCCTTGCCAGCACTTCTAGGTATTTACATGGCAAAGTGTTCTGGGACATCGAGTATACCCCACCACCCAAAGAAACCTTATAGTATCCCACACACCTGGCCCCGTTTTCTTAGCCCACTAAGGGGAGAGTCTCACCGGCTATATTACCAAGAGCCCACACTGCCTGTTCACACACAGCCACGTTGGAGGAAGACAGGAGCTCAATCAAGGGCTGGATGGCTCCCCCTTCTACCACGGCACGAGTCTGCTCCGAAGTCCCTGAAGCGATGTTGGTCAGGGCCCAGGCAGCCTCAAACTGCAAGCAGGGGTAAAGTGATGACTTCAGGAACTCCACCATCCTGGGAATGAGGCCCGCTTCAATGACCAGTTTCAGAGGGGGGTTCTTTTCCTGGGATAGCATTTTCCTATGCAATGAAAGAGAGGGCAGGGGAGGGGGAGGTCAAGTGAGAGAGGTATTAAGGACCTCCTTTTAGGCCAGGTGCGGTGGCTCACACCTGTAATCTCAGCACTTTGGGAGACCAAGGCGGGCAGATCACTTGAGGTCGCAAGGTCAGGAGTTCGAGACCAGCCTGGCCAACATGGTGAAACCCCGTCCCATCTCTACTAAGAATATAAAAATTAGCTGGGTGTGGTGGTGCACACCTGTAATCTCAGCTTCTCTGGAGGCTTGAGGCAGGAGAATCACTTGAACCCAGTAGGCGGAGGTTGCAGTGAGCTAAGATCATACCATTGCACTCCAGCCTGGGTGACAGAGTGAGACTCCATCTCAAAAGAGAAAAAAAGAACCTCCTTTTATACATAAGCCACATAGCTGGGCCGGAGCTACTTAAGATCCTAGTGTTCAACCGATAGCATTTTTCGGTATTAAATCAACATTTTCCCCTTTAAGGTGTTATCTACAAGATGAAATTTCTGTAGAGGCCAATGTAAATTAAGCAATTCATCTCTGACAACACATCGAAGCTTTTAAATTGCCCTCAAGGACAGTGTAGAATAGCAATTTCGTCTTTTAGATGGGCTAGCCTTTTCCTGTGTTTTACGGGCATGTTGCCAATGCCAAGAAACCAAATAGGCCACCGGCGCTCCAGCCATCACTGACGCTCATTGCTAACTATGAACCTGCAACAGCAGAAGTCTGTTTGGAGATACCTGGCTGTCTGGGTGGCCTGGAAACATAGGACTGGATCTGAGCTATTCACACCTTTGATTATTTCACCCAGAGTGAGGCTGACCTGCAAGAAGAGACACATTCAGGTCAGACTGTCTGCCAAAATGAGCTGTAAACATCACCTACTCTAGCCATCATCCATCTGATTAAAACAGCCTGGCTTGAACAGGATGTCCCATCTTGCATGCTGTTCTATATTTGGGGAGGGGAGAATATAGTCCACAGATCTCACAGATCTGTGTGTTCCTTCCCATGCTTAGGGGAGAAGTAATTCCTATCATTAGTTGGATCCCAAGAACATTTTTATCCCGTGCAGTAAGAATGTGCTAGTGGATACAAAACAAAATGGCAGACTAAGGACATCCAAAAAATTCTCTCCTCCACATAGGCAAAGAGAAAACTGACAAAAATAGAATCAACTTTTTCAGCACTGTAGAAATTGACCAAAGGCTTGCGGCCAATTGTTTTATTCAAGCCAGGAAGTGTTTATCCAAGAAAGACAGCTGAATCTCAGTAAGTAGCATGAGAGCTTTGTGGCATTTTGACTTGCCCTATTCCCACCCACCCTCAGCTCCATGGTAACCCTGAAAACCAACAGTCCACAATCATTGTGAAAAACCAACAGCCTCCCAACCACCAGAAGAGGCAAAATAGGTAGGTCCTCCTTTGGAGCCTCATTCCCAGAAAATTATTATTTGATCTGTCTGGTCATTCCCTGAAAGATCCCACTTACAGACTATTTTGACTCAGAGCTTAGTCAGTATGAAAAGGCTTTTCCCTAAGAATGTTCATTGAAAACAGAGGAAGTTGTTTAACTTCACAGCTACCTGAGAGGTTGAATAAGAGTTGGGATAAACAACAGGCTAACAAAAAAACTTGAAAGGGAATGTCATGTATAGGGCTATGCATATGCTTAAAAACAACAACAACAACAACAACAACAACAACAAAACTAAGACCCTCAGCTCTTCCCTCTCACTGACTTTGAAGCTCTGTGCAAACAGGAAGTGAAGGCTTACGTCAGAATTGTCAACTGCCTGGCTGAGTGGTGAACGCATGCCCCCAACACAGAGCTTCTTGGCAAAAATTGAGTGTTCTTTTCTTCGTGGTTCGAAGTGTTAAAATAAGTCTCTAATTATTAGTTGACCACTGAGCAAACCAAGCAGACACTGCAGCAGCCACACATCACAAAAAAATACAGATTTTAGATAATTAGCTCAAACTACTAAACGAGCACACCCAGCAACAACAGCAAACCCTGGGGCAATGGAAAATCTGATTTCTAGAGTTGTCACACTATTTTAAATGACTAGTTTTCAACAAAGATTGTGAGACAAGCAAAGAAAGTGTGACACACACATATACATATATATGTGAAAAAAGCAATCAATAGCAATAGTCCCTGAGGAGACCAGATGTTGAACTAGACAAAGATTTTAAATATAGTCAAAGAACTAAACCATGACTAAAGAACTAAAGTGCAACAATGCTGTCACACTAAATAGAGAATATCAGTGAACAGATATCAGTTATTGGAAGGAGCCAGATACAAATTCTGGAATTGGAGAATACAATAACTGAAACAAAAATTCACTAAAGGGGCTTAACAGCAGATTTAAGCAGACATAATAAAGCAGCAGTGAAGCTGAAGATAGGTTAATTGGAATTATCCAGTCTGAGGAAGATAACACACACAAGAGAGACTGAAGATGAAAATTGACAGATCTTTAGAGATCTGTGGGACATCATCAAGGATACCAACAAATGCAGAATAGGAAGGAGAAGAGGGAAAGAGGCAGAAAGTATATTTAAAGAGATAATGGCCAAAGAAATTCCCAAATCCAATAGAATAATTAGTCTACACATCTGAAAAGTTCAATGAGCTCCAAACGGAATAAATCCCAAGATCCAGACATATTATAATCTAACTGTTGAAAGCCAAAACTACAGAATCAAAAACATTGAAACCAGCAAAAGAGAAGCAATTCATGTACAAAGCCTCAATAAGATTAACAGCTGATTTCTTATCAGAAAGCATCAAGGCCAAAAAGCTGAGGTGCAGTGAGCCAAGATTGCAGCATTGCACTCCAGCCTGGGTGATAAGAGTAAAACTCCATCTCAAAAAAAACAACAACAAAAAAACTTTACCAACTTTACAAAAAAAAATTCTCACTCATTCTTAGAGGCTAGTATTACTCTGATACCAAACCAAGGATATTACAAGAAAAGTATAAGCTAATATCCCTTATAACTACTGATGCAAAAATTCAACAAAATAGGAGGAAACCAAATGCCTAAACGTATGAAACATATGGTCAACATATTGGTCATCATGATGAATTAGGATTTAACTCAGGAATTCAGGAGTGGTTTAACATGTGAAAAAAAATCAACATAGTACCCCGTATTAATAAAGGGGGGGGAACCCACATGATCATCTCAATGCAGAAAAAACATTTAATGAAATTCAACATACTTCCATAATAAAAAAAAACACTCAACAAACTGGAATAAAAGGAAACTTCTTCATTCTGATAAAGGCATCTACAAAAAACTCAGAGGTAGCCTCATACTTAATGGTGAAAGTCTAAAAGATTTCCCCCAAGATCAGGAATAAGACAAGGATATTGCTCTTTTCACTTTTATCCAACATGGCATTGGAAGTTCTAGATGCATTAATTAGGCAACAAATAAAGTGCACCCAGATTGGAAAGGAAGAAATAAAACTATTTGCAAGTGACTTAATCTTATATGTAGAAAATCCTAAGGAATTTACACCAAAAGCCTAGAGCTAATAAAATTCAGCTAGGTTGCAGAATTGATATACAAAAATTAATTGTATCTTTACATGCTAGCAGTGATCAAAAATCAAAATAAAGCAATTTAATTTACAACATAAAAAGAATAAAATGCTTAGTAATAAATTTATTGAAAGAAATCCAAGAGTTATATGCTGCAAACTGAAAAAAAAAAAAAAAAAAAAAAAGGACTGAAATGAAAAGGTATCCCATGTTCATGGACTGGAAGACTTAACATTGTTAAGATGGCAATACTCCAACCTTATAAATTCAATGACTCCATTCTATAGGTTCAATGCAATCTCCATGAAAATCGGAGCTGCCCTTATTGTAGAAATTGACAATCTGATTTTAAAATTCATATGGAAATACAAAGGGTCCAGAATAGCCAAAATTATATTGAAAAAAAGAACAAAGCTGGAAGACTCACTTCCCAATTTCGAAACTTACCACAAAGCTACAGTAATCAAACCTTTGTTTGATGACAAAGATAAACGTATAGATCAATGGAAGAGAACTGAGAGTCCACAAATGAACCCTCACATTCACGGTCAATTGATTTTTTTGACAAAGGTACCAAGACAATTCAATGGGTAGAAAATAGTCTCAAATAACTGTGCTGGTACAACTATGTATCACATGCAAAAGCACAAAGTTGGACTC
Source organism: Homo sapiens (assembly GCF_000001405.40). Taxonomy (NCBI): domain Eukaryota; kingdom Metazoa; phylum Chordata; class Mammalia; order Primates; family Hominidae; genus Homo; species Homo sapiens. The sequence continues at coordinate 99,199,564 of NC_000007.14, forward strand.
CCATTCTCACCATTTACAAAAATTAACTCCAAACGGCTCAAAGGCCTAAAAGTAAGAGCTAAAATTATGAACTCTTAGAAAGAAATATAGGCACAAATCTTTGTGACCTTAGATTAGGCAATGAATTTTTAGATATGATACCTAAAACACAAACAACCAAGAAAATAAACTAGACTTCTTCAAAATTAAAAAATTTTATGCTTCCAAGGATACTATCAAGAAAGTGAAAAGACAACCCACAGAACAGAATATATTTGCAAGTCATATCTGCTAAGGTTTAATATCTAGAATATATAAAGAATTCTTACAACTCAATAAAAAATAATTTATTTGACTTAAAAATGGACAAAGGGCTGGAATTTTTTTTTTGGTGGGGGGACACAGTCTCGCTCTCTTACTCAGGCTGGAGTGCAGTGGCACAATCTCAGCTCACTGCTCAAGCTATTCTCCTGCTTCAGCCTTCCTAATAGCTGGGACTACAGGTGCATGCCACCACACCCAGCTAATTTTTATGTTTTTAGTAGAGACAGGGTTTCACCATGTTGGCCAGGATGGTCTTGAACTCCTGACCTCAAGTGATCCATCCGCCTCAGCCTCCTAATATGCTGGGATTATAGGCATGAGCCATCAGGCCTGGCTAATTTTCGTATTTTTCGTAGAGACGCGGTTTCACCATGTTGGCCAGGCTGGTCTCGAACTCCTCAGCTCAAGTGATCCTCCTGCCTCAGCCTCCCAATGTGTTGGGATTACAGGCATGAGCCACCATGCCCGGCATCTGCTTTTGTCATCACATTGCTCTTCTTATAAGAATCATCGAATGCCAGGCCCACCCAGATAATCCAGTATCACCTCTCTATCTCAAAATCCTTAATTTAATCACATATGCTACATCCCTTTCCTCATAGAGTAATATTCACAGGTTTGGGGACTAGAAGATGCAGACACTTGGGGTGCCACGATACAGCCTACCACAAAGAGTGAAACAGGCTTAGTTCATAACCCAGTTATTCTCAGTGGAACTGAAGACACCCTTCCACACAAAAACTTGTACACAGATGTTAATAACAGCATTCATCATAACAACCAAAAAGTGGAAACAACCCAAAGTCCCCCAATTAATAAATAAACAAGGCCAGACACGGTGGCTCACACCTGTAATCCCAGCACTTTAGGAGGCCAAGGCAGGCAAATTGCTTGAGGTCAGGAGTTCGAGACCAGCCTGAACAACATGGTGAAACCCCATCTCTACTAAAATATAAAATTAGCAGGTGATGCATGCCTGTAATCCTAGCTACTCGGGAGGCTGAGGCAGGAGAATGGCTTGATCCCGGGAGACAAAAGTTGCAGTGAGCCGAGATTGTGCCATTGCATTCCAGCCTGGGTGACAGAGTGAGACTCCATCTTATAAACAAATAAATGGATAAACAAAATGTGGTCTCTCCATATAACAGATTATCATTCTGCCCAAAAGGAATGAAGTATTGATATATGCTACAACATGGATGAACTTTGAAAACATAAAAGCTCAACACAAAAGCTCACATGTTTATATGATTGCATTTCTAGGGAATGTCTAGAACAGGTCATTCCAGAGAGGCAGAAAGTAGACTAGTGTTTGCAGAGACGGTGGGGGATGAGGAATGGGGAGTGACTCCTGAATGACTGGAGTTTCTATTTGAGGTGATGAATAGGTTCTGGAATTAGCTAGTGGCAATGGTTGCACAACTTTGTGACTATGCTAGAAACCACTGATTAGGCACTTAAAGAGTGAATTTTGATGTGAATTATACCTTCATTTCTTTAAAAAATATGCTAATATGCCAAGCACAGTGGCTCATGCCTGTAAACCCAGCACTTCGGGAGGCTGAGGCAGACAGATCACAAGGTCAGGAGGTTGAGACCATTCGGGCTAACATGGTAAAAAACCGTCTCTACTAAAAATACAAAAAATTAGTTGGGTGTGGTGGTGGGCACCTGTAGTCCTAGCTACTCGGGAGGCTGAGGCAGAAGAATTGCTTGAACCCAGGAGGCGGAAGTTGCGGTGAGCCAAGATCGTGCCACTGCACTCCAGCCTGGGCGACAGAGTGAGACTCTGTCTCAAAAAAAAAAAGCTAATATGGGACCAAAAGAAAAACAACTTTTTGGGGTTGTTTGTTGGAGTGAGATGGAGTCTCACTCTGTCACCCATGGGTTGAAGTGCAGTGGCACGATCTTGACTTAGTGCCACCTCTGCCTCCCAGGTTCAAGCAACTCTCCTGCTCAGCCTCCTGAGTAGCTGGGATTACAGGCACCCACTACCACACCCGGCTAATTTTTGTATTCTTAGTAGAGATGGGGTTTCACCATGTTGGCCAGGCTGGTCTCGAACTCCTGACCTCAGGTGATCCACCCACCTCGGCCTCCCAAAGTGCTAGGACTACAGGTGTGAACCACTGTGCTTGGCCTTTTTTCCCTTTTGTTTTATACCATCCTTGGATGGGGGGATTCTAGGGACTGCTCCAAACAAATGAAGCTAACTAGAGATATAGTTTGGACTCCTATGGCAACTCAGAATGACTGTACACATTTCATTGATGAATGGGAACACATCATTGGACCCAATTTGACAAAAATGGAACCAGTCTCTGCCCTCTATGAGACCTAAACCAAGCAGGGTAAAAAGGGTGCATGTGGGTAGTTAAGGTAGGACAGACAGTGGTGTACCCCAAAAGAATATAGAGACACCATTATTGAGGTGCTAAGAAGGAAAACTTCCTGGTCAAGGCATTCGGTATTCACAGAAACCGGACTAACCTTGAAGTCAACCCAGGATCTGCATTTAATAAGGTTGGGGTAGATGGAGAAGGGAAGACAGGACAGAAGTCAAAGTGTTAGGAAAGACCTCACCCATCCAGGGACTAGATGCCTCTACTGAGAAATAACCTTCACCAACCCTCATTTCCTCGGTTTTCAGGCTTAGGGATAGCAAGTAAATTTTCAATTAGAAATATCACCTTTTTGGCCAGGTACAGGGGCTCACACCTGTAATCCCAGCACTTTGGGAGTCTGAGACAGGCAGGTCACCTGAGTCCAGGGGTTCGAGACCCTCCTGGTAAACATGGCAAAATCCTGTCTCTATAAAAAAATAAAAAATTCACCAGGCATGATGGTGAGTGCCTGTAGTCCCACATACTCTGGAAGCTGAGGCAGGAGGTTCGCTTGAACCCAGGGAGATTAGGGCTGCAATGAGCTCTGATTGTGCCACAGCACTCTATCCTGGGTGACAGAGTGAGACCTGTCTCAAAAAATAAAAATAAAAAGTATAATAAAAATCCTCTCCATCCCCCACTAGAATCTAGATTCCACAGACTCAGAGCCATAGGAGTAATGGCCATTAGCCTTTTGACAAAGGCAGTTTAGCTCAAACCATAATCTCTTCACTCCTTTCTTTAAAAGCCCAAAACGAGAGTTTGCAAGTTCTGAATCTATTAAATATTATCCAGCCAGAGACACTTGCTAAGAACATATTTTGCCCAAGACTACTCTAAACACTACATACTGACCGCCACCCCTTTGGCTGTTTTTTCAGAAGGTGTGTCAGGGCAGAAGCTCGTGATATTCCTTCTCTTTAAGGTCTGTTCATCTTTCTTGGCCTTTCGGAGCTCCAGACTGACCGCCATCCTCTGCTGTCGCCTCAGCTAGTGAGGAAAAGAAATTGGAGCATTTAGAACCAGGAGTGGGGATGTCACATTTAGTCTGTCAAACATGTTTCAAAGCATCCAATTTCATTTTTACAGATACAATAGGCTGGAAAAGTTCAGATCACACAGTTAGTAAATCATCTCAGCTCTGTTTACCTCCTCTTCTGTTTTCTGCTATACCACTTCTAGAAAATAATTTGATCTTCCCTCCAAAATAAAGCAAGACCATGCACAACCTTGACAGGTCAGGATTCTCAGCTATAAAAACACCCCAGCAAAGCATCCCATTGCCCTAAGTCTGAACACATCTTCATTGATGCTGATGATTTCCTGAAGAATATGGCTGCTTCCTGAATGTACCCAGGCCTTTTCGGTGGTGGCTAGGATAGATGGTGTTGGGGACGATTAGGGGACTGCCCATGTCCTAGATGCCCTGATCATTTCCACTATATTTATATATATATTTATATATTTGTTTTCTTTTTGAGATGGAGTCTCACTCTGTCACCCAGGCTGGAGGGCAGTGGCATGATCTCAGCCCACTACAACCTCTGCCTCTGGGGTTCAAGCCATTCTTGTGCCTCAGCCTCCCAAGTAGCTGGGATTACAGGCATGTGTCACCACACTCGGCTATGTTTTATATTTTTAGTAGAGATGGGGTTTCTCCATGTTGGCCAGGCTGCTCTTGAATTCCTAGGCTCAAGTGATCTACCTGCCTCAGTCTCCCAAAGTGCTGAGAATACAGGCTGAGCAACTGTGCATGGCCCATTTCCACTATTAATGAAACCTGTCTATAAGCCATTAAAGCCTTCATCCCCAAGTCTACATACTGAGGGAAATCAAAATTAAAACAAGGCTGGGCATGGTATCTCGTGCCTATAATCCCAGCACTTTGGGAGGTCAAGGTGGGAGGATCATTGAGGCCAGGAATTCTAGACCAGCCTGGACAACATAGCAAGACCCTGTTTCTACCAAAAAATTAGCTGGGCATGGTAGCATGCTCCTGTAGTCCCAGCTACTTGGGAGTCTGAGGTGGGAGGATCCCTTGAGCCAGGGAGGTCTAGGCTGCAGTGAGCTACGATTGTACCACTGCACTCCAGCCTGGGCAATAGAGCAAGACCCTGCCTCTACAAATCTCTCTCTCTCTCAATCTCTCTCTCCCCTCCCCGATCTTATGTCAGTTAATGACTCAAACTTTATAGTATTAAGAATCCTGAGGAAATGACCTAACCTTTCTAAATAGCTGAGTTTGGGCTGAAGACATTTCAGGAACAATTATAAAGAAGTCACCATGTATTAGATACTTTTGGTTCTTTAAGCTACTTAATTCTTGCTTGAAAATGGGTCATCAGCCGGGCACCGTGGCTCCCACCTGCAATCTCAGCACTTTGGGACACCAAGGCAGGAGGATTGCTTGAGCTCAGGAGTTCAAGACCAGCCCGGCCAACATAGTGAGACCCTGTCTCTACAAAGAAATAAAAAATTAGCCAGGCATGGTGCTACTTGGGAGGCTGAGGTGGGAGGATCACTTGAGCCTGGGAGGCAGAGGCTGCAGTGAACTATGATCGTGCCACTGCACTCCAGCCTGGATGACAGAGCAAGACCGTGTATCAAATAATAATAAAAGGAAAAAATTTAAAAGGGTCATGGTGGCATTATATGGCAAGGTAGGAACACATTTGGGAATCATTGAGCCCATCATACTGTTGCCCCATCGCTAGGCAGTTCCTGCCTGTAAAAACTTTTGTACCTTTCTCTCTTCTCTTTGGCAGGCCCTTCCTGTTGCTGTGAAGACTCAATTCCTTCGTTCTCACTGATTTCCTTTAATTTTCAGTGGTCCTAGAAGCCGGACAGCTTCATTGTTGGAATAGGTTACTGTAAGAGTGATTTGGTTCCTGGGCCAGGCACGGTGGCTCATGCCTGTAATCCCAGCACTTTGGGAGGCCGAGGCAGGGGGATCATGAGGTCAGAAGATCGAGACCATCCTGGCCAACATGTTGAAACCCCATCTCTACCAAAATGCAAAAAAAAAAATTAGCCGGGCATGGTGGTACACACCATGGTAGGCTGAGGCAGGAGAATTGCTTGAACCCAGGAGGCAGAGGTTGCAGTGAGCCAAGATCACGCCATTGCACTCCAGCCTGGTGACAGAGCAAGACTCCATCTCAAAAAAAAAAAAAAAAAAAAAAAAAGTGATTTTGTTCCTGATGGTGGCCTAACCAGGCTGCTGTGACCCTGTGCTTCCCTCGTTCTCCTAATCAGGCTTCTGGATTCCCAAGGTGGAGCTAAACTTATACGATGCCAGTCAAGATACAGAGATGGGGGGCTGGGAGCAGTGGCTCATGCCAGTAATCCCAGCACTTTGGGAGGCCAAGACAGGCAGATCACTTGAGGCCAGGAGTTTGAGACCAGCCTGGCCAACATGGCAAAACCCTGTCTCCACTAAAAATACAAAAAATTAGCCAGGCGTAATTGTGCACACCTGTAATCCCAGCTACTTGGGAGGCTGAGGCAGGAGAATCGCTTGAACCTGGGAGGCAGAGGTTGCAGTGAGCCAAGATCACACTGCTGCACTCCAGCCTGGACTATGAAGCAAGTCTTCATCTCAAAAATAAAAAGATACAGAGATGGAGGACAGAGCTTGCAACACAAAACTATGTGACCAAAGAAGCCGAGTGAATGTTAGAATCCATATACACAGCACACACCCCCCGTCCCCAGCCCTTGGGCTCAACCTGGAAGCAAGAACAGCCTGGACTTCTCAGTTCCAAGTCCTATTTCTACAAGGCATGCCTGTTGGCCATACCTATATGCTAACGTTTTAGCTCCTTGGTAAGCCTCATTGACGTGAGCAGCTGTAAACACCTGTATACTGGCCCTTGAGGAAGCAATCCAGCTCCTCGGAGATAAATAGCAGCCTGGTTTTTTATTTTTTTCAGACGAAGTCTCACACTGTCGCCTGGATGGAGTGCAGTGGCACAATCTCGACTCACTGCAACCTCCACCTCCCAGGTTCAAGCAGTTCTCCTGCTTCAGCCTCCCAAGTAGCTGGGATTACAGGCCCCCGCCACCATGCACATCTAATTTTTTGTATTCTTAGTACAGACAGGGTTTCACCATGTTGGCCAGGCTGGTCTCGAACTCCTGACCTCAAGTGATCACTTTGGCCTCCCAAAGTGCTGGAATTACAGGTGTGAGCCATCATGCCCAGCCCAGCCTGGTTTTTTATTTGGTTTTGTTTTAGAGACAGGGTCTGGCTCTGTCACCCAGATTGGAGTGCAGTGGCACAATCACAGTTCACTGCAGCCTTGAACTCCTGGGCTCAAGCAATCCTCCTGCCTCAGCCACCAGAGTATCTGAGACTACAGGCACACACCACCACACCTGGCCGATTTTTTGTTTTTGTAGAGTTGGAGGTCTTGGTATGTTACCCAGGCTGGTCTAGAACTCCTATCTTCAAGCGATCCTCCCACCTTGGCCTCCCCCAAAGTACTGGGAACACAGGCATGAGCTACCATGCCCAGCTAAGCAGCCCTGTTTTATGGATGAAGAAACTGGGGTTCTGAAATTAAATAATTGCAAGATTCCACGGAAACTTTGATTTGATTCCACAGTTGTCTGGCTCCTAAGTCCACATGCTTTTGTCTTCTCCACCTTTAATATTTTATGATGAAAATAGCAAACATACAGAAAAGTTGGAAGGATAATTCAGGGAAACACCTAGTCATCTATCTAAAGAATCTTTTGCTATATTTGCCTTTTCAACCCATCTCTCCACCACCTCCCTGCCCCCCGCTATTTTTTTTTTGAGATGGAGTTTCTCTCTTGTCGCCCAGGCTGGAGTGCAGTGGCCTGATCTCAGCTCACTGCAACCTCTGCCTCCCAGGTTCAAGCAATTCTCCTGCCTCAGCCTCCCAAGTAGCTGGGATTACAAGTACAAGCCACCACACCCAGGTCATTTTTGTATTTTTAGTAGAGACGGGGTTACACCATGTTGGCCAGGATCGTCTTAACCTCCTGACCTTGTGATCTGCCCGTCTCAGCCTCTCAAAGTGTTGGGATTACAGGCATGAGCCACCGCGCCTGGTCTCTTCACCCCGCTTTTTATGCAGATTGCACTGGTCCCCAATAGAAGCAGGTGGGTGCTTCATACTCACAGACACATCTTTGCCTCGGTACTTAAATTTTCTCCGCCTCTCTTCTGGAGCATCTAAGGTCGGCATATTGACTGGAAGTAGTAAGTTACCTGCAGGTTGGACAGCAACAAAGAAATTTTCAGTGCCCATTGTGTGGGTTATTATGTCAGTATCATAAGGCTCTAACCCTTAAAGGGCTCACAGTGGAGCAAAGGGCAGACCCAGGAAGCTAGCTTTTTTTTTTTTTTTTTTTTTTTTTTTTTTTTTTTTTTTTGAGACAGAGTCTCGCTCTGTTGCCCAGACTTGAGTGCAGTGGGGGGATATCAGTTCACTGCAACCTCCGCCTCCCGGGTTCAAGTGGTTCTCCTGCCTCAGCCTCCCAGGTAGCTGGGACTATAGGCGCCTGCCACCACGCCCGGCTAATTTTTGTCTTTTTAGTAGAGACGGGGTTTCACCACGTTGGCCAGGCTGGTCTTGAACTCCTGACCTTGTGATCCGCCCACCTCGGCCTCCCAAAGTGCTGGGATTACAGGCATGAGCCACCGCTCCCAGCCAGCATTTTTTATTTTTTGGGACCAGAGAAGCTGAGTGAGAGTTAGAACCCATATACACAGCACAGACTCCCCGTCCCCAACCCTTGGGCTCAACCTGGCAGCAAGAACAACAGTCTGGACTTCTCAGCTCCATGTCCTATTTCTGCAAGACCTGCTTGTTGGCATCAGAGTCTCACTCTGTCACCCGGGCTGGAGTGCATTGGCACAATCACGGCTCACTGCAACCTTGACCTCCTGGACTCAAGTGATTCACCCACCTCAGCCTCTTGAGTAGCTGGGACTACAGGCATGAGCCACCACACATGACTCACTTTTTATTTATTTTATTTATTTATTTTTTGAGACAGAGTCTCACTCTGTCACCCAGGCTGGAGTGCGGTGGCGCAATCTTGGCTCACTGCAAGCTCCGCCTCCCGGGTTCACGCCATTCTCCTACCTCAGCCTCCCGAGTAGCTGGGACTACAGGCACCTGCCACCACGCTCAGCAAATTTTTTTGTATTTTTAGTAGAGACGGGGTTTCACCGTGTTAGCCAGGATGGTCTCTATCTCCTGACCTCGTGATCCACCCACCTCGGCCTCCCAAAGTGCTGGGATTACAGGCGTGAGCCACCGTGCCCGGCCACACCTGGCTTATTTTTGGTTTTGTTTGTTTTTGTAGAGTCGGCTTTTCACCACGTTGGCCAGGCTGGTCTTGAACTCCTGACCTTGTGATCCACCCACCTCAGCCTCCCAAAGTGCTGGGATTACAGGCATGAACCTGAAGTCAGCTTCTATAAGCATCACCACACCAGCTCAGTAGGCTGTGAACACTGTGGGAGCACCAAGACCACCAATGCTGGGCATAGCAGTAAAGGAAAGCTTTTAAAAGTGCTTTGGCTTCAACTGGGTCCTCAAATGAGGCAGATGGGCTGGTTGTCATATATAGAAGCCTTTCATGCCAGGTGCAGTGGCTCACACCTATAATCCCAGCACTTTGGAAGGCTGAGGCAGATGGATCACTTGAGGCCAGGAGTTCGAGATCAGCCTGGGCAACATGGGGAAACCCCATCTCTACTAGAAATACAAAAATTAGTCAGGCATGGTGGCGGACACCTATAATTCCAGCTATTTGGGAGGCTGAAGCAGGAGGATCACTTGAATCCGGGAGGCGGAGGTTGCAGTGAGCTGAGATTGCGCCACTGTACTCGAGCCTGGGCAACAGAGTAAGATTCCGTCTCAAAAAGAAAAAGAAAAGAAGGCTTTCACACGGTGTGTCTGAGGAGTTATAAATCAGGCATATGTACAGGGTGGTGAGGAGACCCGCCAAGGCTGCAACAGGAAAACCCCACACCCAATGCACCAGCACATGGGGTCAGGACAGTCTCAAGCACAAGTCACTGAGAATCCTTCAGTAGACTGCCTCCACCCCAGTCCAGACCACTATCACCTCTTACCCACACTACTGCAGTTGCCTTCCAGCTGGTCTCCCTGCTTCTCCCATTGCCTTATTCCAATCTGTTCTTTGCACAGAGTACATGTGATTGTGGATCACCTGAGGTCAGGAGTTCGAGACCAGCCAGACCAACATGGCGAAACCCTGTCTCTACTAAAAGTACAAAATTAGCCAGGCGTAGTGGCAGGCACCTGTAGTCCCAGCTACTCAGGAGGCTGAGACAGGAGAATCGCTTGAACCCAGGGGGCGGAGGTTGCCGTGAGCCAAGATCGCACCACTACACTCCAGCCTGGGCAACAGAGCGAGACTCCAACTCAAAAAAAAAAAAAAAAAAAAAAAAAAAAGAAAAAAATCTGATTAGTCAGGCACAGTGGCTCATGCCTGTAATCTCAACAACTTGAGAGGTTAAGGTGGAGACTTGCTTAAGGCCAGGTGTTCAAGACCAGCTTGGGCAACAAAGCAAGACCCCCGTCTCTACAAAAAATATAAAAATAAGCTGGGCATGGTGGCACATACCTGTAGTCCCAGCTACTTGAGGCTGAGGTGGGAGGATTTCTGGAGCCCAGGAAGTCAAGGCTGCAGTGAGCCACGATTGCACCACTGCACTCCAGCCTGGACAGCAGAGCCAGACCCTGTCTCCAAAACAAACAAACAAAAAAAAGAAAAAATCAAGGAGAATCTGATCTAACTCTCCTGCTTAAAAAAACTCTCCTGGCTACCCAATGAGTTTAGAAGAAAATTCACTTTCTGCACTGGCCCCAGCCCACTTCACCTCCAACAACTCTTTCCTTGATCATTGTGTTCTAGACCCCTGGGCTTCATTATCAAGTGTTCCAGGTTCATTGTACTCGGGCCTTTGAAGTAGCTGCTCTGCCCAGGATCTCTGCACACTTGGCTCCTCTTCATTCAGTCTCTGCTTAAACATCTCTGAAAGCCCTTTTAACTGTCTTCCCAGTCTTATTTTCTTCTCAGCTTTAACCACTGCCTGATATTTTCTTGTTTGTCCAACTTCCTCTCCTCCTACTCCCCATGGTAACAGTACTGTGTCTTAGGCAGGGATTTCTTACCTCTTTCACAACACATGACAAAGTAGGTACTCAAATATTTGTCAAGGGAGGGTACTGTGTGATACGAGACAGGGAGTTGGCCCTCAGTTAGAGGTGGTTATTCAAATCAGGCCAAGTTTGAACTTTTTTTAAATTGGAGGGAGTTTGCTTTTGTGTTTTTGTTTTGCTTTTGAGACAGTCTTGCTCCGTTGCCCAGGCTGGAGTGCAATAAATAGTGTAATCATGGCTTACTGCAGCCTCAACCTCTTGAGCTCAAGTGATCCTCCTGCCTCAGCCTCCTGAGCAGCTAGGACTACAGGCACAAGTCACCAAGGCTGGCTAATTTGTATTTTTTGTAGAGATGGGATCTCACTATGTTGCCCAGGCTGGTTTCAAACCCCTGGGCTAAAGCAATCCTCCCCCTCAGCCTCCCAAAGCATTGGGATTAGAGGCATGAGCCACTGCACCTGGCCCCAACTTTGAATGTTCACAAGGCAGCAGGGAATATTTCTTACAGGTATGTAATATTCATCTGTTTCTGACCATACGAGATGGTCCAGACTACATTATAGAAAAGAGAAAATTGGATAAAGAAAGTCAACTGACTCTTGTCTTCAGTGAATAGCAGCCAAGAATAGTTTTGGTAGAAAAGACTAATTCAGACATATCAATTTGAAAGGGGCAGTGCAGACAACTTGGAGATTTGCATCAGAGAATTTAGAGCTGGCTGGGCACAGTGGCTCATGCCTATAATCCCATCACTTTGGGAGGCCAAGACGGGTGGATCACCTGAGGTCAGGAGTTCGAGACCAACCTGGCCAACATGGCAAAACCCTGTCTCTACTAAAAATACAAAGATTAGCCAGGTGTGGTGGCACATGTGCCTGTAATCCCAACTACTTGAGAGGCCGAGGCAGGAGAATCGCTTGAATCTGGGAGGCAGAGGTTGCAGTGAGCCTAGATCAAGCCACTACACTCCAGCCTGGGCAACAGAGTGAGACTCTGTCTCAAAAAAAGTAATTTAGGGCCAAGACTGATGTTGTAAGAAGAGAGACAAGCTCTATGCAAGATCAGAACAAGGATCGAGTCTTGAGGATGCTCACATTAGGGCCTGAGAGAATGAAGAATTAGCAAAGAACCAGGACAAAGGAGGGAGTTGGAGATAGAACAACAGAGTTAGTATCAGAGGCACTGCTGGCAACAGTAGTCACTGCGCCAGGGACAAGTCCCTAAAATCAAGCTCCAGCCACCCACAGCAAGACAGGAGCTACAGGAGAGCATGTCAGCTGAGCCTCAGAGCAGAGGAAACCAACAGCCCACACCATCCCTCTGGGTTTCAGATCCTGGTGGCTCTGCCTGCTTTAAAGCATTAGTTTCCTCCACAGCCTGGGAAAGAATAGCCTATATACCTTGTCTGCAAATCTGATCCTGGGAAATGCAAATTAGTTCCTGGAATTGACCAATCTCTCCCACTCTCCGATCTCAAAGCCAGAGAGGTGGAGGGTGACACCTGGTTTAAACATTCACGAAGCTCTCAATCATTGTGAGTCATGTTGACCTCCTCCCCAACCAATGTGGACAAAGGGACCTCAGTGAATCCAGAGTCCTTTGGTTGCTGCCCAGGGAGCCCTCACACAAGTTGGCTTAAGACTATCTCAGGCTTTAGATTTCTTCAATACAACTTCAAGCTCGAGGTAGCTTTACTCCTAGCAACACATCAGAACTCAGTATACCTGGGAAGGGAAGAGAACAACATTGCAAGACAGCCTCAGCACTGGGAGATCAGGCTAGGAAACACTGGTGTCCGATCCACATGTGTCCTTTTTTTTTTTTTTTTTTTTTTTTTTTTGAGACAGAGTTTCATTCTTGTAGCCCAGGCTGGAGTGCAGTGGTGCGATCTCAGCTCACTGCAACCTCCACCTCTCGGTTCAAGCAATTCTCCTGCCTCAGCCTCCCACGTAGCTGGGATTACAGGCACCTGCCACCACGCCCAGCTAATTTTTGTATTTTTTTTCTTTTTTTGGTAGAGATGGGGTTTCATCATATTGCTGAGCTGGTCTCAAACTCCTGACCTCAGGTGGCCCACCCGCCTCGGTCCCCCAAAGTGCTGGGATTACAGGAGTGAGCCACCATGCATGGCTTACTTTTAAGTAATCTCAAATTCTGCCCCATAAGGAAGCGTTGCTTTTTAAGACTAAATTGGCCAGGCACAGTGGCTCACACCTATAGTCTCAACGCTTTGGGAGGCCAAGGCAGAAGCTTGAGGCAGGAGTTTGAGACCAGCCTCAGCAAAATGGTGAGACCCTATCTCTACCAAAAAAGATTAAAAAAATTAAAAATTAATCCGGCATCGTGATGGGCACCTATAGTCCCAGATACTCGGTGGGAGGATCGCCTGAGCCCCAGAAATCAAGGCTGCAGTGAGCCATGATTGTGCCACTGCACTCCAGCATGGGTGACAGAGACCCTGTCTCAAAAAGAAAAGAAAAAAAGAAAAGAAAAAATCATTGCTATTGATCACAGTATCCTTTTAACATCTTGAAAACTAGATTCCTAGTCACCAGAATAACCAATGTCAAGAGGATCATCAGTTGAACCAAAATTTGGGTTTAAATGAGATTCTATTTCTAGGTCTCCAAGAGTTGAGACATAGGGCATTTATAAGTCTGGAGTAGACAAGAATTATGGGCCTATTTAAGGAGCAATGGCCAAAAGGGATTTTTTTTTTTTTTTGAGACAGAGTCTCACTCTGTTGCCAGGCTGGAGTGCAGTGGGTCGATCCCAGCTCACTGCAACCTCCGCCTCCCGGGTTCAAGTGATTCTCCTGTCTCAGCCTCCCAAGTAGCTGGAACTAAAGGCTCACACCACCACACCCCCCAGCTAACTTTTGTATTTTTAGTAGAGACGGGGTTTTGCCATGTTGGCCAGGATGGTCTCAAACTCTTGACCTCATGATCCACCGTCTTGGCCTCCCAAAGTGCTAGGATTACATGTGTGAGCCACTGCACCTGGCCTTTTAAAAAAAAAAAAAAAAAAAAAAAAAAAGAGAGAGAGACAGAGTCTCATTGTTGCCCAGGCTGAAGTGCAGCGGAGCAATCATAACTCACTGCAGCCTTGACCTCCTGGGCTCAAATGATCCTCCCACCTCAGCTTCCTGAGTAGCTGGGACCACAGGAACAAGCTACCACACTTCACTAATTTTTTAAATTTTTTGTAGAGATGGGGTCTTACTCTGTCACCCAGGTTGGGGTGCAGTGATACAATCATAGCTCACTGCAGCCTCAAACTACTGGGCTCAAGCAATCCTCTCACCTCAGCCCCCCAAGTAGCTGGGACTACAGATATGCACCACCATACTCAGCTAATGTTTTCATTTTTCAGAGATGCGGTCTTGCTGTGTTGCCCACGCTGTTCTTGAACTCCTGACCTCAAGTGATCCTCCTGCCTCCACCTCTCAAATCACTGGAATTATGCACATGAGCCACTGCACCTGGCCCAAAACATTTATTATGTGCCCAGAATTTTAGACATTTAGGATTAAATGAAGTTTCATCTAATACTAAGGTAAAAATATCCCCATTTTGCAGGTGAAGGAGCCATCTCAGACATCATTTCCCAAAGTTCCCATAACTGTGAAGTATCAGAACCAGGACATCAGATTTGACTCCTGCGTCCAAGCTTTGCAGCCAATAATCTGTAACAAGGTCTAATTAGGAAAGCATGAGATCACCACCATGGCCAGTGCAGTGGCTCACACCTGTAATCCCAGCACCTTGGGAGGCCAAGGTGGGCAGATCCTCTGAGGTCAGGAGTTTGAGATCATCCTTGGCCAATGTGGCAAAACCCCGTCTCTACTAAAAATATACAAAAAAAAAAAAAAATTAGCCAGGGATGGTGGCATGTGCCTGTAGTCCAAGCTACTTGGGAGGCTGAGGCAGGAGAATCACTTGAAACTGGGAGGCAGAGGTTACAGTGAGCTGAGATCGCACCACTGCACTCCAGTCTGGGTGACAGAGCAAGACCCTATCTCAAAAAAAAACAAAAAACAAAAACAAAAACAAAAAAACTAGCCAGTTGTGGTGGTGTGCACCTGTAGTCCCAGCTACTTGGGAGGCTGAGGAGGGAGAATCGCTTGAGCCCAGGAGGTGGAGGCTGCAGTGAGCAGAGATCACGCCACTGCAATCCAGCCTGGATAACAAAGAGAGACCCTGTTTCAAAGGAAAGAGGGGAGGGGAGGTAGGGAAGGGGAGGGGAGGTAGGGGAGGGGAGGGGAGGTAGGGGAGGGGAGGGGAGGTAGGGGAGGGGAGGGGAGGTAGGGGAGGGGAGGGGAGGTAGGGGAGGGGAGGGGAGGGAGGGAAGGCAGGCCACCACTATGGGTGGCACTTAACACATGGGGTGAGATGTTAGAAAGGAGGAAAGCCCATTTCATGCAACAGAAACAATAGAGGCCACTTCTGAAATACCTGCTCTAGCTGCCACCTTGTTGCTACGCTTCACATGTTGCCAATGGCACAATTATCTCAGTTAATGAGACTGAGCATGCATGAGGAAGAGGCCAGTTTGGTACAAGGGGCTGCAATCCTGCCTCTGGGAAAACCCAAGACAGCACTCAGCTCTAAGACCATTGCCAAGGGAACTGCTCATCCTTCTGCCACAACCTGGAAGCCATGGCTATTAGAAACTCGGCGCGGTGGCTCATGCCTGTAATTCCAGCACTTTGGGAGGCTGAGGTGGGTGGATCACAAGGTCAGGAGTTCGAGACCAGCTTGGTCAACATGGTGAAACCCCGTCTCTACTAAAAATACAAAAATTAGCTGGGCGTGGTGGTGGGCGCCTGTAATCTCAGCTACTCGGGAGGCTGAGGCACTGGAATCGCTTGAACCCGGGAGGCAGAGGTTGCAGTGAGCTGAGATGGTGCCACTGCACTCCAGCCTGGGCAACAGAGCGAGACTGTCTCAAAAAAAAAAAAAAAAAAAAAAAAAAAGGCATTTGCCACCTTCCTTCAAACCAAATATCACAGGAAATGGCTTGAAGCCGAGAAAGCTCAGCTGCAGATGAGACAGGGTCCTCCCCACTCCTTGAGGTATCTTTAGGGAGAGGGTTGAAGGTTATAGAGCTAGCAGATCACTTCGTGTAGGGACATTCTGCAAACCCAGCGGCAGAGCAGATCCCTGTTGCTTCTCCAGGCTTCTCTGGTCACAGCTCGGATTCCGCTTCTTTCCCTTCACATGGCTGTTGGCAGCGACCAGGAGAGCTGGGTGCCCTGTCGTTCTTTACTTAAGAAAGTGTTGACAGCCAGGCAGAGGCTCATGCCCGTAATCCCAGCAGTTTGGGAGGATTATTTGAGACCAGGAGTTCAAGACTTGGGGCAACACAGTGAGACCCCATCTCTACAAATAAATGAAAAAAATATATAGCCAGGTGGTTGCTGTACAACTGCAGTCCCAGCTACTCAGGAGGCTAAGGCAGGAGGATCACTTGAGCCCAGTAGGTTGAGGCTGCAGCAGCGAGTTATGATTGCACCACTACGCTCCAGCCTAGGCAAGAGATCCCTTCTCTAATTAAAAAAAAAAAAAAAAGAAAAGCACTGAGTTATACACAGTCCAAGTCAGTACCCTGCCCCTTTTTGTTTTGAGATAGGTCTTACTCCCACCATCCAGGCTGGAGTGCAGTGGCACAATCACAGCTCACTACAGCCTCGACTTTCTGGGCTCAGATGACCTCTCACCTCAGCCTCCCAAAGGAGCTGGGGCTACAGGCACACACCACCACACCCAGCTAAGTTTTTTGCATTTTAGAAAGACAGGTGTCTTGCTACATTGCCCAGGCTTGTCTCGAAGTCCTGGGCTCAAGTGATCCTCCCACTTCAGCCTCCCAAAGTGCTTGGATTACAGATATGAGCCACTGCACCTGGCCCAAGTCAGTACCTTTGTTCATTGGTTCTTCAAGTTTGAGATCCCAAGAAAGCCGAACTAGTGATTAAGACAAATGTCATCCACCTAGGGGTTTTATTTATCCCTGGGGTCTCAGGCCAGCTCAGCTGCTCCCTATACACTGTAAGACCCCTGCCCTGTGTGACAGGTACCAGAGGCCCTGCCAAGGAACCCTACCATGCCCAAGGTCCCCTAGGCTCCCAAGCTTCTTACCAACACCCTCTTTTTTTTTGTGAGATGGAGTCTGGCTCTGTCGCCCAGGCTAGAATGCAGTGGCGTGATCTCAGCTCACTGCAACCTCCACCTTCCAGATTCAAGCAATTCTCCTGCCTCAGCCCCCTGAGTAGCTGGGATTACGGGCATGCGCCACCATGCCTAGCTAATTTTTGTATTTTTAGTGAAGACAGGGTTTCACCATGTTGGCCAGGCTGGTCTCGAACTCCTGACCTCAGGTGATCCGCCCGCCTTGGCCTCCCAAAGTGCTGGGATTACAGGCATGAGCCACCATGCCCAGCCACCTCTTACCCTTTCAATCCTTCTGAGTAAGGGACCATTATGGACTTCCAGGTCTTATTAACGGTATTGAGTCGCTTCCTCTGGTTGGGGCATTTCAGGCCATTTTTGAGCTTTCTATACTTTTCTAGATCTAGCTGAGTTTTTCCTGTGAGCAACTTTCATGAACTGAGAACCATTTTAAATTAAGACATGTCATCATCCAAGAGTTGGCTTCTACAAAATAGCATTTTTTGGATTTCAAAGTAACACATAGTGAGGGCTTAAAGGATATAAATACTTCAGAAATATATTGAACGTTAGCTTCCAATAACCCCACTCCTCCACCAAGTTAACCTTTAAAAACTCACCACCCTCTGTGTGCCCAGCCCGGCTGCAGCTGCACAGGCACTGACATGGTAATTCGAGGAGGGGATCTTGAACATGCCATTTTGTGACATGTGTTTCTTTCATCTGTACCTTGGACATCATTTGATATCTGTATGTTCAGATCTGCATCACTACCAGCCAGTTCTTCAAAGTAGGGTTTGTTTAAGCTAAAAACACATGTTGGATTCGAGCTAGCGAGTCAATGAGACTTATCTGCCAGGAAGGAGGGGTTCAGGGATCCCAGCAGCCTCTGCCTCAATGCCCCAAGATGCATTGGTCCACAAGCTGAGGCTAGCTGGGGTTGGGGGTGGAGAGGGAAGGTAAAGTGTCCAGGGACAGGAGAGGACAGCCAGGGAGGAGAAAAGGCCCAGGAACGGGGACTCCACCTTGCCTTTTTTTTTTTTTTTTTTTTTTTTTTTTTGAGACAGAGTCTTGCTCTGTCACCCAGGCTGGAGTGTAGTGGTGCTATCTCGGCTCACTGCAGCCTCCGCCTCCTGGGTTGAAGCAATTCTCCTCCCTCAGCCTCCCAAATAGCTGGGATTACAGTCACACACCACCACACCCAGCTAATTTTTGTATTTTTACTAGAGACAGAGTTTCATCATGTTGGCCAGACTGGTCTGGAACTCCTGGCCTCAAGCAACCCACGCACCTCGGCCTCCCAAAGTGCTGGGATTACAGGCGTGAGCCTCCATGCCCGGCCCCACCTCGCCACTCTTTAGCTTTCTGAGGGGCTTTACCAACATGAATGAGACGCACCTGGGGATTCCAGACTTCAGTTTCAATGCTGAGAAAGAGGGGCCAGAGGGGCTGCAGGCCATGCCCAGGTTGAAGTGATCTCGGCTCACTGCAGCCTCAAACTCCCTGGCTCAGGCAATCCTCCTGCCTCAGCCTCCCGAGTAGCCAGGACCACAGGCATGCACCATCACACCTGGCTAATTTTTTTATTTTTTGGTAGAGACTGGGCCTCGCTATGTTGCCTACTCTGGTCTCAAGTGATCCTCTCCCTTCAGCCTCCTGAGTAGCTAGGACTACAGGTGCACACTGCCATACCTGGCTGATTTTTTCAAATTTTTTTTTCTTTTTTTTGTAGAAACAGGGTCTTTGTTGCCCAGGCTGGTCTCAAACTCCTGTTCACAAGAAGGAGGCAAGAGACCAGGCCCTCTACCTGTGAAAGATATAAAAGCAAGCTTCCTGAGAGGGGGCTGAATCGGGAACAAGTCCCACAGGTGACAACATCCCGGGGAGTACTTCAGGAAGGAGGGGCACATGGCAAGGCCGAGGACATGGGAGTCACAGCCCACTATGTGGTTAGACTCACTCCAGACACCCCGCAAGCCCGCGTCTGGGCTCTGCAGAGTAAACAGACCCCTGCACCTACCACTTCCTCCTTATCCACCCTCAAAAACAAGCCAAAGACGACCTAGCACAGTGTCTCTAAAGACACTGGCTGATTTCAACAGAGACAACAGCCTAGGCCTTCTCCAAGCTGCCCCCATGGGCAGGCAGATCTGCTTCAGAAAGGGCCCCCAGAGGCACCTCCGTGGTGGAGAGCAAGGACACAGCAGCCTCCTCAGGGCCCCCAAACAGCTGCCTGGCTCATTACCCGTACAAGAGCAAGATATCTGATCAGCCAATACCCAGACAGAAGGACTCAGCCACGTCTGGAGCCGGGGCTCGTGCACACATTCGCACTTTCTCACACAGGGACAAGCCACCAACCACTCACCTGGCCAGGAGCCGCAGCCTCCAGCCCCTTGGTCAGCCTTAAATGCCCTCAGCTGATGGCAGGTGTTTCGCAGCCCTTGGCCCCACCTCACAGGGCTGATTCTACCCCCACGCCGATGGTTCTTATGCGTGAACGCAGATTGGAATCACTTGGGGAGTTTTGAGCCCGCCCCGGGCAAGAGGCTGATTGAGTTGGTCAGGGAGGCTGAGGGGCGAGGCCCGGGTCTCCCAGGTGAGTCTCATGTTCAGAACCTTCAGCCTCTGCAGCTGTAGCATTTTGAGGCCCTTGAGTAAACCATCAAAAGGTGAAGTGGGGTGAGGGTTGAGGGGAATTCCTTCTAGGGAAGGGTTTGCATTCTGGACGTTTAAGGCTCCTAGGATCTAGCTAGGTTGAGTGGCCTCTTCCTAAACTTGCACAGAAGGCTTAAAAGCTGCTGTTGAATTAATTAGCGTTTACTCCCAAGGCAGGCAATAAGATTTGATGGAGGTGAGAATAGATCTGCTTCATACTGGAATGAAAATAAGAACATTTCAGGTATTGATTCTGCAAATATTTAGACTGCCTACTCTAATCTTCATGTGCCACGCCCTGACAAAGCAGCAGTGAATGAATGACCTGGTCCCTGCCCTCCCAGCAAAGTGGAAACCAGACGGCAATTGTAGTCTGGTGCAGTGGCTCACGCCTGTAATCCCAACACTTTGGGAAACCAAGGCAGGAGGATTGCTTGAGCCCAGGAGTTTGAGACCAGCCTGGGCAATGTAGTGAGACCCCGTCTCTACAAAAAAAAAAAAAAATTAATTAGCTGAGAGGGCCGGGCACAGTGGCTCACACCTGTAATCCCAGCACTTTGGGAGGCTGAGGCGGGATGATCACTTGAGGCCAGGAGTTCAAAACCAGCCTGGACAACGTGGCAAAACCCCATCTCTACTAAAAATACAAAAGTTTGAGATCAGACTGGCCAACATAGTGAAACTCCATCTCTACTAAAAATACAAAATTAGCCGGGAGCGGTGGTGAACGCCTGTAGTCCCAGCTACTCAGGAGGCTGAGGCAGGAGATTCACTTGAACCAAGGAGGCGGAGGTTGCAATGAGCAGAGATCGCTCCACTGCACTCCAGCCTGGGTGACAGAGCGAGACGAAATAAAGGAAAGAAAGAAAGGAAAATTGGAGCACTTGTAAACCAGGCTTCCCGGGTTGCGATGACAGTGACGGGGCCTGGCTTCTATCACTCCAGGCCATTCCACTCTGTCCTGTCATCTGTGGAGAATAAATGAGACTGAGAAGGTGGATGAGGCAGAATTGATTTTCTTGCCCAAACTGACTTCACAGAGCATCATAATAAAAAGACGGGTCATTTACAATCCTGCTGTTCTCCTGAAGCTTTTCAGCCTTGAATAAGATGAACAATCCAGGGCTCCTGCTCCCCAGCCCTGGGGCTGCGGCCTGCCCTAGAGGGGCAGGGAAGGAGGAGAGGGACATGGGCAGAAGCATGGCCAGGTGTCACATGGCCTCAGTGAGCGCCAGCACTTACCATGTCCCAGGAGAATGGGTTTTCTCTGTTTTTTTAAATCTTGTTTTCAGACAGGGTCTTGCTCTGTTGCCCAGGCTGGAGTGCAGTGGTGCAATCACAGCTCACTGCAGCCTCCACATCCTGGGCTCAAGTGATCCTCCCACTTCAGCCTCCTGAGTAGCTGGGACCACTGGCACATGCCACCACACCCACTTAATTTTTGTATTTTTTGTAGAGATTGGGTTTTGCTTTCTTTCCCGGGCTGGTCTTGAACTCCTGGGCTCAAGTGATCCTCCCACCTTTGCCTTCCAAAGTGCTGGGAATACAGGCCTGAGCCACTGAGCCTGGCCTAAATACTTCTTGACAAAGAGAAATGATGGATGAAGGGGGGGAAAGGAGAGGGAAGAAGGGGGATGAACAATCAGAAAGATTTTTGAAATATTTTCAAGATAATAAAATAAAAATGTCACTTTAGCGCCAAATAAAATCAAATTGAGATATAAATCCAAACACAGTATAAAAAAAGAAAGAAATACAGCTGGACCCCTGGAGAAACCTGTCTTCAGCAGCCTGGACTGCCATATATCATATTTCTGGGATCCCACAGAATTCACATTTATTAGGTGCTGGGTGCAGTGGCTCATGCCTGTAATCCCAGCACTTTGGGAGGCTGAGGTGGGTGGATCACCTGAGGTCAGGAGTTCGAGACCAGCCTGGCCAACATGGCGAAACCCAGTCTCTATTAAAAATACAAAAAGTAGCCAGGCGTGGTGGCGGGGGCCTGTAATACCAGCTACTCTAGAGGCTGAGACAGGAGAATCGCTTGAACCCAGGAGGCAGATGTTGCACTGAGCCGAGATCTCGCCACTGCACTCCACCCTGAGTGACAGAGCGAGACTCTGTCTCACATAAACAAACAAAAAAGAATTCACATTTATTAGGAAATCTCCAGTTGGCTTGGAAATAGAAGTTCTTCAAGCTGGGCTGACTTTTTTTTTTTTAAGAGTCTGAGTCTCATGCTGTCACCCAGGCTGGAGTGCAGTGGCACAATCTCAGCTCACTGCAACCTCTGCCTCCCGGGCTCAAACCATCCTCCCTCCTCAGCCTCCTGAGTAGCTGGTACTATAGGCACACACCACCACATCCAGCTAATTGCAATTTTTTTTTTTTTTTGTAGAGATGGGGTTTTGCCATGTTGGCCAGGGTGGTCTCAAACTCCTGGCCTCAAGCAATCTGCCTGCCTCACCTCCCAAAATGGTGGGATTATAAGCATGAGCCACAGCATCTGGCCTGGGCTGACTCTAGGGAACTCTTTGTCCAGGTCGCAGTTTCATCTCTGCCCCACTTCGGGAGTGTCGTGCTCAGAGGAGCCTGTCCCAGGTCCCATCTTCCATTTCGGAGTCTGCAAGGAAGGTTTCGGCAACAGCCTGCTCAGGCTCTCCCCTCCCTGCGATGACCCCACAGAATTCCAAGGGTCTCTGGAGCAAAAGGGGCTATTTCTGGGCCCAGGCTCCGTGTCCATGTTTGGTCTTCAAGGAGCACGTGGTGAACCTGCCAAGGCTTCATCCCGTCACCCTCTTGGGAGGGCACAGATCTCCTTCCTCCTCCAAGGCCTCAACAAACAACAGCTGGGAATGCGGCTTCCAAAGCTGGCTGGAAAGGACTCCCCTCACCCCTCACTACCCCAAGGCGAGGGCCCAAAGGGAGCCTCTTGACATTGATTGGGATTTATTTCCTCCTTTTCATCAAGAATAATTTCAAGCCTAGGCAACATAGTGAGACCCCGTCTGTACAAAAAAAAATTTTTTTTTAATTAGCCAGGCATGGTGGTGCACACCTGCAGTCCCAGCTACTCAGGAGGCTGAAACGGGAGGATCGCTTGAGCCTGGGAGGTAAAGGCTACAGTGAGTTGTGACCATGCCACTGCACTCCAGCCTGGGAGACAAAGGGAGACCTTGTCTCAAAAATAATACTAATTATGATTTCAGATTAAAAACAGTCATTCTCATTCACTAAAAAAAAAACTTCAGGCAACACTTATAAATGTAAAGAAGGTTTAAAAAAATCACCTGGGCCGGGCGCGGTGGCTCATGCCTGTAATCCCAGCACTTTGGGAGGCCGAGGCGGGTGGATCACGAGGTCAGGAAATTGAGACCATCCTGGCTAACACGGTGAAACTCCGTCTCTACTAAAAATACAAAAAATTAGCCGGGCGAGGTGGCGGGTGCCTGTAGTCCCAGCTACTCGGGAGGCTGAGGCAGGAGAATGGCGTGAACCCGGGAGGCGGAGCTTGCAGTGAGCCGAGATAGCGCCACCGCACTCCAGCCTGGGGGACAGAGTGAGACTCCGTCTCAAAAAAAAAAAAAAAAATCACCTGAAATCCCACCACCCAGATAAACTCACCGTGATCTGATCTGATCTTATCTTGGTGATCAGAGAAGCACCTATTTTGCAAAAAAGGGGTTAAGCTGTTCTAGAACCTTAAAAATATATATACATTTACATCCTCAGTTTTTTAAATATTCCATTGTATGGGCTGGGCATGGTGGCTCACACCTGTAATCCTAGCACTTTGGGAGGCCAAGGCAGGGGGATCACTTGAGCCCAGGGGTTTGAGACCACGTCACTACAAAAAAAAAAAATTAGCTGGGTATGGTGGCACGTGCCTGTAGTCCCAGCTACTTGGGAGGCTGAGGTGGCAGGATGGCTTGAGCCCAGGAGGTTGAGGCTGCAGTGAGCTTTGATCGTACCACTGCACTCCAGCCTGGGTGACAGAGTAAGACCCTGTCTCAAAAAAAAAGAAGAGAGAGAGAGAAGAAAAGAAAGAGGAGAGGGAGAGGGAGGGAAAGAGGAAGGAAGGGAGGGAGGGAGGGAGGGAGGAAGGAAGGAAGGAAGGAAGGAAGGAAGGAAGGAAGGAAGGAAGGAAGGAAGGAAGGGCGGGCACGGTGGCTCACGCCTGTAATCCCAGCACTTTGGGAGGCCAAGGCAGGCAGATCACGAGGTCAGATGGAGACCAGCCTGGCTAACATAGTGACACCCCGTTTCTACTAAAAATACAAAAAAATTAGCCAGGCATGGTGGCAGGCGCCTGTAGTCCCAGCTACTTGGGAGGCTGAAACAGGAGAATGTCACGAACCCGGCAGGAGGAGCTCGCAGTGAGCCAAGATCGCACCACTGCTCTCCAGCCTGGATGACAGAGCGAGACCCCATCTCAAAAAAAAAAAAAAAAAGAAAGAAAGAGAAAGAGGGAGGAAGGGGAAAAAAAGGAAGGAAGGAAAGCAAGCAAGAAAGCAAGCAGGAAAGAAAGGAGGAAGGAAGGAAGGGAGGGAGGGAGCGAGGGAGGGAGGGGAGGGAGGGAGCGGGGGAGGGAGGAAGGATGGAAATGTGGAGGCAAAGTGACTACTTACCCACAGCCATGCAGCTCATGGGGCATTTTGTGATGCTCACCTACCGTCACAGAACTCGACAAGAAACCAAGAAAAGAATGAAAGAGGAAAAGGGAGGGGAGAGATTGGAACTTAGGGGCCTATTTCCTAAATCTGGCTGTCTGGGGGGCAGGGACCAAGCCCTCTGCATGTGTCAAGTCCGGGGGTTTCTGGATGTGCATGCCAAGAACGTCTCCATCTCCACCACTCCCCAAATGGAGCACGGTGCTTGGGAGTCATCGTTCCCATCCCAGAGATCTGGCTATCATTCATTCAATAAATATGTCTTCATCATCTAATAGGTGCTAGGCACTTCACATATATGAACTCATTTAATTCTTCTAACAACGGGATTTAGGGCCAGGCGCAGCGACTCATGCCTGTAATCCAAGCGCCTTGGGAGGCCGAGGCAGGCAGATCACGAGGTCAGGAGTTCGACACCAGCCTGGCTAACACTGTGAAACCCTGTCTCTACTAAAAACACAAAAAATTAGCCAGCCATGGTGGCATGTGCCTGGTGTTCCAGCTACTCAGGAGGCTGAGGCAGGAGAATCGCTTGAACCCAGGAGGAGGAGGTTGCAGTGAGCCGAGATTGCGCCATTGCACTCCAACCTGGGTGACAAGAGTGAAACTGCATCTCAAAAAAAAAAAAAAAGAGAGAAACGGAGCCATGTCTCAGATGCTGACTCATTGTGTTATCTTTGGGCAAACTGCTTCACCCCTCCGAGCCCATTTGCTCACCTGCTGAAAAGAGACCATTACTCATCTGCCCCACCCGCCTGCCCAGGCTATTGGAAGGATCAAAATTAGATTTTGGACTCCGGGGACGTCTGTTTTTATTGTTGTGCCAATGCCAACCCATGACTCTGGGGAATTTTTTTCAGCCAGAGGATTTAAGCCCGCTTGATTTCTATAGAAAAACCCATTAAACTTTCTCCAGATACCATGAGCCAATGATTCCATCCAATGCGCTTCTTGCTGCATTTTTAAAGGCAGGGCACTCTGTGTGCCCACTCACTCTTGGGCAGTGCTAGCCACCTGAAAATTAACCTGAGGCCTTCCCCAAAGCAAACTCCCTCTTCCTTCTTTCTTTCTTTCTCTTTCTTTCTTTTCTTTCTTTCTTCTTTCTTTCTTTTCTTTCTTTCTCTTTTTCCTTCCTTCCTTCCTTCCTCTTTCTTTCCTTTCTTTCTCCTTCCTTCCCTCCTTCCTTCCTTCCTTCCCTCTCGCTCTTTTTCTTTCTTTCTTTCATCTGTTTATTTTGTTTTGAGATGGAGTCTGGCTCTGCCACCCAGGCTGGAGTGCAGTGCTGGCATCTCAGCTCACTGCAAGATCCACCTCCTGGGTTCAAGCGATTCTCCTGCCTCAGCCTCCTGAGTAGCTGGGATTACAGCACCCGCCACCACACCCGGCTAATTTTTGTATTTGTAGTAGAGATGGGGTTTCACCATGTTGGCCAGGCTGGTCTTGAGCTCCTGACTTCAGGTGATCCACCCGCCTTGGCCTTCCAAAGTGCTGGGATTACAGGCATGAGCCACAGCGCCTGGACTATTTTATTGTAGAGACAGAGTCTCACTCTGTCACCCAGGCTGGAAGTGCAGTAGTGTGAAGACGGCTCACTGTAGCCTCAAGCTCCCCTGCCTCAGCCTCCCGAGTAGCTGGGATTACAGGTGCCCGCCACCACGCCCAGCTTATTATTTTTTTATTTTTGTAGAGACAGAGTCTTGTTATATTGCCCAGGCTGGAGAAGCAACATTATCTGAGATGGAACTTTCTGGAATATTAACCATTAAACCTCCCCACCCTCATGAGAAGCTCAAACCACAAGAGACCAAGGGGCAGCTCTTGCTGCACGGGGCCAGGAGCTGATGGCTTCCTTTGCTCCAGATCCACCTGCCATCCTTTTCCACCCCATCCTGGGTCCAGGAGGCTGACCCCCCAGGTACCTGCCTGGGTTCCTACTTTCTGGCTCTGGTTGGGTTTGGCCACAGGAGATGCTGAGAGGAGATGGGTGCGCAGGAGGGGAGAGGTGAATGCACCCCCGGCCCTGCTGGGTCTGGTCGGGCGGCAGTTGCACTGTCCCCCTGGAGTTGCTCCGTGCCCCTGGGGGCCAACGCTTCTCCCACAGCCACATCCAGGGTGCAGGGGCTTCCCCTATGGCCTGAGCAGGCGGTGCTTTACTGTACCTATTGTCTTTCTTGAACTCTGCCCCACCTCAGTAAATTGTCTCTTCATTAAACCCTATGCAGTGAGGCCAGGCACCACGGCTCACGCCTGTAATCCCAGCACTTTGGGAGGCCAAGGCGGGCGGATTGCTTAAGCCCAGGAGTTCGAGACCAGCCTGGGCAACATAGCAAGATTGACCTCCATCTCTAAAGAAATAAAAATAAAAATAATCAGCCTGGGCCAGGCGCAGTGGTTCACGCTCGTAATCCCAGCACTTTGGGAGGCCGAGGCAAGTGGATGTGGATCATGAGGTCAGGAGTTCAACACCAGCCTGGCCAACACAGTGAAACCCCGTCTCTACTAAAAATACAAAAATTAGCTGGGTGTGGTGGCAGGCGATTGTCATCTCAGCTACTCAGGAGGCTGAGGCAGGAGAATCGCTTGAACCCAGGAGGCGGAGTTTGCAATGAGCTGAGATCACGCCGCTGCACTCCAGCCTGGGTGACAGAGCAAGACAAGACTCCGTCTCAAAAATAAAAAAATAATCAGCCTGGCATGGTGGTGCCTGCCTGTAGTCCCAGCTACTTGTGGGGCTGTGTGAGGCGGGAGGATCACTTGAGCTCAAGCGATTGAGGCTGCATTGAGCTATGATGGCACCACTACATTCCAGCCTGGGTGACAGAGCAAGACCCTGTCTCTCATAAACAGACAAATAAACAAACGCTCTGCAGTGGCCCCACTGGAGTGTGCTCTTTCCTGCTGGGACCTGGACTAGGACAGAAAGATAACCTCCTGCCAGAGAACAGACCTTCCCAAAATCACTGTGGGGCAGGGGGCCCGTTTCTTCTCACCAGCCTCTGCCCCCATCAGCCAGAGCGTGCTGATCACATGGGAATAAGCAAGAAGCACCTCGGGACCCAGGCTTGGGAGGGTGGCCCATAGATGGGATCCAGGCCCTGGCTGCCAGGTGACGGCTCCCACCAGCAGCCTCTCCCCAATCTCTGGACACTGCCCTGAAAGTGCCCAGGAGGGGATGGGATGGGGATCATCGTACGATTGCAAACAATTGAGCTTAAAGACTTATACAACACATAATCCTAATATCAGGTGGAGAAAAATGTAAATTTCACCTCAATTTTAACCTCGCCAGCTTTGCCCAGAGGAGCTCCACTTTTTCTCTTTACAAACCAGAACTCTGCACAAGAATCTGCCCGTTAAAAGCTTTGCTGCTAAAGATATTAAAAACAGACCTGGCCAGGCATGGAGGTTCACACCTGTAATCCCACCACTTTGGGAGGCTGAGACAGGAGGATCTCTTGAGGCCAGGAGTTCAAGATCAGTGTGGGCAACATAGTGACCGCCCCCCACATCTCTACAAAAAAAAAAATTAAAAAGTTAGTTGGGTGTGGTGGCATGCATGCCTGTAGTCCCAGCTACTTGGGAGGCTGAGGTGGGAGAATTGCTTGAGCCTGGGAGTTCAAGGCTGCAGTGAGCCACGATTGCACCACTGCCCTCCAGCCTGGGCAACAGAGCAAGACTCTGTCTCAAAAATTGAATTTAGTTTAATTTTAAAATAATAAAAAAATAAAAACAAACATGTCAGGTGGTCAGATTTGGGGGAATGACATATCCGAAGGCAAAGCTCTGGGCTTCCCATGCCCACAGACTGGCAGCATCCATGTTTGGAAGACCTCCAAGCCAAAATCTTATTTCAATTTTAGGGAATCTGAGGCCCAGCGTGGGAGAAGTGAGGTTCATCCTCTATTGTGAAGTATTCTGACAGAGCCAGTGTTGGTTGATGTTATGGTTGCTACTTTTTTTTTTTTTTTGAGACAAAGTCTCGCTCTGTTGCTCAGGCTGGAGTGCAATGGTGCGATCTTGACTCACTGCAACCTCTCCCTCCCCGGTTCAAGCAATTCTCCTGCCTCAGCTTCCCGAGTAGCTGAGATTACAGGCGCGCACCACCATGACCAGCTAATTTTTGTATTTTTAGTAGAGATGGGGTTTCACCATGTTGGCCAAGCTGGTCTCGAACTCCTGACCTCAGGTGATCCACCTGCCTTGGCCTCCCAAAGTGCTGGGATTACAGGCGTGAGCCACCACATCCAACTCATGGTTGCTTATTAATACGATTCTTCATTGCTGGATTCCAGTTGTGAAAACACAATAATACATTTGTAAATGGATTGTTGTCAGGGTCAGATGATAATAGGAAGCATTTGAAAACATCTATATGAACTTAATAAAAGGTTCTCTGGGTTCAAAATAGCTGCTTTTCAAACCTAGAGAGATTTAAAAAAGGAAATCAGCTTTGTGCTCAGGTAGGTTCCTTTCTCTCTTAAGAATGAATTGGGGGATCAACAACCCGAATATAAAAGCTAAAACCGGACAACGCTTAGAGGAAAACACAGGGGCAAATTTTCAAGACCTCGAATGTGGCGATGGTTTTTTTGTTTTTGTTTTTGTTTTTTTATTATACTTTAAGTTTTAGGGTACATGTGCACATTGTGCAGGTTAGTTACATATGTATACATGTGCCGTGCTGGTCCTTTGCAGGGACATGGATGAAATTGGAAATCATCATTCTCAGTAAACTATCACAAGAACAAAAAACCAAACATCGCATATTCTCACTCATAGGTGGGAACTGAACAATGAGATCACATGGACACAGGAAGGGGAATATCACACTCTGGGGACTGTGGTGGGGTGGGGGGAGGGGGGAGGGATAGCATTGGGAGATATACCTAATGCTAGATGACGAGTTAGTGGGTGCAGCGCACCAGCACGGCGATGGTTTTTTTAAAGATGACACCAGAAGCACAAACAACAAGAGAAAAAAATAGATAGATTGGATTCAGCAAAATTAACTCTTGTGCATCAAAGAACATTATCAAGGCCAGACACGGTGGCTCACGTCTGTAATCCCAGTACTTTGGGAAGCTGAGGCGGGCAGATCACCTGAGGTCAGGAGTTCGAGATCAGCCTGTCCAACATGGCGAAACCCCGTCTCTACTAAAAATACAAAAATTAGACAAGCACAGTGCCAAGCTTGTGCCTGTAGTCCCAGCACTTTGGGAAGCAGAGGCAGGAGGATTGCCTGAGCCCAGGAGTTCGAGACCAGCCTGGGCAACACGGCAAGTCCCCATCTCTACAAAAAATACAAAAATTAAGGAGGTGCTGTGGTGCCTGACAGTAGTCTCAGCTACTTGGGAGTCTGAGATGGGAGGATCGCTTGAGCCTGGAAGGTTGAGGGGCTGCCGTGAGCCATGATTGTGCCACTGCATTCCAGCCTGGGCAACCGAGTGAGATCATGTCTCAAAAATAAATAAATAAATAAATGGCAAAAGACTTAAACAGACATTTCTCCAAGGAAGATAAACAAGTACCAACAAGCACATGGCAAAGTCCTCAGCATCATCAGTCATTAGGAAAATGCAAATCAAAATCACAGTGAGATGCCACTTCACATCCACTAGTATGACTATGACTTTTTTTTAGTCCAATCAACATGTTTATTAAGCAACTACGTACTAAATATTTAGGAGTACCATATCCCATTTCTTTTTTTTATTTATAACTTTCATTTTAGGTTCAGAGGTTTATGTGCAAGTCTCTTACGTAGGTAAATTGCGTGTCACGGGGGTTTGGTGTACAGAGTATTTTGTCACCCAGGCAATAAGGATAGTACCCCATAGGTACTTTTTTTTTTTTTTTTTTGAGATGGCATCTCCCTCTGTCGCCCAGGCTGAAGTACAATGGCACCATATCAGGTCACTGCAACCCCCGCCTCCCGGGTTCAAGCGATTCTCCTGCCTCAGCCTCCCAAGTAGCTGGGATTACCGGGATGCGCCACCATGCATGGCTAATTTTGTAATTTTTTTAGTAGAGACGGGGTTTCACCATGTTGGTCAGGCTGGACTCGAACTCCTGACCTCAAGTGATCCACCCGCCTCGGCCTCCCAAAGTGCTGGGATTACAAGAATAAGTCACCGCACCTGGCACCATAGGTACTATTTTTTGGACCGCACCCTCCTCCCGCCCTCCACCCTCAGGTAGGCCTCGGTATCTATTGTTTCCTTCTTTGTGTCTATGTGGACTCAGTGTTTAGCTCCCACCTATAAATGAAAATATGCAGTATTTGTTTTTCTGTTCCTGCGTTAGTTTGCTTAGGATAATGGCCTCCAGCTCCACCCATGTTACTGCAAAGGACATGATCTTGCTCACTTTTTTTTTTTTTTTGAGACGGAGTCTCCCTCTGTCGCCCAGGCTGGAGTGCAGTGGCGTGATCTTGGCTCACTGCTAGCTCTGCCTCCCTGGTTCATGCCATTCTCCTGCCTCAGCCTCCCAAGTAGCTGGGACTACAGGAGCCTGCCACCACGCCTGGCTAATTTTTTTGTATTTTTTAGTAGAGACGGGGTTTCACCGTGTTAGCCAGGATGGTCCCGATATTCTGACCTCGTGATCCGCCCGCCTCGGCCTCCCAAAGTGCTGGGATTACAGGCGTGAGTCACTGCATCCGGCCTGTCTATTCCATGGTATATATGTACCACGTTTTCTTTGTCCAGTCTACCACTGATGGGCATTTAGGTTGATTACATGGATGACTACAATTTTTACAAATGGAAATAATACGTGTCAGTGAGAATGTGGAGAAATTAGACCCCTTGTGGCAGTTCCTCAAACAGCTAAATGTAGAATTATCATACGACCTAGAAAGTCCACTCTTAGATAAATATGCAAAAGAATTCAAAACAGGCACTCACAAAATATATGTGCACATATGTTCACAGCAGCATTATTCACAATAGCCAAACAGTGGAAACAAACCAAATGTCCATCAATGAATGAATGGACAAAGAAATTGTGGTATATCCATACAATGGATTATCATTCTATTTATTTTTTTTGAGACAAAGTCTCACCCTGTCGCCCAGGTTGGAATGCAGTGGTACAACCTCGGCTCACTGCAGCCTCGGCCTCCCAGGTTCAGGCGATTCTCCTGCCTCAGCCTCCTGAGTAGCTGAGATTACAGGCGCCCACCTCCACGCCTGGCTAATTTTTTGTATTTTTAGTAGACATGGGGTTTCACCGTGTTGGCCAGGCTGGTTTTGAACTCTTGACCTCAAGTGATCCGCCCGCCTCGGCCTGGGATTACAGGCATGAGCCACCGCACCTGGCCAGATTATTATTCAGCCTTAAGAAGGAATGAAGTGTTGGTACAAGATACAGCATGGATGAACTTTGAAAATGTTATGTTAAGTAAAAGAAGCCAGATGCAAAAGGTTACACATTGTGTGATTCCATTCATATGAAATATTTAGAATAGGTAAAGCCACAGAGGCAGAAGTCTGATTGGTGGTAACCAGGAGCCAGGGGAGAAATTGTTTATTGGGTAGTAGGCTTCCTTTTGGGCTGATGAAGACGTTCTGAAACTAGATAGAGACTATAGTTGCACAACATTCTGAGTGCACTAAATGCCACTGGATTGTTGGCTTAAAGCAGTTAATTTTATGTTATGTAAATTTCACCTCAATTTATTTACACGTAGTTAAGATTTAATAACTTTCAAAAAAGTCAATGACATTTAAATATGCATCATTGATGAAGGAGTTTAGTCCATTTTCGTCATAGGACTACATACAGTTGAGCTTTACGGCTTATACAGGCCAGCCAAGGTGGCTCACACCTGTAATCCCAGCACTTTGGGAGGCTGAGGCAGGCGGATCACCCGAGGTCAGGAGTTCGAGAGCAACCTGGCCAACGTGATGAAACCCTGTCTCTACTAAAAATACAAAAGATTAGCCAGGTGTGGTGGCGCACACCTGTAATCCCAGCTACTTGGGAGGCTGAGGCAGGAGAATTGCTTGAACCCGGGAGGTGGAGGTTGCAGTGAGCTGAGATCGTGCCACTGCATTCCAGCCTGGGTGACAGAGTGAGACTCTGACTCAAAAAAATAAAAATAAAAATAAAAATAAAAGGTTTATACAACGTATGATCTTGGTATCAAGTGAATAAAAATGTAAATTTCACGTCAATTCTTAAAAAGTGAATTGAGGATGTAGAGGGTGGAGACAGGGGGATGATGGATGCCAGGAAGCACGTCCTCCAGGCAGTTTCTCCCTCTAGATGCAGAGGCCATCTCTGAACTCAAGGACAGCACAAAGGACTCCTAGGGTTCACCCACCCAGCCACCCACTTTACAGATGGGAAAGTCAAGGCCAGAGAGGGCGGGGACTTGCCCAAGGCTACATGTCGCATGGGAAGCCACAGAGGAGTTACAGCGAGGGCTTCAGGGCTTGAGGCTGGCACTGAGCCATGACACTACATGGCCATGGGGGCTGCAGGGGGCCCATGGCTGTGATCAGAATAGTAAAGTCCAAGTTAACATGGGCCTTCCAGCCTGAACATGTGGAAGGGACAGTGTCATCAACCCATTGGTTATCCCAGTTCATCCAAGCCAAAGGCTCTGTATGAGTCAACCCAGGTCTTCCTTGACCGTCGGCCCCTCCATGAAGGCAGTTGTAGCTTTAAAAGGAAAACTCATTACCCAGCTGTTCTATTTCTGCCCACAGCCTTCACCGCTGGGTTGAGGTCATCAGTTTCCCCACAAGGGTAATGGGAGGAAGGCGAATGTCTTAGATGCCCCCTGAGGGACCCAGGAGTGCCCAGTCAGGCCCTGGAAGGAGAGGCCAGCTAAGCTCCTGGACCCCTGAGGGCTTCTCTTCTTTTTTAAGGTTTTGCTGACCCAGACCTGTTAGGCAGGTATAAAAGGGGATGGCCAGGCTCGGCCAGTCACCCAGTCTCTTCCAGTGTGGTCTCAGGTAGGAACCTAGGGGATGCTGGGGAAGATGGGAACGGGGAGGGCTTGCAGTGGAGGAGAACTGGTGGGAGGAGAGTAGAGGTGATGATAAGAGCTGAGCTGGGCGGGGGAGGGGATGAGCATTTTGCGAGCACCTGCCTGCCCCAGGGGCTGTAGAGACAGCATCTCATTTAATCCTCCAAGTTGCCCAGTGTGGTGGTTCATGCCTGTAATCCTAGCATTTTGGGAGGCTGAGGCAGGAGGATCTCTTGAGACCAGGAGTTCAAGACCAGCCTGGGCAACATAGCAAGACACTGTCCCTACAAAAACGTTAAAAATTAGCAGGGCATGGTGGCATGCACCTGTAGTCTCAGCTCCTTGGGAGACTGAGGTGGGAGGATCACTTGTGCCCAGGAGTTGGAGGCTGCAGTGAGCTATGATCGCACCACTCTACTCCAGCCTGGGCCACAGAGTCAGACCCTGTCTCAAAAACAAAACAAAACAAAACAAAAACCTCCCCCAAGTGATCTGTGTTGCATGCCCGCTGGATGTACAGTTGAGGGGACTAGTCTGGAGAGCTGCTAGGACTCCCATGTATCCACAAGTGAGACAGGGGAAACCAGGATTCAAACCCAGATCAGCCTCCTTCCCCTGCACCACCTGCCTTCCTTGGTGCGTGATGCTGGATTCATGGGTTCTATCCCTACTCTGTCCTTCCCTTGGTCTGCAAACCATCATCTTTCCCTCTGAAGAGTCTCAGCTTTTGCATTCCACGAGCTACATTGTCTATATGTTTTGTGGTTCATGATTTATTTAGGTCGGTCTTGGTTATCAAAGATACCCGAGAAGAGCCATTGCCTGGAGGGACAGGGGGGTTTTGCATTCAGGGAGGCCTGGAAGTGGGGAGTCATTAGCAAGCAGGAGGCTGGCAGCCACTAAAAGGGATGGAACCTGGTGTCAGAGACCTGCACGTCCCTCAGGGCAGCTCCTGGCTGGAGGGGCCTGTGCCCTAAACCACCAGGCCCACGCAACAGCAGTGATACCTTAGCTTGCTGTTCACGGCAGAACCATCATTAAAAAAACAATACAAAGGCCTGGCACAGTGGCTTATACCTGCAAACCCAGCACTTTGGGAGGCCAAGGCAGGTGGATCACTTGAGGTCAGGAGATCAAGACCAGCCTGGCCAACATGGTGAAACCCTGTCTCTACTAAAAATACAAAAATTAGCTGGGTGTGGTGGTGGGCGCCTGTAATCCCAGCTACTCAGGAGACTGAAGCAGGAGAATTGCTTGAGCCCAGGAGGGGCAGAGGTTGCAATGAGCTGAGATCACGCCACTGTACTCCAGACTGGGTGACAAGAGCAAAACTCCTTCTGAAAAAACAAACAAACAAACAAACAAAAAATACAAGGGCCTGGCACAGCGGCTTATACGTGCAAATTCAGCACTTTGGGAGGGCGAGGTGGTAGGATTGCTTGAGGCCAGGAGTTCAAGGCTTCACGGAGCTATGATTGCATCACTGCACTCCAGCCTGGGTGACAGAATGAGACCCTGTTCTAAATAAATAAATAAATAAAGTCAAGCAGCCTAATTGGTATAAACAAAGGCAACTTTCTTGCCTCCCCTACCCCCATTAGAGCAATTGAGAAACCCAGTTCTCAAATGTGGGCGATGTTTTGTTTTAGTGGCAAGTCGAATGTGTCTTCGCCTGACTGCTGGCACGTGCATTTCTCTTTTTCTTTTCTTTTCTTTTTTCTTGTTAGACAGGGTCTTGTTCTATCACCCAGGCTGGAGCACAGTGGTGCAATCTCAGCTCACTGCAAGCTCCGCCTCCCGGGTTCTCGCCATTCTCCTGCCTCAGCCTCCGGAGTAGCTGGGACTACAGGCGCGTGCCATCGCGCCCGGCTAATTTTTTGTATTTTTAGTAGAGATGGGGTTTCCCTGTATTAGCCAGGATGGTCTCGATCTCCTGACCTCGTGATCCACCCATCTCGGCCTCCCAATGTGCTGGGATTACAGGTGTGAGCCACCGCGCCCGGCCAGGCACTGGTATTTTTAAATTTTCTTTTCTTTTCTTGAGACAGCGTCTCGCTCCATTGCCCAGGCTAGAGTGCAGAGGCACAATCAGAGCTCATTACAGCCTTGACCTTCCCAGTTCAAGCAATCCTCCTGCCTCAGTTTCCCAAGTAGCTGGAACCACAGGCACACACCACCACACCTGGCTAACTTTCTAATTTTTATTTTATTTCATTTCATTTCATTTCATTTCATTTCATTTTATTTTATTTTATTTTATTTTATTTTATTTTATTTTATTTTAATTTTATTTTATTTTATTTTGAGACAGAGTCTCACTCTGACCCCCAGGCTGGAGTGCAGTGGCACAATCTCGGCTCACTGCAACCTCTGCTTCCAAGGTTGAAGTGATTCTCATGCCTCAGCCTCCCGAGTAGCTGGGACTACAGGCACATACCACCAGGCTCGGCTAATTTTTTTGAATTTTTAGTAAAGATGGGCTTTTGCCATGTTGACCAGGCTGGTCTCGAACTCCTGGCCTCAAGTGAGCCACCCATCTCGGCCTCCCAAAATGCTGAGATTACAGGCGTGAGCCACAGCAGCCTGCCTAACCTTCTAATTTTTATAGAGACAGGGTCTCGGTACGTTGCTCAGGCTGGTCTTGAACTCCTGGCCTCGAGCAATCCTCCTGCCTCAGCCTCCTAAAGTGCTGGAATTACAGCCGTGAGCCACCTCCACCCAGCCAATCACCGGTATTTTCATATCAAATTACAGTAGTTGCAGACATCTCAAAATATAATTAATTCTTACTGCTGCTCCAAAACTATAGTACTTGTGAGACCTGCTGCTAGATTATGTTATTTGATGCATTTATAAAGAGGCACATCTATTACTAGATCATGCATTTTTAATATTTTATTAATTATATTTTAATGTCATGTATTTCCTTGGTAATCCTACATATTTTATTGCTTGAATTTGAAACATTTTGTCCAATAGGACCACAGGTATCGCCAGACAACCAAAGAGGTCCCTGGCCCATGAGGGCACAAGACCCCTGCCCACCTCCTCTCCTTTCTTGTTTCTGTGCAACAGCCGAGCTTTCCGGGCTAGGATGGCGGGGGCGGGTGACGCAGAAAAAAAGTTCCAGCCAGAACTCTCTACGCCAGGCCCCATAGGAAGACAAGAGGAGGAGAAAGCGCCTGGCTATGCCTCAGTGGCTTGCCTGTTGTGACTCAGCTTCTTTTGGAAAAACTGGGGGTGTTGGCAGGAGAGACTGTAGGCGCAGTACAGCGAGGGCCCAGCGCACAATTAGGAGTCCCTCATCTAAAGGCTGAGGCTGTACCCTTGGCCTTGAGAAATGCATTGCTGGCAAAGAGGCTCAGAACCACACCCTCCCTGAAACTTCGAGAAGGTTCTTCAACCCCAAGACGAACTGGGGAGGCCCCTGATTTCTGTCTTTGTTCCCTTGAGCCTCCAGTTCCCCTCCTTCCTGGGGATTCAGTGAAACTGTTTGGGGTTTGGGAATTGAGAGACCCAGACTGTCCTCGTTTTAGGAGAGATAATAATTGACCCAGGCAGTCATTTTGTACTAGGGACCGCTGGATGTCTGGTGAAGCCTGTGGACTCCGCTCAGATTAGTGTTTTTAAATGAATAAAATAGGCCGGGCATGGTGACTCATGCCTGTAATCCTAGCACTTTGGGAAGCTGAGGCAGGTGGATCACTTGAGGTCAGGAGTTCAAAACCAGCCTGGCCAACATGGTAAAACCCTGTCTCTACTAAAAATACAAAAAAAAAAAAAAAAAAAAAAAATTTGCCAGGCGTGGTAGCGGGCACCTCCCAGCTACTCAGGAGGCTAAGGCAGGAGAATTGCTTGAACCCAGGAGACAGAGGTTGTAGTGAGCCAAGATTGCAGCACTGCACTCCAGCCTGGGCAACAGAAGAAAACTCCGTCTCAAAAAAAAAAAAAAAAAAAAAAAAGGTAAAATAAAATACACAGAGCTGCAAAGGAAACGAATGGTATTGTAATACTGGCTGGGTGCGTGCGCTGGCTCAAAAACCAGTAATCCCAGCACTTTGGGAGGCCAAGGTGGGAGAATCACTTGAGGCCAAGAGTTTGAGATCAGCCTTGGCAACATGGTGAGACCTCATCTCTATAAAACATTTTAAAATTAGTCGAGCATAGTGGCTTATGCCTGTAATCCCAGCATTTTGGGAGGCTGAGGTGGGAAGATTGCTTGAGCCCAGAAGTTGGAGGCTGCAGTGAGCTATGATTGCACCACTGCACTCCAGCATGGGTGATGGAGTAAGACCCTGCCTCTGAAAAAAAAAAAAAAGAAAAGAAAAAATATATTAAAAACTAATTTGTGACATGGCAGTAAGGCAATAATAAATGTCCTTCTTTATTAAAAAATTTAAAGAACAGTATCAAACCAAGGGCTTAAAGAGACCATAATTTTAAAGTTGAGATGAAGATAAACAGTATTTTGAGACATCTGCAGCCACCCTAACGAGAAGTGAAGAGCTTTGATTTTTGCTGGGAGCAAATAGAGGCTGTGGTGCTACGGAGGTCTGTGGCCTCTGTTCATATCAGATAGAAAGTGAAAACCAAGTGGCAATTGTTTTCCTGTCCCATTTCACAGACCCTGGGTAGAAACCCTACCTTTAACCTCTCCATGCCCCAGTGTTCTCCTCCATAAAATAGGCTTCCTGATCCCTACCTCACAGCCTTAGTATGAGGAACATATGAGATGAAAGAGGCAGAAGCATTTGTGTTGTTGGGGGTGAGGGGGTACTTAACTGTGAAGATTTATTAGCTTATTTCATTTTTAAATATAACTTCAACTTTTAGATTCAAGGGGTATACATGCAGGTTTGTTATATGGGTATATTGAGTGACACTGGGATTTGGGATCCAAATGATCCCATCACACAGGTGGTGAGCATAGCATCCAATAGGCCATTCTTCAATCCTTGCCTCCCTCC
This sequence comes from Homo sapiens, assembly GCF_000001405.40. NCBI lineage: Eukaryota > Metazoa > Chordata > Mammalia > Primates > Hominidae > Homo > Homo sapiens. Next base: position 99,237,861 of record NC_000007.14, read on the forward strand.
TGCTCTCCCCCATCTAGTAGTCCCCAGGGTCTATTGTTTCTATCTGTCTGTACCCAATATTTAGCTCCCACTTATAAGTGAAAACATGTGGTATTTGGTTTTCTGTTTCTATGTTAATTCACTTAGAATAATGGCCTCCAGCTGCATCTATGTTGCTGCAAAGGACATGATTTCATTCTTTTTTATGGCTGCATAGTATTCCATGGTGTATATGTACCACATTTTCTTTCTGTTTTTGGCTTTTTTTTTTTAAGACAGGGTCTTGCTCTGTCACCTAAGCTGGAGTGCAGTAGTACAATCATGGCTTCCTGCAGCCTTGACCTCCCCAGCTCAAGCAATCCTCCCGCCTTAGCCCTGAGGATAGCTAGGACTACAGGCACACATCACCATGCCCAGCTAATTTTTTAATGTTTTTGTAGACATGGGGCCTTGATATATTGCCCAGGCTGGTCTCAAACTCCTGGGCTCAAGCTGTCCTTCCACCTTGGCTTCCCATAGTGCTGGGATTATAGGTGTGAGCCACTGTACCTGGCCTGTACCACATTTTCTTTATCTAATCCACCACTGATGGCCACCTAGGTTGATTCCATGTTTTTGCATTGTGAATAACACTGCAGTGAACATACAGGTGCATGTGTCTTTTTGGTAGGAAAACTTATTTTTCCCTTTTTTTAGATACCCAGGAATAGGATGGCTGGGTTGAATAACAGTTCTAAGTTCTTTGAGAAATCTCCAAATTGCTTTCTACAGTGGCTGAACAATTAGCTTCTTTCTTATTCTTGGTTATGAAAGCCTAATAGCACCAAGACAGACAAGGTGACATGAGAGAAGCAAGCCTCTGTCTTTCTCGGGACATTGACTTCAGCCTGTGAGCCTCAGCAGCTTGTCTCTGCTTCCCCCTACAGCACCCAGGGAAGTCCTGGTTCCTGCCCTCAGCTCCTTCCTGCTCCATCCTCAACCAAGCCACCATGCCTGGTGGGTACAAAGGGGAGTGTGGGGACGATGTGGACCCTATGCCTTTCCTGGCACCTCCTGAAAAGGAGAGGATTGAAGCCATGAACAAGCCCTATGACATTAAGAGGTCCTGCTGGGTCAAAGATGAGAAGGAAGGCTTCGTCGCTGGGGAGATCCAGTCTGAACAGGGTGACCAAGTCACCGTGAAGACGATCACCAACCAGGTGAGTGGGGCACGATCTCCAGGATGAAACCAAGTGGCAGGCACCCAGGCCTTTTCTAGGCATGCTCCCGCCCAGAAGGCAGGGTGGCAGAAAGAGCAGGTGCCTCCGAGTCCCATGTGCTGGGGTCAAATCCAGACTCGCCTACACTCAAGCTGTGTGGCCCTGGGCAAGACGCATTCCCTCTCTGAGCTATATCACAATAGAGATTCCGAGACAGATCACATGAAAGCACTTCATAGACTCTAAGACAGTACCGTGCGTAAGGGATGATCGTGAGAGTTACTTATCTTTGATGTCTCAAACAGCTCTCAAGTGGAAGCTATTTTCTAAGCATGAGAGTGAGCATGTCACTTATGAGCAGTGTCACTGTGTGCCATGGCCCCTGGTGGCATGAGGGCCATGAGAGAGGGCACAGAACACCCTGGCTCACTGGGTGAGCTCTTCAGCTGCATGAAGAACAGATGGTGGTTCCCAGGTCTCTTGGAGCATGGGGGTGGTGTGCTGGATGTGATGGCTTCCGATGGCTTTTAACGTGTTGCAAGGACCCAACCTGGCTAATGATGGCTTGCAGGGACTCAACCTGGCTTATCGTGGATTGCAGGGATCCAACCTGGCTTGTGATGGTTTGCAAAGACCCCAACACTAAACAATGAGGGATTTTACAGCCAGTTGTTAAACCTTGGGTAGCTTGCTATCAGCCGTGATGGAAGTATTTATACCATGGAAATGGGAATATGCTGTAAATCAGGGACACTTCCCCCCAGACAGCTGGTTTACCAACCCACCCTTCTCTCTGCTGGCCCACACTACGTCTGACTATGAGATATGACTTGAGAGAATGGATAGAAAATTTGGCTTATTAGGCTAGGCGTGGTGGCTCACACCTGTAATCCCAGCACTTTGGGAGACCAAGACAGGAGGATTACTTGGGCTCAGGAGTTTGAGACTGTCCTGGGCAACTTGGTGAGACCCTATCTTTATTTTTAGAAAATAATAACAATTTTTATTAGAATTTTTTTAATTTGGTTTATTTTAAATGGGTAAGGGCAGGGTCTCTTGTATTCTTGGCAGACCCCTGGTGAGGCACTTGACACTTTGTTTAATCCTTTTGGCAATCTTATGTGGTAGGATTTATTGACCCTATTTTGCAGAGAAGGAAAACTGAGGATCAAGGGCACTTTAGGTGACCTGTGTACGTTGCAAAAATAGCAAATGATGAATTTGGATTCAAACCCACTGTATCTGGCTCATATGCCCATGCCCCTTCTATGTCACCATTCCATCCCTTCATGGTGGGCTGCCAAGAGGGAGGCATGAGCCATTGCACCCGGCCACTTTTCCATTTAAGAAAAAAGACATTACTCTGCTCCCTCCAAACCGCCTTCAAGGATAAAATTGAGAGCAAGCAAGCAAAGAAAACAAAACAAAACAAAACAAAAACAAAAAACAGAGCAATGTGTGTTCAGCAATAAATATATTAGCACCTGCGAGGTCCATTCCTGGTTAATTTCTTGATTAAAAGAAGTCAGAGGCCAGACGCGGCAGCTCAAGCCTGTAATCCCAGCACTTTGGGAGGCCGATACAGGCAGATCGCTTGAGGCTAGGTGTTTGAGACCAGCCTGGGCAACATAACGAGGCCCCGTTTCTACAAAAAATTAGCCAGGTGTGGTGCATCCCTGTACTCCCAGTTACTTAGGAGGCTGAGCCAGGAGAATCGCTTGAGCCCAGGAAGCTGAGGCTGCAGTGAGCTAGGATTGCACTGCTGCACTCCAGCCTGGGTGACAGACAGAAACCTTGTCTCAAAAAAAAAAAAAGGAAGCCAGAGACCTCAGTGATCAGAACTGGCAACAGCTGTATTTTTCTCTGCGCCTGTCTTCGAGAGGAGCAGTGGTAAAAAGATATAGTTGGGTGGAAATGGATTTGAACGAAAGTCAAGCTTAATTCCCAGGAGAAACAGTTTTCAGAGAGGAGAGTGCTGCAGTGTCGTGAGAAGTGATGGGTGATGATAGTGGAGCCCCAGGGTGCATCTAAGTTTGGATCCACATTTAAGGACAACACAATTTCCTTGAGTATCTGCAGCAGACAGTGCCGGCCAGCCGGGTTTGGGACAGAAAAGATGGAGCCTGTGGCGCTGGCTTCCCTGGCTCCTAAAATAAAGGCCAAGTTCTCCATTCCTCTGCTGAAAGCGAAGTGTCTGCACGTGGACGAGGACCAGAGATCTGGAAACCCCTGGAAATGAATTCAGAATAAAACCCAGCTTGAGGCCAGGCATGGTGGGTCACGCCTGTAATCCCACCACTTTGGGAGGCCAAGGAGGGTGGATCACCTGAGGTCAGGAGTTTGAGACCAGCCTGGCCAACATGGTGAAACCCCATCTCTACCAAAAATATAAAACTTAGTCGGGCATGGTGGCCTGCGCCTGTAATCCCAGTTACTTGGGAGGCTGAGGCAGGAGAATTGCCTGAACCCAGGAGGCGGAGGTTGCAGTGAGTTGAGATCACGCCACTGCACTCCAGCATGAGTGACAGAGTGAGACTCTGTCTCAGAAAAAACAACAAAACAAAAACAAACAAACAAAAAACAGCTTGGTTTACTAAGGGCGTGGTAACCATTACGGGGAGTGGGGGTGGATTTTCCAGAACTGTCAAGATTTCAAATTATCTGCCTATTGTACTAATAAGTTATTAAAAGTCCCAGAAATCCCAGTATGGATTCAGGCCTCACATCTAAGGTTGCAGGCAGCCAAAAGGTATTTGTTTTCTAGATCGTATGTCTTCAGCTTTGATCCCAGATGCTGGAGCTTCTTAAGAGCTGGCACTAGTTTTTTTTTTTTGTTTAGTTTTGTTTTGTCTTGCACTATCACCCAGGCTGGAGTGCAGCGGCATGATCTCCGCTCACTGCAACCCCCGCCCCCTGGGTTCAAGTGATTCTCCTGCCTCAGCCTCCCAAGTAGCTGGGGTTACAAGTGTGCGCTACCACGCCCAGCTAATTTTTGTATTTTTAGTAGAGACAGGGTTTCGCCATTTTGGCCAGGCTGGTCTCGAACTCCTGACCTCAGGTGATCCACCCACCTCGGCCTCCCAAAGTTCTGGGATTACAGGCATGAGCCACTGCACCCGGCCTAGTTTTCATTTATAGATGAAGAAATTGGGGTGCAGCATGGGGAAGAGATCTGCCCACATGGCACGGGCGCGAACACACCTACTGATGAATGCTCATTGCTGGTTTCTTTTTTTTCTTCTTTTCTTGCTTGCTTTCAATTTTATCCTTGAAGGTGGCTTGGAGGGAGCAGGGGAATGTCTTTTTTTCAAGTGGAACAGTGGCTACATGTGGTGGCTCACACCTGTAACACTTTTGGGGGCCAAGATGGGAGGATCATTGAAGGCCAAGAGTTCAAGACCAGCATAGGCAACATAGCAAGACCTTGTCTCTAGAAAAAAAAATTAAAAATTAGCCAGGCATGGTGGTGTGCACCTGTAGTCCCAGCTACTCGGGAGGCTGAGGCAGGAGGATGGCTTGAGCCCAAGAGATTGAAGCTGCAGTGAGCTATGACTGTACCACTGAACTCCAGCCTGGGCAACAGAGCAAGATTATGTCTCAAAAAATAAAATTAAATTAAAAATTTAAAAAGGAAAAGTTTGGCTGGTCTGAAGGTAGTGAGTTATCTCAATTGATTGTGCATGGTCAGTTACAGATCAAAATCCTTGTTCCACTCTTCCCCCCACCCTTCTCATTACTGCACTTAGTCTTTAAAAAAGAGAGAGAGAAATGGAAAAGCTCATCGCTATTTCGAAATCACCGCTAACTCTCAAGGCAGAGAGCCAAGAGTCACATCTCTGCAAAGTGTCCATGGGATCAAAGAATAAGCTCTGATCATCTATCAGGATGGATTTGGCTGGAAGAGAAGCAGAGCCCAGAGGTCTCTGTAACATAGGGAGGGAACGTCATAGTTTTTAAGGTATTTTTACATGATTCCACTTAAGTTCATATAATTCTCCCAGCAACCTGCCAAGGAGGCTACTGTCATCTCAACTTCAGAGAGGAGGCAGTTGAAGCTGCATTGGCCTCAGAAGTGCCTCCCCATCCCAGGACACACAGGGGGATGTGGCTGGACCAGGACTTGGGTCCACTGGATGCTCCACTCCATCTCCTGGGACTCCAGAGGGTATGTGGTGACCTGGGCCAGATGCCCCATGCCCCATGCCTGATGCCTGTGCTGCTGTGTCTTGACCCCCCCAGACACTCACTGTGAAGAAGGATGATATCCAGCAGATGAACCCACCCAAATTCTACCAGGCCAGTGACATGGCAGACATGACCTTCCTGAATGAGGCCAGTGTCCTAGACAATCTGCGCCAACGCTACACCAACATGAGGATCTATGTGAGTGCCAGGGATGGGGTGAGTGGGGGGAGGAAGGAGTGGCTGTAGATCTTCTGCTTTTCTTTTGTTGAGGAGGGGGTTGGCTACTCCACCCTCCCCAGCTCCCAGTACACATTATGACTTAGACAAAGGCACAGGGACCACGTTTCTGACATGTTAGAATTTCCACCCAAAGCCTTCGGCATCTCAGTAATGGCACCATCTCCGTGAGCAGCTTTTGCTGAGGCTGTCACCCGAAAATCTTCCTCCTCATGTTCCTCCCCTCTTCCTCAAACTCTCAAATCAAAACATCATTTTTCCCCTAGTGACTTCATGTGCCATTATTAGAAGTCCATCCATCCATCTATCCATTCATCCATCTATCCATTCATTCATCCATCCATCCATCCATCCATTCATCCATCTATCCATTCGTTCATCCATCCATCCATCCAAACATCCATCCATCCAAACATTCATCCATCCAAACATTTATCCATCCAAACATCCATCCATCCATCCAAGTATCTATCCATCCATCCAAACATCTATCCATCAACCCAAACATCCAAACATTCATCCATCCATCCATCCATCCATCCAAACATCTATCCGTCAATCTATTCATCCACCTATCCAAACATCGATCCATACATATATACGTCCAAACATCTATCCATCAGTCCAAACATCCAAACATTCGTCCACCTATCCAAACATCCATCCATCCATCAACCAAACATCCATCCATCCATCCACTCATCCACCCATCCAAACATCCAAATATCCATCCATTCATTCATTAATCAAAACACTCATCCACCCATCCATCCAACAAACATTGAGGAAATGTGACTTGTAGCCTGAGGCACTTAGGAAGGACAACCAACTGCATCCTTGAAGAAATTCAGTTTCACTTTGTCTGACATGATGACCAGAGTGAGTTACAATCAGTCCCCTGAGTGTCTTTGAAATCTTAAGACAGAAAGATGATTTCCTGAAGGTGTTGCAGCTTAACTCCCAAAATGGGTTGTCTAAGGACGTGTTGGTGTTTGCCTCTCTAGATGTCTTTATTTAAAAGGAAAGAGGCTTATCTGGTAGGAATAGGTGAGGTGCAGCCTGACTCCCAGGTCAGGAGCTGCTGGGGGTTCCCCTTCCCTGGGTCTATGGTTATAGTCAAGAGGGCTTCTGTGACCCCAGATTCATCCTCCTTTAATACTACTACTGTGGTTCTAGATTCAGGCCCCAGTAGTACCATAGCCCCAGGTGTTGCTGGAAGGTCTCTGAAATCTCTTGAAGATATTTGCTAGGTCTGGAAGTTAGCAGGGCATCCTTGAACCCCAGGTCTAGAAAGAGCCACACCCACCCCCGGCTGAACCTAGAGCCTGGGCTGAGAATGTCAAGGTACAGGCTCAAAGGTCAAGCTCAGGACCAGGGCTTACCTGGGGCTGCTCTGCCCGCAAGCCCTTGTTCCTCCTGGGTGACCACATCATGACTTTGGGCCAAGGGACTGCAGGCTTTGTGGAGTATAGCCTGAGAGACCAGGGCAGGGAGTCCCCTCCTACATTAAAGCGCCTCAATAGAGCCACTAATGCAACAACTCTAGCTGGCAAGGGCTGCTCCCATGATCCCAGCTGCTTCTCTCTCAATTCCTCCTGACCACAGCAGGGAGGTAACTGGCTTCCAGGATGCTGTCTGCCCCCACCCCACGGCTGAGACAGGCTGGAGGGGAAGAGTGACTCCATGGCTGGTGTCCCAGGATGAGACACTGTGTGTCATACTCTCAGCTGTTCCACTGGGTTTCCTTCATCGTCTCTTTGCCTTTTTTCCTGTGGATCAGTTTGTACTTAATAAGTTTCCTTTTGAAAATTCAACATATCCCAGTTATGCTAAGGAGGAGCTGGTGGCAGGGACAGGGGTGGATAGGGAGCAGTTATTCTTACTTGGTTCAAAATGGAAGGGTTTAAAGTTGAACTGAAACCAAGTACTTGGTGGATGCTTTAGAGGTCAATGTGACTGTCCAGCAAGGAGAAGAGAAATTTAAGATTCATAGATTTGGCCATTTCCTGTCTTCACTCATTCTTCCTGCTCTTAATTTATTTAATGATGTAATTGGTTTTTCTGGGGTTTTTTGTTTGTTTGTTTGAGATGGAGTCTCGCTCTGTTGCCCAGGCTGGAGTGCAGTGGCACAGTCTCACCTCATTGCAACCTCCGCTTCCCGGGTTCAAGGGATTCTCCTGCCTCAGCCTCCTCAGAAGCTGGGATTACAAACTTGCGCTACCACGCCCAGCTAATTTTTGTATTTTTAGTAGAGACAGGGTTTCACCATGTTGGTCACGCTGGTCTCGAACTCCTGACCCTGTGATCCGCCTGCCTCAGCCTCCCAAAGTGCTGGGATTACAGGTGTAAGCCACTGCGCCTGGCCTTTCTGTTCTTTTTTTTAAAACAGGGTGATTTCTTACAAAATTGCAATCTTGGAGTGAAAAGAAAGTTGGGGTCTCTTTTTAAGAGTAGGTCAAGGCTGGGCGCAGTGGCTCATGCCTGTAATTCCAGCACTTTGGGAGGCCAACGTGGGTGGATTGTTTGAGGACAGGAGTTCATGACAAGCCTGAGCAACACGGCAAGACTCCCGTCTCTACAAAAACAATTTTTTAATTATCCAGGCTTAGTGGGCACATGCCCGTAGTCCCAGCTACGTGGGATGTTGAGGTGGAAGAATCGCTTGAGCCCAGGAGTTCAAGGCTGCAGTGAGCTATGATGGCACCACTGCACTCCAGCCTGGGTGATAGAGCAAGGCTCTGTCTCTAAAAAAAAAAAAAGAAAGAAAAGAAAAAAAAAAGAGAAAGAAAGAAAAAAACAGGTAAAAAACAGGTGGTCAAACCCAGCTGCCACAAGCAGGGAACTGCATCCACACAGTGAAGATTCCACAGCTTTTGAATCACCCCAGAAATTCTCAATAGACTCTCAAGGAAAGCCAGATATATTAAGTGGCAAAAGCAAGATATAAAACAGTACTATAGGCTGGGCGCAGTGGCTCACACCTGTGATCCCAGCACTTTGGGAGGCTGAGGTGGGTGGATCCCTTGAGGTCAGGAGTTTGTGACCAGCCTGGCCAATATGGCGAAACCCCATCTCTACTAAAAATACAAAAATTAGCCGGGCGTGGTGGCGTGCACCTGTAGTCTCAGCTACTCAAGAGGCTGAGGCAGGAGAATTGCTTGAATCTGGGAGGCAGAGGTTGCAGTGAACCCAGATGGCACCATTGCACTCCAGCCTGAGTGACAGAGTGAGACTCCATCCACAAAATATATATAAATAAAAAAAACCATGGAAGGGAGTAAAAGAAACTAGCCCAGCATTTACCTGTGGTGAGGGTGGGGGTGGGCATGGAGCAAGTGGAGGGACCTTCTGCAGTATATATGTTACCACAGTGACAGTGTTACCTATTCAAATCCAGATGGACCCCAACTTACAATGGTTCAAGTTAATGATTTCCAACTTTACGATGGGGCAAAAGCAATACACATTCAATGCACTCCTCGATTTATGATCAAACCCATCGTATGTTGAAAATATCATAAATCGACTTTCAATACGATATTTTCAACATATGATGGGTTTATCTAGATGTGACCCCATCCTAAGTTGAGGAGTGTCTGTAATTAAACCAAAAGAAAACAAAAACAAATATATATTAAAGAGAAGCCTCATTTAGCTTAATGAACACAGACTCAGATAGTCATAAGATTTTGCCTCCAGAAGGCTGGGTTTCGTTGTTTTTGTTGTTTTTGAGACGGAGTCTCACTCTGTTGCCCAGGCTGGAGTACAGTGGCACGATCTTGGCTCACTGCAACCTCTGCCTTCCAGGTTCAAGCGATTCTCCTGCCTCAGCCTTCCAAGTAGCTAGGATTATAGGCGTGCACCACCACGCCCAGCTAATTGTTTCGTCCTTTTGGTAGAGACAGGGTTTCACCATGTTGGTCAGGCTGGTCTCCAACTCCTGACATCAGGTGATCCACCTGCCTCGGTCTCCCAAAATGTTGGGATTACAGGCATAAACCACCACACCTGGCAGAAAGCTTGCCTTCTTCACAGCTTGCTCTATGATAAGCTGGGGCCTGAAGGGAACTCCGCTGGGGGAAGAGGGTACCAGGAGGAAAAATCAGCTGACCATCTTCCCTCCCTCCCACCAGACCTACTCGGGCTTGTTCTGCGTGACGGTCAACCCCTACAAGTGGCTGCCCATCTACGGGGCCCGTGTGGCTAACATGTACAAGGGCAAGAAGCGCACAGAGATGCCGCCTCACCTCTTCTCCATCTCTGACAACGCCTACCACGACATGCTTATGGGTGCGTCGGGGTGGGCTCTGCTGGGGCAGGGGTGGCGGGAGACAAGCCTTCCTTTGCCATTGCGGCTCCAGACGCATTAAGACCTTGTGATACCCGATCCTAACCCTGACCCTGCACTACCAGTTGAAGTTCTTTGCTAAATTTTGAGCAGCAGCTGCTGCTACCAGGTGCCAGGGCTCAGTGAGTGTGCTGGGCACTTGCTAGGCACCAGCCCTACCTCACACCCTATCTCATTTAAGTTTCACAAACCCGTGGGATGCCAAGGTAAGTAGGTAAGTAACTTGCTCAGAGCTCAGTACTCTTAACCATTACCTCTATGATCTTTGCTGCATGTTATAGTGATTCCTCTATGTGATTTTTTTCTTTATTTTGAGATAGAGTTTCGCTCTTGTCATCCAAGCTGGAGTGCAATGGTGCAATAGCTCACTGCAACCTCCACCTCCCAGGTTCAGGCAATTCTCCTGCCTCAGCCTCCCAAGTAGCTGGGATTACAGGCATGTGCCACCACACCCAGCTAATTTTTGTATTATTAGTAGAGATGGGGTTTCATCATGTTGGCCAGGCTGGTCCTGAACTCCTGACATCAGGTGATCCACCCATCTCGGCCTCCCAAAGTGCTGGCTTTACAGGCGTGAGCCACTGCGCCCAGTCATGATTTTTTTTTTAAGAGATGGGTTCTTTGTTGCCCAGGCTGGAGTGCAGTGGTGCAATCTTAGCTCACCGCAGTCTAGAACTTCTAGGCCCAAGCAATCCTCCTGCTTCAGCTTCCTGAGTAGCTGAGACTATAGCAATGCGTCACTATGCCCAGCTAATTTCTTAATGTTTTGTGGAGACAGGGTTTCACCATCTTGCCTAGGCAGGTCTTAAACTCCTGGGCTCCAGCCTCAGCTTCCCCAAATGCTGGGATTACAGGCATGAGTCATGCTGTCCAGCCCTCTGTGATTTTTGTCCTCATTTCTCTTTATGTTGCTTAGGACTGGGTAGCTTTATGGCCACTCTGGGCTGGTAGAAAGAGTGGCTGATAAATTCCTGATCCTTTCTGCAAGGGTGTACACTGCAGGGATGGGCACGTGGCCACAGATCCCACAGGATCCTGAATTTTGGCCTCCAAGTGTAGCCAAGGCCACGATCTAAGCCGGGTGGAATTTGGGGAAGCGCTGACTGGCTGGGGCATTGTCGAATGCCTAGTTTCTAAATGTTCCTAATTACACCTTCCTGTTTCTTGTTTTCTTCCCTACAGATCGTGAGAATCAGTCTATGCTAATCACGTAAGTGTCTCTTCCATCTCTGTCTATACACATATAATTAGACCTGTGTCTTACACATACAATTAAGCCTTCTTAGAATTAATTGCGGGACTTTGTTTGGAACTCTGCAGGCAGTGAGTGGGCTTTGGGGCGGGTGAGGCTACACCTGTTAAACTGACAGGGTGGCCTCCCTGTCCCCAGGACCTCCCCACCTGCCTGTCTGTCCTAGCTAGGGGGCAAAATGCGAACAGAAGTGTGTACCTTTGAGGCCAGGTGTGGTGGCTCACACCTGTAATCCCAGGGCTTTGGGAGGCTGAGGCAGGAGGATCGCTGGAACCCAGGAGTTTGAGACCAGCCTGGGCAACATAGTGAGACCCCATCTCTACAAAAAATTAGCCAGGTATGGTGGTGCACACCTGTAGTCCCAGCTACTCAGGAGGCTGAGGCAGGAAGATTGCTTGAGCCCAGGAGGTTGAGGCTGCAGTGAGCTATGATCACACCACTGCACTCCAGCCTGGACGACAGAGCAAGACCCTCTCTCAAAAAAAAAAAAAAAAAAGAAAAGAAAAGTGCTGTTTTTTTTTTTTTTTTTTTTTTTTTGAGATGGAGTCTTGCTCTGCCACCCGGGCTGGAGTGCAGCCTCCACCTCCTGGGTTCAAGCGATTCTGCTGCCTCAGCCTCCTGAGTAGCTGGGATTACAGGCACATGCCACCATGCCTGGCTACTTTTTGTATTTTTAATAGAGACGGGGGCTTCACCATGTTGGCCAGGCTGGTCTCGAACTCCTGACCTCAGGTGATCCGCCCACCTTGGCCTCCCAAAGTGCTAGGATTACAGGCATGAGCCACTGTGCCCGGTTAATTTTTGTATTTTTAGTAGAAACGGGGTCTCACCATGTTGGCCAGGCTAGTCTTGCTCCTTTTCTCTGCAGCTGACCACCCCTCTTCCTGCTTCTCCTGTCCACTTTTTTTCTACCTGCAGCGGAGAATCTGGTGCTGGTAAGACTGAGAACACGAAGAAGGTCATCCAGTACTTTGCCAACATTGGAGGAACTGGCAAACAGACCACAGATAAGAAGGTAGAGCCGACCGGGTGGGCCCATATTTCCCGTCTTCAGGCTTCTGTGACACACACAGTGGTGCCCATTCAATCTTCACAGCTGCTCACAGCTTAGGGCCATTTTACAGATGAAGAGACTGAGGCTTAGAGAGAAGTGACTTGGGTGGGGTCACACAGGGAGAAGGTGGCTATAGATCAAGGTCTCCTCCCCGAGGACTTGTTCTGCTGCCCCAGGCCATGTCTGCCTCCAGAAGGACAGGTAGCAGAGCCCCTTGTTCTTGGCAGAGGAGAAACAGGAAAGTTTGCTGCCTGTTAAGTGGCCTCTGCAGGCCCTGGCTGCCCCAGGGGCACAAAAAGCCTTAGCTGGGCAGCCAGCTAAGGCAGCTCTAAAAGGCTGACAGCGGCCAGGCGCAGTGGCTCATGCCTATAATCCCAGTACTCTGGGAGGCTGAGGTGGGAGGGTCGCTTGAGTCCCTGAGTTCAAGACCAACCTGGGCAACATAGCAAGACACCATCTCTACAAAAAACTTTAAAAATTAGCTGGGAGTGGTGGCATGTGCCTATAGTCCCAGCTACTCAGGGGGCTGAAGTGGGAGGATCACCTGAGCCCAGGAGTTGGAGGCTGCAGTAAGCCGAGATCGTGCCACTGCACTCCAGCCTGGGCAACAGAACAAAACTGTCTCAAAAAAGGGGTGGGGGGATGTGTAGGGAGGGGTTTCAGACTGCTCAGGGGGCTCTCTGCCAACAGCAAAGTGAGGAAACAGTAGCTAGGGATCAAGTCCAAGTGGCTGCCCGTGTCCCCAGGTGCCCCTCCCAGTGTCACGGAGCCACAGAGGGACAGACACTCAGGCAGTGGCCCTCGTCCCAGGTTACTACATGTAGCCCCTCTGGCCCTGATTTTCTGGCCACCCCAAGGCCATTCTCCTCCTGGGTTCCCAGCACATGAGCCACTGTCATTTGCAAGCCCAGTCCCTCAGCCCTGGGCTCCCAGGCAGCAGCCAACTGGTCAACTGACTTTGGGTTTCTTTCTGCATCAGGGGTCTCTGGAGGATCAAGTCATCCAGGCAAACCCTGTGCTGGAGGCCTTTGGGAACGCCAAGACCACCAGGAACAACAACTCCTCTCGCTTCGTAAGTGTGGGGACCACATGAGAGGCCCCCTGGCTGGTGGGACAGGGGTCACGACCCCGCCCCAGGTAAAGAAATGGAGGCTGGTTTAAATTAAGGTGAAAGGGGTGGGACAAGTGAAGACATCCCCTTCCCAGAGATGTTGAAGGCACAGCAATCAGAATCAAATTGGCAACGAGGAAAAACTAATTCAAAAGACAAATAATCCCTCGTGGAATTCAGCTCAAGGTTTGAAGACTCTTCCTAGCCAGTCCAATTGGCCTCAACACCAAGAACTACAAATTGCAAATTTAACAGGTCATTTTGTATCAAAAGATCAATTATGAAGCATCTAGAATTTTTCAATTGTGCGAAAACATTCTCTGGGTTCTGCAGAGACCCAGACAGGGTTAACTTTTTTTTGTTTTGATTTGTTTCCCCCTCAGAAATTGGTTTTCTTTGATGTACCCAAGTGTTACATTTCTCAATAAAGAAAAGAAAATCTCCATTAGCATAAAAGAAGGAGGCTGGGCACAGTGGCACACTCCTGTAATCCCAGCACTTTGGGAAGCCAAGGCAGGAGGATCCCTTGAGCCCAGGAGTTTGAGACCAGCCTCGGCAACAGAGCGAGACCACCCGCCATCTCTATAAAAAATAAAAATTAGCCGGGCATGGCCATGCCTGCCTGTAGTCCCAGCTACTTAGGAGGCTAAGGTGGGAGGATCACCTGAGCCCAGGAAGTCAAGGTTGCAATGAGCTGAGATTATGCCACTGCACTCCAGCCTGGGCAACAGAGTAAGACCCCCTATCTCAGGGGGGATAAAAAGCATCTAATCAGCAAACAGAACCCTCTTTAGTATTAATATTTAAGTCAAGCAGCTTTGATACAGAACCTTGGCAACAGTGATGGTGGAGGGGCTGGGAGGTCACCTGGGGAGACAGATTCACAGCAGCGAGAAGCTGCAACCTCCTTCCAGGCTGGAGGGACATAAGAGAGGTGCTGTCCTAGGGTCCTAGTGGGTTCTTAAACCAGTGCAGCTGTCTGGCGGGAGCTGTAGTCACAGAGGCACCCAGCACCACCTGAGACGCCAACTTGAGAGGAGCAATGCCCTGGCCTCGTCTCCCTCACTCCCGGGTCTCGGGCTTCCCATTGGCAGAGCCCAGTGAGCTTGCACAGAGCCTGGGAAAACAGGGCTGGCGGGGGGTGAGGGGAGGAGCAGAGGTGAGTACAGACAGGCCCAGGAGCAGCCGAGGTAGAGAGAGATAGAGAGTCCTGTTTCCGGAAGAATTTATTGATGGCTGTACCATGCAAGCCAGAGAGAGGAATGACATGGAAGGCTCCCGATAAAGAGGCATGGGAGGTCCTCCAAATTCCCATGGTGCCTGGTCTCTATGCAGAATTCCAAAGGGTAGCAGCCCTCCTGCTGGGACTTCTCTCCCCTACAAATGCCCCAAACCACAGACCCTAGATTTAGCTCTGAGACCTGTCCGTGTGTTTCTCTATCTTCGTGGGAAATCCGATACTCCAATAGAGCCCGGTTACATCCCCGCAGGCCCCGATCAGCAACCCTTGGCCAACTCTGGGCCACTTACTGGTCTAAAGCTGTGGACGACCTCCCTCCTGATCCCTCCCCTCTCTTCCCTGCTCAGGGCAAGTTCATCCGAATCCACTTTGGAACCACAGGGAAACTGGCTGGAGCCGACATAGAGAGCTGTAAGTCAGGCCCTCCTTGGAGGGTTTGTCTGTGCAGCTACATAATCTGTGAGGCCTGGTGCAACATGAAAATGAGGGGCTCTTCTTAAAAAATATTAAGAATTTCAGGCCAGGCGAGGTGGCTTATGCCTGTAATTCTAGCACTTTGGGAGGCCGAGGCGGGAGGGTCGCTTGAGCCTAGGAGTTCAAGACCAGCCTGGGCAACATAATAAGATCCCATCTCTACAAAAAATGTGAAAAATTAGCCTGGCATGGTGGTACATGCCTGTAGTCCCAGCTACTCAGGAGGCTAAGGCAAGAGGATCACTTGAGCCCAGGAGTTAGAGGCTGCAGTGAACAGTCACCACTGGTGACTGTTCTGGGCTTTATGGAGAGGGGATTCCTGCTTTGAACCTGGGAGGCAGAGGTTGCAGTGAGCCGAGATCACTCCATTGCACTCCAGCCTGGGCAACAGAGCAAGACTCCATCTCAAAAAAATAAATAAATAAAAATAAATGAATAAATAAATAATCACACCACTGCACTCCAGCCTGGGTAACGCAGCAAGACCCTGTCTCTAAAAATAATAATAATAATAAAGGAATTTTGAAACAGCAACAGAGGAGCATCAAGCCAAGTGGGAGGTCCTTCTGATTGCAGCCTGTTGGTGCCCAGGAGGCTGGCCCCGTTCCCAGGACTCCCCCCGTGGCAGTCAGGTCCCCGGAGGCTGCGTGTCTGGGAAGAGCGAAGCGTGGGGCTCACCACTGGTGACTGTTCTGGGCTTTATGGAGAGGAGATTCCTGCTTTGTATGGAGCCCTGAACTCCAGGGAAACAGCTGTGTACTCACCAGGATCTTCACTTCTTTTTCAGATCTCTTAGAGAAATCTCGTGTCATCTCACAGCAAGCAGCCGAGAGAAGCTACCACATCTTCTACCAGATTCTCTCAAACAAGAAGCCTGAACTTGTTGGTAAAGACCTTTATGTCTATCCACCTGCCCCTGACCTTGCTTTTCTTCTTTTCCATAAGCAAAGATTTCCCATGTGCAAGGAGTCTCATGTCACTCCTAGGGTTCTGTGATAATGTCTTCAGTTTAAAGTGATGTGAATCGGGCTGGGTGCGGTGGCTCACGCCTGTAACCCCAGGACTTTGGGAGGCAGAGGCAGGTGGATCACCTGAGGTCAGGAGTTCAGGACCAGCCTGGCCAACATGGTGAAACCCCGTCTCTCCAAAATACAAAAAAATTAGCCAGGCATGATGGCAGGTGCCTGTAATCCCAGCTACTCGGGAGGCTGACACAGGAGAATCAGTTGAACCTGGGAGGTGGAGGTTGCAGTGAGCCAAGATCACTCCATTGCACTGCAGCCTGGGCAACAGAACAAGACTCTGTCTGAAGAAAAAAAAAGAAAAGAAAAGAAAATTCATGTGAATGTGTTACAGGGAACTTTCTCAAAGTTCTATTTGCACATCTCATCCTCATAGTAGCCAGATGAGGACCACTGTGGGCCCATTTCACAGATGAAGCTTTGAGTACCTGCAAAATCTGGGATATAAAACTGAGATGTGAGGCTTTAAACCCTTTATGTCTGCCACCTGCTGCCTCTGAGTCTGATACTCGGGCACCAGCACAGGGATCAGCCCAAGACCATGATCAGCTCTGCCAGTGCTTGCATGCAGTCCCAGCAGGCTCTCCTCTTGGTAGACACAGCCCACACCAGGCACACAGCTCAGAAAGTGGAGTACACTCACCCACTCAACTGGATGCCCTTGTGCAGGCACCAACATGCTCAACTGTCCACGGCAGACCTGCCCAGACATAAAGTGGGAGGAGGGATGAAGACTCAGTCTTACACACACACACCTCCTAACCCAGCCAGAAATAAGGGCATTGAGTACCATTCCCCACCCACAGGTGGGCTTTATTTGTTTGGACAAAGTATACTTTTAAATTAACAACATTTTGAAATTGGGAGACTTCACATAAAAATGCAATTTCCAGCCAGGTGCAGTGGCTCATATCTGTAATCCCAGCACTTTGGGAGGCAAAGGCAGGAGGATCGCTTGAGCCCAGGAGTTTGAGACCAGCCTGGGCAATTTAGCAAGACCCTGTCTCTACAAAAACTAAAAAAATGGCTGGGCGCAATGGCTCACACATGTAATCCCAGTACTTTGGGAGGCCGAGGCAGGCAGATCATCTGAAGTCAGGAGTTCGAAACCAGCCTGGCCAACATGGCGAAACCCCATCTCTACTGAAAATACAAAAATTAGCTAGGTGTGGTGGTGGGCACCTGTAATCCCAGCTACTTAGGAGGCTGAGGTGCAAGAATCGCTTGAACCCAGGAGGCAGAGGTTGCAGTGGGCCGAGATTGCGCCACCACACTCCAGCCTGGGTGACAGAGCAAGACTCCGTCTCAAAAAATTTTTTTAAAATAAATAAGTAACAAAAATTAGCCAGGTGTGGTGGTGCCTGTGGTCTCAGCTACTCAGGAGGCTGAGGCAGGCAGATCACTTAAGCCCAGGAGTTCAAGGCTGCAGTGAGCTATGATTGTGCCACCGTACTCCAGCCTGGGTGACAGAGCCAGACCCTGTTGAAAGAAAGAGAGAGAGAGAAAGAGGAAGGAAGGAAAGAAGGAAGGGAGGGAGGGAGGGAGGGAGGAGAGGTTAGAGATGGCAGAGAAGAAAACCACATGTCACCAAGGGTTAACCTGCTTTGCTATTCTTGGCAGAGAGTTTGCTGCTGGTCCCCAACCCTAAGGAATACCACTGGGTGAGCCAAGGCGTCACCACTGTGGACAACATGGATGACAAGGAGGAGCTGCAGATCACAGATGTGAGTGGGCGGGCAGAGCTGGCACAGGACGGGAAGAAGCCTTGGGACTCTGCATGCATGGCCACTAGAACTGGGGTGGCAGTGGGGACAGGAGCCCACTTAGAGCTGCCAGACAGCTGCCCAGATCTTCCCTGGAGATTTCTGGGGTTGCGATCAGCATTTTATTCCAAGCCCATTTTAGCAAGCCAAGTTTCTCTTTGCAGAGTCGAACTAGAATTCCATGGGGACTTCAGGGGCCTTCAACCCCATGCAACTTTTCCTCCTCCCCAGCCCAGCTAGAAGTGACTCTGTCATTCTCCCAGTCCCCAACACACTCTCTGGCTCCTCTTATGACACTAAGCACTCACAACTTCTGTTAGGATTATTTGTGTACTAGGTTCTCTCTCCTCTTGGACAACAGAATCGATTCCTGATTTATCTTTGCCTTCCCCTCACCTAGTACCTGGCATGAAGCCTTAACAATAATAATAGTGCCAGGCACAGTAGCTTACACCTGTAATCCCAGTGCTTTGGAAGGCTGAGGCAGGAGAATTGCTTGAGTCCAGGAGTTTGAGACCAGCCTAGGCAACATACTAAGATCCCGTCTCTGCAAAAAAAAAAAAAAAAAAAAAAAAAATTTAAATTTGAAAATTAGCTGGGTGTGATGGCAAGCACCTGTTATGATAACCAGCTACTCAGAAGGCTAAAGTGGGAGGATCACTTGAGCCCAGGAGTTCTAGGCTACAATCAGCCATGATCATGCCACCGCACTCTAGCCTGGGCAACAAAGTAAGACCCTATCTCAAAAAAAATAAAATAAAATAACTGGCCAGGCATGGTAGCCCACAGCTGTAATCCCAGCACTTTGGGAGGCCAAGGCAGGGGGATCACTTGAGGTCAGGAGTTCAAGACCAGCCTGACCAACATGGTGAAACCCCGTCTGTACTAAAAATACAAAAAATTAGCCAGGCATGGTGGCGCATGCCTGTAATCTCAGCTACTTGGGAGGCTGAGGAAGGAGAATCACTTGAACCCAAGAGGTGGAGGTTGCAGTGAGCGGAGATTGTGCCACTGCATTCCAGACTGGGCGACAGAGGGAGGACTCCATCTATAAATAAATTAATTAATTAAACAAAATTAGCCAGGTGTGGTGGCACGCACCTGTTATCCCAGGTACCTGGGAGGCTAAAGTGGGAGGATCACTTGAGCCCAGGAGTTCTAGATTGCAGTGAGCCATGATCGTGCCACTGCACTCTACCCTGGGCAAAAAAGTAAGACCCTATCTCAAAAAATAATAAAATAACAATACTAATACCTCCCTTTCTTGAGCACTTACTATGTGCCAAGCACTGGACTAAACATTGTCACATCATTCTGATCTATCCTTATCATCATCATTTTGCAGATGACGAAACAGAAGCCAGAGAGGTTACTGTAAATAAATGAAATGACTATATTGCAGAACATCTGATCTGGGCCCCTTGGAGAACTCTCCCTGTTCAGGGGGTGTCCAACTCCAGCGTCCATGCCCTGCCGCAGTGGCCCTTCGGCATGGCCCCAGTGTGGCAGTCCCATGGCCTCCACTATGTGGAATGAGAGGCCAGGAGTCACATGACTTTGTCTCTGTTGCTTTGCAGGAAGCCTTTGACGTACTGGGCTTCAGCGCCGAGGAGAAGATGGCCGTGTATAAGCTGACGGGAGGTATCATGCACTTTGGGAACATGAAGTTCAAGCAGAAGCCCAGAGACGAGCAAGCTGAAGTGGACACCACTGAGGGTGGGTGCTGGGGCTTGGGCTGCTCAGGGACAAGGTGGCCAGTGCAGGGAGTTCCCTGCTTTCCAGGGCTTTGTGACCATTTCAGGGACATGCCAGGTCTATGTGGCTGCAAACCATGCATGTTCAGACATTGATATTTTCAGAAAGGCACAATTGAGTCAAGACATGATTTTGGCTTTTTGTTGTCGTTGTTGTTTTCATTTGTATTTATTTTTTGAGACAGGGTCTTGGTTTGTTGCCTAGGTGGGAGCGCAGTGGTGCAGTCATGCAATCATGGCTCACTGCAGCCTCAACCTTGTAGGCTCAAATGATCCTCCTGCCTCAAACCTTCTCAGTAGCTGGGACTACAGTGCACGCCACCACGCCTGGCTAATTTTTTAATTTTTTGTAGAAACGGGGTCTTGCTATGTTGCCCAGGCTGGTCTCAAACTCCTGGCCTCAAGTGATCCTCCTACCTTAACCTCCCAAAGTGCTGGAATCGCAGGCATAAGCCACTGTGCCCAGCTGCCACCTGACCTTGAGCAAGTGTAGAAACTACATCTTTGTTTTCTCATTGGCAAAATGGGATCTCCTCCACCCTCCCTTTCACCCGCTCCGTGAACCACAATAGATGTTGCCAGGTTTCTCCCAGGCATGGCAACATCTTCCTTGCACTCACCTGCCTTTTTTGTCTCTACTCAGTGGCTGACAAAGTCGCCCATCTCATGGGTCTCAACTCTGGTGAACTGCAGAAAGGCATTACCAGGCCCCGAGTCAAAGTTGGCAATGAGTTTGTGCAAAAAGGCCAGAACATGGAACAGTGCCAAAACTCCATTGGGGCTCTGGGCAAGGCTGTCTATGACAAGATGTTCAAGTGGTTGGTGGCCAGGATTAACAAGACCTTGGACACCAAGATGCAGAGGCAGTTCTTCATTGGAGTGCTGGACATCGCTGGCTTTGAGATCTTTGAGGTGTGCCTGGCCTTGCATTTGGTTTTTGCTTTGGGGTGGCTGTCCTCCTTATATAAGCTACTTTTTTGCTTATATAAGTTATAAAGTTCTCTTGTTTCTCACCTTGGACCTGGGGCAGACCAATCTCGGTTTGCCACTGGATCTCTGACTTTTGGACTCCAGAAATTTCCAGCTTCATTTGTATGGTGCCAAGTCATAAAGAATGGTGTGAACTTTAAGGATGGGATGAGTGGTGTGCTGAAGCCAGCCTGTACTGGCTAACAAGAGCTGATTGTGAAATTTTCAGGAATTTTGTGAGCCAGTTGACATCATGTTGATAGCTTGAAATTAGCCATGGCTTGAATATTTACACCATGGACATTGGCAAACACTATAAATCGGGTTTGGTTTTAAGAAGAGCTGATCAATCAGCTCACCACTAAAAAAAAAAAGCTTGTAAACCCCTTGTATTAGTCCATTTTCAAACTGCTATAAAAAACTACCTGAGACTGGGTAATTTATAAAGAAAAGAGGCTTAATTGACTGACAATTCTGCATGGCTGGGGAGGCCTCAGGAAACTTACGATCATGGTGAAAGGCAAAGGGGAAGCGGGCACATCTTACATGGTGGCAGGAGAAAGAGAGCAAGGGGGGAGGTGCCAAATACTTTTAAACCATCAGATCTCCTGTGAACTCCCTTGCTATCATGAGAACAGCATGAAGGAAATCTGACCCTATGATCCAATGTGGGGATTACAATTGGAGATGAGATTTGGGTGGGGACATACAGCCAAACCATGTCACCCCTTAAACTCCTTCATCTTACAGATGAGGAGAAAAATTACAGAGAAAGAGACAAACTGCCCTCAGGCATACGGGGGTCAGATCCATAGAGCATTTCGAGTGATTTCCATCCCTGGAAAGAAAATGGTTATTTCTTCAATGATTTCTGTTCAGGCTGGGGCCGCATGCAGTGGCTTATGCCTGTAATCCCAGCACTTTGGGAGGCAAAGGTGGGGGGATCACTTGTGCCCAGGAGTTTGAGACTAGCCTGGGCAACAGGGTGAGACCTCATCTTTTTTTATTTTTGTTTATTTATTTTTTTTGAGACAGAGTTTCACACTTTTTCCCCAGGCTGGAGTACAATGGTGCCATCTCAGCCCACTGCAACCTCCGCCTCCAGGGTTCAAGTGATTCTCCTGCCTCAGCCTCCCAAGTAGCTGGGATTACAGGCGTGCGCCACCACGCTTGGCTAATTTTGTATTTTTAGTAGAGATGGGGTTTTACCATGATGACCAGGCTGGAGACCTCATCTCTTTAATATATATGTGTGTGTATATATATATATGTGTGTGTGTGTGTATATATATATTATACATATATACATACATATTATATATACATATATACACGTATATTGTATGTATATATTATATATATGTATGTATGTGTATATATTATATATATATGTATGTATGTGTATATATATATATATATATTTCTGTTTACCATACAGGGCTGAAGTCTGGTTGCCTGGACTTTGGGTCTGAACATCATACTGTGTGGCCCGAGGCATGTGTTAAACCACTTTGTGCCTCTGCCTCTGTAGGGGAGGGAACAGAGAGCTACTTCTCATAGGGTGCTGAATGGCCAGTGTTAGGCACTTAGGGCAGTGCCTGACACTAGTGGGCCCTCTGCAAAGTTTTGCTTTGCTTGTGGTCGCTTCATTCAATCCTGGGAGAGGCTCTCTGTGCCTGTGCTGACGCCCCTCTTTCTGCCCTCCTGCCGCCACAGTTCAACAGCTTTGAGCAGCTATGCATCAACTTCACCAACGAGAAGCTGCAGCAGTTCTTCAACCACCACATGTTCGTGCTGGAGCAGGAGGAGTACAAGAGGGAAGGCATCGAGTGGGTCTTCATCGACTTTGGCCTCGACCTTCAGGCCTGCATCGACCTGCTGGAAAAGGTGACTTGCTTCTCAAAGGAGGGATTGGAGAGAGGCCAGGGCCAAGGGATGTCACTGGCACATGCAGGGAGGTGGCACTTGGCTTCAGGGGAGTCAGTGACACCACCAGTGACCTTCCTTGGTATGACCTCTAGCTCCCTATCTGCAAAATGGGTACTGAAGTGACTGCAATGACTACTGTTTGTTGGGCTATTGCATGCCACCATTCATTGGATCATCACAACCTACTGCATGTGGGGGAGGGGATACTTTTATTACACCCATTTCACAGATGGGAACATTGAGGCACAGAGATGGGAACATTGAGGCACAGAGAAGGGAACTTCCTTGTCCAATGTCCCACAACCTGTGAGTGGCAGAGTCACGCTCTGACCCAGGCAATATAATAGTTTTACCTATAACCACATCCACATGGAAGGTTTTAGCAAATGGTCCCCTTCAAGAATGTGTGTTGTGGCCAGGCATGGTGGTTCACACCTGTAATCCCAGCAATTTGGGAGGCTGAGGTGGGTGGATCACCTGAGGTCAGGAGTTTTGAGACCAGCCTGGCCAACATGGTGAAACCTCATCTCTAATACAAAAATTAGCCAGGTGTGGTGGCGGGCACCTGTAATCCCAGCTACTCAGGAGGCTGAGGGAGGAGAATCACTTGAACATGGAAGGCGGAGGTTGCAGTGAGCCGAGATTGTGCCACTGCACTCCAGCCTGGGCGACAGAGCGAGACTCTGTCTCAAAATAAATAAATTAAATTAAAAAAAAAAAGCAGAGAGCACAGGTGGCATTGACTTCCCCATTTTTCAGAAGGCCAAGCTTGCCAGGGGCCACTGTTTAGGTGGGATTAGCATTTGGGGAGCTATCTGGCCCCTTCAGATCTCAGTCTTCCCTTCTGTTGGACTCGATGATTTCAGCCTCTTTCAAGTCTTAATGGCCATGGTGTTTGATGACAAGGTCATGGAGCACCAGGCACTGTTCCCAGATGTCACTGCACAGAGTCCTGCTTCCTGGATGCCCACGTGGGTGTCTGGTGCATCTCTACACTGGCCCTGGGCTCAGTACCAGTTTGTCCTCTTTTGGGTCCTGCCACCTCCTCTAACATCACCCTGTTCTCTTCCTTCCCAGCCCATGGGCATCTTCTCCATCTTGGAGGAACAGTGCGTCTTCCCCAAAGCCACCGATGCCACGTTCAAGGCAGCCCTGTACGACAACCACCTGGGCAAGTCCAGCAACTTCCTGAAGCCCAAGGGGGGCAAGAGCAAGGGGCCCGAGGTCCACTTCGAGCTGGTTCACTACGCAGGCACCGTGAGTACTGGCCTCAGGGTCCCTCTGTGTTTCAGGTCCCAGCTGGCTGCCATCACTGCCGCTGTTGTAGGTACATGCTGACACACCCCTCCAGAGACGTCCCGCTTCCACTAGTGCACAACCATGGTATAACAGGGTAATCAGCCAATTGAAGTGAGCTCCGCTCACACTTCCTCATCACTTCTCCAAGGGAAATATCCATTAGGGAACAGCCATCAGACCTGTCCAGGCCACACCCTGCCCAGGCCCATCAGACCTGTCTGGGCCCTTGGTTTGACAGCTGAACTTCAGTCTTGGCCAGAAATGACAACATTTGCGAAAAGAACAAAAAAGAACAAACAACAAAAATTCCACGAGCCCATTAATTACTCCCAACTGATAACCTGGCTCTCTGACAGCTCATAGCCACCAAACCAACAAGGTGACATATATAAAGTGGCTTTTTCACTCATGACAAACTTAGTCCTTGGGAAGTGGGGAAATTAAGTGCAGCCAGGACTCAGGTTGCATTTGCATAATTAATAGGGGAGGTGACGTTCATCCTGCCAGCTTATAAGAATGCATTTTGTTTCCTTGGGATTTTATTATCGCTGTAAGTGCCAATGCTCCTGTTACCAATGGAGGTTGCTGAGCCTCTGTGGGTTTGACTGCCATGAAACAGCAGCCTTAAGACAGAGCTGTCAGGAAAGTCATGATGGCATTGGGCATCAGGGCCAAGGCTTTATGATACCATCAACCATAACCATAATGCCAATTGCTTGTAAAATGGATGTGGCCGATACTTGGAGCAAACAGCAGGCTTGGGACCAAATTGCAGCTCTCCATCCCCTCTTCCCACACTGAACTGAGAAGAGTTCCTTATTTATAGCAATGGAATATTCAAAGTCAAGTGGCACCTGTGCATTTCCAAGAAGGCCCTAAAATAAGGCAGAGATGACAAATGTCTTTGTGCTGCACAGGAGATGGCAAACCCAGAAGTTCTGGCATCTCCTCTACTTACCTCACTTCTCTGTGCTCAGTGGAGGGACCTGAAAGACTCCTTCCTCCTTACCCTTGCCATGGGGACCATGTGGCAAGATGGGAAGCAGAAATTAGTGGATGTCCAAATACCTGGATATATGGAGCCCCCAGTGCTGGATGGATGGAGCCCCCTTTCCATCAGCCAATGACCCTACAGTGATGTAAGACAGTGTGCATGCTCCCCTAGCAAGGAGAGACCCTACAGTGTTTCAAGAGGGGCTGCATGCTTCCCAGCAAAGAGATTTCTTCACGTAGC
Organism: Homo sapiens; assembly: GCF_000001405.40. Classification (NCBI taxonomy): domain Eukaryota; kingdom Metazoa; phylum Chordata; class Mammalia; order Primates; family Hominidae; genus Homo; species Homo sapiens. Next base: position 99,262,910 of record NC_000007.14, read on the forward strand.
TCGGGATTCTACAGCCACGGTCAGTCACAGACAGCAAACCACTGGGCAGAAGAAGACCCAAGGGTCAGGGAGGGTCAGCGTGGCCAGCAGAGTAAGCTGTGCAAGAGAAGGTCACACAGCCCAGGAGAGAGTAGCAGGGGAGTCTGGGTTTATGTGCAAAGCTCAGAGTTGGCGTATCCTAGATGGGCAAACTGCAAATGCCCAAGAAGGCAGATGATGGAGCCTCCAACTCAGATGGGGCTTCAGGGGCATCCCAGGACACCAGGAGAGTCATGAGGACAAGAACTGGAGCCCCAGGATGTGGGGGTGAAAGTTGGTCCTGGGAGCTGAGAACAGGAGAGAGCTGTAGGAGGGGCTCTAGCTGTGGCACCTGAAAGGGAGAGGCTGAACCTCAAAGTTACCCACTGGCGTTTGCCCTCTCCAGGTGGGATATAACATCACAGGCTGGCTGGAGAAGAACAAAGACCCCCTGAATGAAACAGTGGTGGGCTTGTTCCAGAAATCGAGTGTGGCAATCCTGGCCCTTCTCTTCAAAGAAGAGGAGGCTCCAGGTAGGGCTGACCCCTTGTTGTGTCCAGTATCCCTGTGCTGATGCCCTTTAGTGGCCAAAATGGAAAGAAGAAACCAAAACTCTTTGATTCAACTCTTGTGGAATAAGTGAGTGAGTAAGTGAGTGAACCGATGGATGAATGAATGAATGAAAAGTGGCTTGAGATAGGCCATGGATGATACTGCAAAAGAGGCAAGCAGAGGCAACATGGGAGCTTCCAATGATTGAACTGATTGCTGGGCACATCTTGCCTCTAGGTGGATGGATACTGCTTTGGAAAAGTTGACACCCAGATGTTCTATGTTTCTTTTCTGTTTCCCTCTCTCTTGTCAGAAGCAAATGCCAAGCTCAGTCCTGCCTCTCTTCCAATAGAGGTCATGTGGCTCATAGAGGAATGCTCTGGTGGATGCTGCCCCATAGGGTTGCCAATTAGTGGGGCCAGAAACACCAGTCTCCCTGGTCTCACCACCAAAGTGCACCTTCTCCCATGGTCTATGGGTGCTTCTTCCTCCCCAGAAAATGGGAGCAGTTTGTCACCTTGCATCAGAAATCACAAAAGACTGCACCCTCCCAAGGAGCACAGCAACTCTTTTGAGAATTACGCTGTAGCCAGCCCGTTTGATCACTCCCCGGTAGATCTCATTTTCCTCACATGAGGGTCCCCCTTATCCAGCCCTAAGATAAGCCTTTTTAAATCCAAAGAATGTGTGTGCTTTGCTGCAGAGTGCTTAATGGGGCTGCCTTTCTCCATACTGGGTACTGATGTGAAACGTGCTTGTCCCTTCCTCAGCCGGAAGCAAGAAGCAGAAGAGAGGCTCCTCCTTCATGACAGTCTCCAATTTCTACAGGGTGAGCAGGGGTGCCCCCAACCCTCCCTTTCAATGTTGGGTAGTCTGGCTGCTGCTTCATGGCCAGGGGCAGGATGATTTCATTTTTCTGTCTATGATCGCCTCTTTACCTGGAGGGGTCTGTTTCCTTCTGAAGAGGCCACAGAATCATAGGATCATTGGGCAGAAGAGACCCATTTTTGGATTTAAACCTGGAGAGTAAAGGGATTTGTGCAGCGTGATCACGCGAGATAGCAATGCCCAAGAGCTTGTGTCCTAGAGTTGGCTGGCAGGTCTTGGGCTGGCCACAACTTCCATGAAGTTTGGGCATTACCTTCCAAAGTGCAGTCTACAAGGAGATGTTGCACAAAGGAAGATGTCAACACTTTTCAAGAATCAGGCTGTCCCAAGGCAGAGTGGGTCACCTCATTGGAGATATCCAAGCAGAGGAGGAGGGAGCATCCATTAGGGAAGCTAACAGTGGACAGGGCTTTGCCCACACAGACCCTATGGTTCCTCCTAGTACTGAGATTCTACAACGACCCAGCTCTGAATCTGGAGGGGCCCCACTTCTTGCAAACCACGGCCCCTTGAGCAAGTCATTGGACCTTGAGAGCAGTGCTGCCCAATGGCACTTTCTGCAATGATGAAACGTTCTCTTCTGCACTGCCCAATACGGTAGCCGCTAACCACATGTGGCTGAGTTTTAATTCAGTTTTAAGTGAATAAACTTTAAACAAATACCTCTCCTGCATGTGGGTGTCCTGCAACATCAATGCAAAGTTTCACTCACTTGTTCTTTGTCCTCCAACCCCAGGAGCAGCTGAACAAGCTGATGACCACCCTCCATAGCCGCACCCCATTTTGTCCGCTGTATTATCCCCAATGAGTTTAAGCAATCGGGTATGTTGTGGGGTCACGGCTCCCTGCTGGAAGTCCTGAGGTTCTGTGAAGTTAGTGTTCATTCCAAATTAAGTCCACCTTTCATCACCAAGGCTGATGGGGGCAAAACAAGGCTCTGAGAGAAACCTCAACAATGGGTCATCCAAGAATCATATTCTAGCTGCTTTATAAAGCAGAATGGTGCCCAGCCAGGCAGAAATCAAACTTGGGAGCTTTTGGGCATTGGCCAAATGGTGGGGGACCTGGGGCCTCTGGGACAGTGACAGGAGAAGACTGGGGATGATGGCACAGATGCTCAGTTCAGCCTCCTTGAGTGGCCAGGACTGGCCTGTCCCACCCCAGAGGAGGGACTCTCCATCCTGCACCCTCCCCCTTGGCAGGTGTGATAGACGCCCACCTGATCATGCACCAGCTAGCTTGCAATGGTGTCCTGGAAGGCATCCGTATCTGCAGGAAGGGCTTCCCAAACAGGCTGCAGTACCCGGAGTTCAAACAGAGGTGAGTGATGTCTCCCTGGGTGCAAGGCTCAGATGCCCAGGAGTTGACCAGCTGATAAGTCACATCCCACTGCAGCAGATATTATGGTGCTCTGCCAATACCACCTCACCATCAGTCACTACCTTAGTACACACTGGCCCAAATTTCAGAAGAGATTGGGCATGTTCAGGGTGGTATGGCCATAGACACTTGCCCAAATTTCAACTGCCAGCCCCTGCATTTCTCAGCTGCTGGATGCTGCTTTGCCCTTTCTTGGCAAGCTGAAAGTCCTGGGAATTAATGCCTCCCTGGAAGGAGCCCTCAATCAGTGACTGAGGAGAGCTGGTGTATAAATACCTCAGCTCCCTCACCCTTCTGGTGGCTAAATCTGAGACATTTTCCAGACATGCGCTCAGACAGCAGTGTGTTGGTAAATGTTAAACAAGAGCTCTTCTGGTCCAAAAAAAACCCCGATTGCTAGTGTCTGCCCATTTCCATGATGTAAATACTCCCACTGTGGCTCCCAGTGATCCCAGCAGCATTAAGCTCCAGTTGCCTGTTGCACTAACTGCCCCCATAACGTGCCTTTTATTGGCTTTCTTCCCATTCCCCACTCTGCCACCTCCCAGATAAACTACTTGCACTTGAATTCTTATCTCAGGGTCTGCTTCTGGACGAACACTGGGGTAACTAATACCCCCACCTTAGAGATGATCTTCTACCTCCTCCAACTTCCTAGAACATAGGGCCACAGATTGATGGATCAGGAAAGGTCACTAGAGGTCACCTTATCCAAGCCCCTCTGAAGTCCCCAGTTGGGGACTTGTGTGTCCAAGATCACAAAGGGGGCTGCTCCCAGGTCATGATAAAAAACCTGTTTGCTGATGTCTGGATCAATGCCCTTTTCTCAACTCCAAGCTCTATCAGGAAGGGATTTTGGTGTCTTCATTTCTAGAAACAGCTCCTCCCTGTACCCCCAACCCACACCAATGTCCACTCCCAAGCTGTAGCCCTTATTCCAAAGCCTCCTATTGATCTCATCTCTCTGCCTCCCAGGGGCATCTGTCAAACAAGTCTAATCTCTGTCCAAAGTCCATCTCAAAGACCAGCGGATAACCGCATGAACATGTTTTATGTGCTGTCAGCTTGGGCACAGTGATGACTGTCAATCATCTCTCTCCTGCCAGGTACCAAGTGCTGAACCCCAACGTGATTCCCCAGGGGTTCGTGGACAACAAAAAGGCCTCAGAGCTGCTGCTTGCAGCCATTGACCTAGATGTGAATGAATACAAAATTGGACACACCAAGGTAGGGTATGGTGGGCGGTCTCCCCCTACACACCCCCTCAGCCTTTTTCCAAGAAGGTGGGCTTTGGGGTGTGGATTCCACCTGACCACTGACCAATGGCCTACTTCGGGCAAGTCTGCCAGCTGCTGAGAGCCTCAGTTTCCTGAAAAATCAAGATTGGTCATGCCAGTCTCATAGAATTTGGGGAGATTAGAGGCAACACGCATAGAACTCAGCTCAGCTCAGAGGGGAACTCAATCAATGGTAGAATATTTCTTAGAACCCTACGTTTTGTTTTGTTTTGTTTGAGACAGGGTCTTCCTGGAGTGCAGTGGTGCAATCACAGCTCACTACAACCTGGAACTCCCAGGCTCAAGTGATCCTCCTGCCTCAGCCTCCCAAGTAGCTGGGACTTAAGGCATACACCATCACACCCAGCTAATTTTTTAAATTATTTGTAGAGATGGGGTCTCACTCTGTTGCCCAGGCTAGTCTCAAACTCCTGGGCTCAAGCAATCCACCTGCCTCGGCCTCCCAAAGTGCTGGGATTACAGGCATAAGCCACCACACCTGGCCTGAGCCCTGAGTGTCCAAGAATAAAAAGGGCCAATGAGAATCAAGGTCATGGATCTGGCCCGTGGGGAAGTTTGCTTGGGCAGAGCCTGGACAATGAAGCACTGTAAGCCCAGCTCTGAGCCAGCGGCTGAGATGGGACTGACTCAGACAGAGCAACCTCCTGCTCCTGACTCATGGGGCCCGAGTTGCCCTGGGTCTATCCCATTTCCTGGCCCTGCAGCATCCTGGTGGGGTTGTAAAGGCTAGCCAGGCCAGTGGTGCCAGGTGTCCTTCTATAGCCGCCCTGCCCCCCACAACAAACTGCACCCCAACATGATCGCCCCGTGACACAGGAGGTTCACAGGCTTTGCAGTCAGGAGAGTCAGCTCAAAGCCTGCCTCTGTGCCGCCTGGAGCAGATCATTTCTCTCTCCAAGTTCTCACGCATGACGCAGGCTTGGCATGGAAGCTTCCAGCATGCCTGTGCCTCTAATGCATCTGGTCACTCAGCAAACACTTATGGTGCGCCTACTGTGTGCCAGGCATGGTTCCAGGCTCTAGGGACACACAGTGAAGAGAACAGAATGAGTCCCTCACTCCCTGGAGCTTGCTTTATAATACTCTGTGTGTGTGGAATTGTAACACTGCCCTAGAACCTGCTGGAACTGTTTGTTTTGGCATCCTTCACAATTAAGATGTGCTGTAAATAGCTAGATTGACTTGCGGGGGACACTTGAGGTTTGGAGACAGGATCATGGAATAATTGAGCTGGAAAGAATCTTAGAAACCAACGGGCCCCTCCTTTCCCTACCCACCCTTGACAGATGGGAAACTTAAGAAAGCCTGGAGAGGGGGTGGAGGTGGCATGCCCAACTTCACAGAACGAAGCGGGACAGAGCTAGTCGGCATAAGGCCCACCAGTGGCGGTCGTGTGGCCGGGAAAGCCGGAGCTGGTATCTCAGAATCTGGCACAGCTCAGAATCTTGTCCGTTTACCACCTGGCCAAACAGACTGCATCTTGCTGTTGTACAAGGGTTGCATTAGGCACGTCAGTTCCAGGGGAAGGCCCAGGGCTGCTGGGGACAGTTTTGCTCCCTGAGGACTAGGCAGACTGGCAGCAGGAGGAGAACAAAGAACAGGATGGTTCTGACTGCAAATGGTGTTCCTATGTTTGGAGTTGGCTCAGGTGGGCCCCACCCCCAGCCACATGCTTGTTTCAAAGACTAAACCTCAACGCCAATTAATTTTGAAATATCAGGAAATGTTTTATGACATCAAGCCTGATTTCTCTACCTTGCGATGTCTAGCTCCTCGGGGGTCCTTTTGAGGGGCAGGGAGCATTCTTCCTCATCTTTTGCCCACAGTGGCTCAGTTAGGTGCTGTACTCCCTGGCCCCGTGTGGCATTTTGGGTTCCCGCAGCTCAGAGGTCCCAGGGGCCCTGCAGGCAGCATTCTGTCCGGACAGGAGGGGAAGCCTAGGTCCCCCAAAGGGACAGTGACTTAACCACAGTCAGACACACAGCACATCCAAGGAAGGCTGAGGCCAGAATGCAGGTCTCCTGGCACCTTCTATCCTTCTAAAAGTTTCTATTATGTCCTATTTGAAGCCTGTAAAAAGGTGTTACATTATGAAACATAATAATAAAGCCAGCACCCTGTGAACCCACTGAAAAGCCCAGAATGTCAACCTTTCATGTCTTTCCTCTCCCATCCCCTCCCTACCCCCAGGAGTAACCCTGTCTTGAATTTTGACATGAACCATTCTCTTTTTTTTTTTTTTTCTTAAGAGACATGGTCTTGCTCTGTCGCCCAGGCTGGAGTGCAGTGACACGATCACAGCTCACTGTGGCTTCAAACTGTTGGGCTCAAGCGGTTCTCCCACCTCAGCCTCTCGAGTAGCTGGGACTACAGGTGCACACCTCCACATCTGGCTAATTTTTGTATTTTTTATAGAGATGGGGTCTCAATATGTTGCCAAGGCTGTTCTCCAACTCCTGGGCTCAAGTGATCCTCCCACCTCGGCCTCCCAAAGTGTTGGGATTACAGGCATAAGCCACACCACCTGGCTTATTTCCTTACCTTTCAAAAATAGCTTTAGCACATATGCCTGCAGGTCGTGCTTGGTTTTGAGCTTCATGGAAGTATCATACTTGACACACCCTTCCGTGACATTCCTCCATGACGTGCTTTTATCGCTTTGCCATGTTTCTAAGCTTCATCCTCATTGGTACGTGACATTGTCACTGCCACACTGTACTGCAGTGCTGCTGTGAACATCCTTGCTCATGGTCCTGTGCAGGAATTTCTCTAGAACAAAGTTCTCAACCTTGGCTATACATTAGACTCATCTGGGGACACTTTTTTTTTTTTTTTTTTTTTTTTTTGAGACGGAGTCTCACTCTGTTACCCAGGCTGGAGTGCAGTGGCACTGTCTTGGCTCACTGCAACCTCCGCCTCCCGGGTTTAAGCGATTCTCCTGCCTCAGCCTCCCGAGTAACTGGGATTACAGGCACCTGCCAGCATGCCTGGCTAATTTTTTGTATTTTTAATAAAGACGGGGTTTCACCACGTTGGCCAGGCTGGTCTTGAACTCCTGATCTGCCCGTCTCAGCCTCCCAAGGCACTGGGATTACAGGTGTGAGCCATCGTGCCTGGCCTGGGGGGATTTTTAAAACATCAACAGGCAGGGCATGGTGGCTCATGCCTATAATTCCTGCATTTTGGGAGGCTGAGATAGGAAGATCACTTGAGTCCAGTAGTTCAAGGCCAGCCTTGGTTATGGGCAACATAACCAGACCTCATCTCAGAAAAAAAAATTTTTTTTTTTTTTTTTTGAGACTGTCTTGCTCTGTTGCCCAGGCTGGAGTGCAGTGGCGTGATCTCGGCTCACTACAAGCTCCGCCTCCCGGGTTCACGCCATTCTCCTGCCTCAGCCTCCTGAGTAGCTAGGACTACAGGCGCCCGCCACCACGCCCGGCTTTTTGTATTTTTAGTAGATATGGGGTTTCACCATGTTAGCCAGGATGGTCTCGATCTCCTGACCTCATGATCCACCCACCTCGGCCTCCCAAAGTGCTGGGATTACAGGCATGAGCCACTGCGCCCAGCCGAAAAAAATTTTTTTAATTAGCTGGACATGGTGGCACATGCCTGTAATCCCAAGCACTTTGGGAGGCTCAGCCTGGATAACATAGTGAGACCCTATCTCTACAATAATAATAATAAATTTAGCCAGGCATGGTGGCATGTGCCTGTAGTCTCAGCTACTTGGGAGACTGAGATGGGAGGATTGCTTAAGCTCGGGAGGTTGAGGCTGCAGTGATCCGTAATCGCGCCACTGCACTCCAGCAAAACAAACAAACAAAAACCCTTCTTTGATTTAAAACTCCCCCAAGTGGCTGCCATCGGTGACAGCCGGGCTTTTTCAAAGGCGTGCGGTCTTTCCCCAGGTGTTCTTCCGTGCGGGCATCCTGGCCAGGCTTGAGGACATGAGGGACGAGCGTCTGGCCAAGATCATGACGATGCTGCAGTGTCGGCTTCGGGGCTTCCTCATGAGGGTGGAGTTCAAGAAGATGCTGGAACGAAGGTAGCACTCACAAACACCGACAGGAAGGCCCAGAGGAGCCACACGCACTCAGGGCCAGCTCCACTGGCCATGCTGCGTGGTGGGCCAGGGGTGGATGCCAATGTCTTGCTGGCACAAAGAACCCTGTGTGGCTGGCCAGGTGCGGTGGCTCATGCCTGTAATCCCAGCACTTTGGGAGGCTGAGGCGGGCGGATTGCCTGAGGTCGGGAGTTCAAGACCAGCCTGGCCAACATGGTGAAACCCCATCTCTACAAAAAATACAAAAATTAGCTGGGCGTGGTGGTGGGCACCTATAATCCCAGCTACTGGGGAGGTTGAGGCAGGAGAATCGCTTGAATCCGGGAGGCGGAGGTTGCAGTGAGCTGAGATCGTGCCATTGCACTCCAGCCTGGGCGACAGAAGCAAAACTCCGTCTCAAAAAAATAAAAAGAACCCTGTCTCTCAGAGCTGCCGCAACCAAGTTCACACACTGGGTGGCTTCAAACAACAGGAATTTTTAAAAATTTTTTTACTGATACCTAATAGCTATGCATATTTTAGGTTTTATGTGATAACTTGATACATTCATATAATAAAATCAGGATAACTGGGATATCCATCGCCTTAAATTTTATTTTTGAGTGGGGGATGGGGTCTTGCTCTGTAGCCCAGGCTGGAGTACAGTGGTGCGATCATAGCTCACTGCAGCCTCAACCTCTTGGGCTTGAGTGATACTCCCACCTCAGCCTCCTGAGTAGCTAGGACTACAGGTGCACTGTACCACACCTGGCTAATTTTTTTTTTGGTAGAGACAAGGTCTCCCTATGTTGCCTAGGCTCATTTCAAACTCCTGGGCTCAAGCAATCCACCTGCCTCAACTTCTCAAAGTGTTAGGATTACAGGCGTGAGCCACTGCGCCCAGCCCATCTTCCCTCTTTTTATATGGACACCAGTCATTGAATTAGGGTCCACCTTACTCCAGTATGACCACCTCATCTTAACTAGTTACATTTGCTGAGACCCTATTCCCAAACAAGGTTCCCTTCCTAGGTATTGGGTGTTAGGACTTCAACGTATCCTTTCGGAGGACACAGCTTAACCCCTAACAGGAAACAACTAATATAAACCCTCTCTTTATAGTTTCAAGTCATGTCACAGCCTTCCTCTTACTTGATTCACATAATGATGCTATGAGAGGGGCATGGTAGGGCCAGCACCCCCACTTTACAGATGTGGAAACTGAGGTCTGAGAGGTTAAGGAACTGGGGCAGGTTCATGCAGAGCCAGGATTAGAACTCAGCAATTCTCACTCCACATCCCTGCCCTTGGAACCATGTTTTTCAGCCATCTCCCTAACCTGGTAATTTTTAAAGGGCTGGGTCTGGCCAGGTGTGGTAGCCCATACCTGTAATCCCAGCACTTTGAGAAGCCAAGGTGGGAGATCACTTGAGCTCAGGAGTTTGAGACCAGCCTGGGCAACAGGAGATAGGGAGACCCCATCTCTACAAAAAAAAACAGAAACAAAAAATTCGCAGGTGGTGGTGCATGCCTGTAGTCCCAGCTACTTTGGAGGCTGAGGCAGGAGGATTGCTTGAGCCAGGGAGTACAAAGTTCCAGTGAGCCATAATTGCACCATTGCACTCTAGCCTGGGCAACAGAGTGAGACCCTGTCTCAAAAAAAAAAAAGGTAGGTCCATCCCAGATGACCTGTGATTCACTCTATTTCTTTGTGGTCATAGAATTAGTAATGAATTCCTGTTCCCATCAGCAGGCCACCTGCAGCCCTGGACTGAAGGCAGGGATACCAGTTAGGGGCTGATGTGAGGGATCTTGGCCTGATTCAGCCCAGGGCCTTGGTGCACAGGAGGTCCTCAATAAATGGCAGTTGAGTGAAGCTGCAGGGAACAAGAAACGGGCAGATTCCAGCAACTTTGCAGATCCATGGGATTTGGAGACTAATGGGTGATTTCTGGTGGAGGAGGGAAAATGCAGGAGTCAATGACTGGTATGTCTCAGCCTTGTGCCATCTGGGAGGGACCTGGTTCCATCAGGTTTCACCTCAGCTCCCTTATCGTGCTGCTAAGCTCTGACCCCAACGTGAGTCTCCCTGCCGCAGACCACATGGGCAATGCTGGGTCTCGAGAAGGCACTTTGGTGTCTGAACAAGGTAGATCTGCTGGCTTCTATTCCCAGGCCCCACCCCTTCCCCAGGGAAGCCAGGTCCTAACACCTTCATTGTAACCCACTCAACCCTGGATTCTTTTCGCAGAATGGGCCTGAAAGTCATTCAGCAGAACGTGCACAAGTTCCTGCAGCTCCGTTTCTGGGGCTGGTGGAAGCTGTACAACAAGGTGAGGGCCGAGGGGCCAGGCCAGGGGGGACTGCTGCTGCCTATGGGCTGGGGGAGGGCTTGATCCTGGACAGAGATGCCCCTCGGGAGTGAGAGGCTGCAAGAACAGTTTGAAAATGAGGGCACCTTAGAGACAAAAATCTAGCCTCTGTCCAGACAGGGACTAATTCCTCCCTAAGAAAAATCATGGGGCGGGCACAGTGGCTCACACCTGTAATCCCAGCCCTTTGGGAGGCTGAGGCAGGAGGATTGCTTGAGGCCAGGAGTTTGAGACCAGCCTGGGCAACACAGTGAGACCCCATTTCAAAAGAAAAGAAAGGAAGAGAGAGAGGAAAGTAAGAAAGAGAGGAAAGGAAGGGAGAGAGGAAAGGAAGGGAGAGAGGAAAGGAAGACAGAGAGGAAAGGAAGGGAGAGAGGAAAGGAAGACAGAGAGGAAAGGAAGGGAGAGAGGAAAGGAAGGGAGAGATGAAAGGGAGAGAGGAAAGGAAGGGAGAGAGGAAAGGAAAGGAGAGCAAGTGTCTTTCTGCCTTCCATCTCATCCCTCAAAATAAAATCCACTTAAGATGGAGAGCGCCATACCACCCCCACCAAAAAAAGTGAGCTTGATTATTGACTCCTTGCCCCTGGGCATGTTGAGGCATCTTCAACTCCAGTGAGTTCTTGGCTTAGAGCTGGGGGAACCTCAGGAAATGATAAGGTCCGACCTCTCATTTCCTGTTCTTCCGAAACAGCAATGAGTATGGTATGTGAGTCAGCCAGGTGGTGGGACCCACAGAGGTCCCAAGCAGCCAGGCCACCCTCAACCAAGGCAGGAGGCCACCAGCCATGGCACTGCACATGGGTCCAATCATGCCTGTGCTGGGGCCACCATTAAGAGGGACATGTCTCTGGGCACCAGAAGAGGGAGTCAGGCACCAGGCAGCTATGTTCAGGAGAAAGGAGGACCCGCAGAGGGTGGGGACAGGCTCTGAGTCATCTCGGGTGGCCCTGAGTCCTCCATAGCTCACAAGGAAGTTTCTTTACACTCCCCCATGGGAAAGAACTAGCTAACAATCAGCACCCACCACAGATGGAAAGGGAGGAATAGTAAGTTCTGCTTCCCCAAATGTATCCACACACAGGCCGGCCCTGGAGGACCTGGGATTGGAGAGGAATCTAGGTGAGCATGTCTCAAAGGCCAGGCGTTGCCGGTGCCGCCTGGCTTTCCCCGCCTGTTCCATGACTCACCTTTCTTTACATTAATTCACTTTTTTTTTTTTTTTTTTTTTTGAGACGGAGTCTCACTCTGTCACCCAGGCTGGAGTGCAGGGGCACAATCTCAGCTCACTGCAACCTCCGCCTCCCGGGTTCAAGTTATTCTCCTGCCTCAGCCTCCTGAGTATCTGGGATTACATGCATCTGCCACCCTACCTGGCTAATTTTTGTATTTTTAGTAGAGACAGGGTTTTACCATGCTGGCCAGGCTGGTCTCAAACTCCTGACCTCAGGTGATCCACCCGCCTTGGCCTCCCAAAGTGCTGCTGGGATTATAGATGTGAGTCATTGCACCTGGCCTCGCTTTTTTATTTTGGAAAAAAAAAATTTTTTTTTGACACAGGGTCTCACTCTGTTGCCCAGGCTAGAGTGCAGTGATGCAATCATAGCTCACTGCAGCCTCTAACTCCGGGCTCAAGCGATCCTTCCACCTCAGCCTCCCGAATAGCTCAGACTATAGGTGTGTGCCACCATGCCCAGCTAATTTTTAATTTTTGTTTTTGAAGAGACAGGGTCTTGCTATGTTGCCCAGGCTGGTCTCAAACTCCTGGCCTCAAGCAATCCTCCCACCTCAGCCTCCCAAATGGCTGAGATTACAGGTACACAGCGCCCGCCCAGCTCATTTTTAAATTTTTTGTAGAGACAGCGTCTTGCTACATTACCCCAGCCAGTCTCAAACTCCTGATCTCAAGTGATCCTCCCCAGCCTCCAGGAATTACAGGCGTGAGCCACTGTGCCCAGCCACAACTTTTACTTTAAAAGGAAACTTTGTAGTCTTACCTGCTTTAATCTCATCCTAAGCAAATGTTACCCACAAAATTGTGGATTTGAGTTTTCATTTTTTAAATTGCCTATTAAAGTAACTATGTCACAACTCTAATCAAAGGGTGTCTATGCTTGAATGCATCTCACCAGATCCCTTGGTATACAATTAGACTCTGGGAAGACCCAGGCCAATGGCCTTTAAGGTTCCTTCTGAGCAAGACATGGTAGCAACAGCTGTAAACTCCCCTGCTTGTTACTAATTAGACCTGACAGAACAAGGTCCTGTTCTAATTAGTTTTTCTTGTTGTTGAGACAAAATCTTGCTCTGTTGCTCAGGCTGGAGCGCAGGGGCATGATCTGGCTCACTGCAACCTCCGCCTCCCGGATTCAAGCGATTCTCCTGCCTCAACCTCCCGAGTAGCTGGGATTAAGGCGCCTGCCACCACGCCTAATTTTTTGTATTTTTAGTAGAGACGGGATTTCACCATGTTGGCCAGGCTGGTCTTGAACTCCTGACCTCAGGTGATCTGCCCGCCTTGGCCTCCCAAAGTGCTGGGATTACAGGCGTGAGCCACTGCGCCCGGCCTTTTTAGTTTTTGTTGTTGTTGTTCTAAATCCTCTCCTCTTAGTATTCTAACTAAGCTCTAATATTATTTAACAAAGCCAGATAGGCTGGGTCAATGAAAAAACACTTGTAGTAGGTTTCCATTGAATAAAAAGTGCTACACAGCGGCAAAGTATGGTGGTTACTGCAACCTTTTCATGCCAGCTTTGCCACTGTGACATCTCAGATTCTCAACAGCCAGGCTGGCAATGAACGAGGTTTATCTGTTATCTTTCAAAAGAGGCGCAGGCTGTCCCTCCTCCCAAATCCATGTCTAGGGCATTTTCCCTCCTGGGAAATGTATCTATTGACTATGTATCTATTGTATCTATGGTATAATGTTTCTGTGGTTCCCAGGGGACCTGCCCCACCAGCTCTGCTAGGTGCTTTAGGAACCCCAAAGGGATGGGAGGGAGGTCTTTGAGGGGCTTGCAGATGCAGGGCAGAATACAGGTGGTAGGACCGGACGGAGCCTGGCGCTCCAGTGCAGGTGAGAAGGGCCAAGTGCACAGAGAGGTCCCGATGGGTGCTGCGGGTGCAGAGCACGAGCAAATGCTCCCGGCTGAATGGCAAAGAAGGCCCAGCCCTATAGACACAGGTGCAGGGGCACTGGCCATGGTGGGAAGTATCAGCTGACACAGTGCAGGAGGAGGGCAGGGGCTACATTGTGGAAGGCCTGCAAGGCCAAGTCGAGAGGTGTGACTTCATGTTAGACAGAAGATGAAAGGAGTGAGAGAGAGAGAGGGAGAGTAAGAGATGGAGAGAGACACACACACATAGAGAAAAACAAAGAGAAAGACACAGAAAATGAGAGAGAGAGAGACAGCACAACAGAGAGACAGGCAGAGAGAGAGACAGAGATAAGAGAGACAGAGATGAGACAGAGAAAGAGACAGAGAGAAAGACAGAAACAGAAACACGGAGAGAGAAAAAGAGAGAGCAGAGCAACAGAGACTGAGAAGAGAGGCAGAGATAGGAATGGCATGAGAGAGACACAGAGAGAGAGAGAGACACAGAGAGAGAGAGAGAAACAGTGGGCGAGTGAGAGAGACAGCAAAATGAGGCAGACAGAGACAGAAACAGAGAGCCAGAGGTGGGAGGACTCAGTAGGGAAGGAAGGAGGGAGGGGACCCCAAGGCTGTGCATTTCACTGGGGCTCCTGGTGTCTACACAACATGCAGAACAGATGTAAGCCTTGGGTCACCCAGATGCCGAGGACACCTAACTCCATGTCCCTCAGGATTAAAGAGCATCCTAAGAATTGTCCTAGGGGAGGATGGGCCTTCTCTGTTGAGGCCAGGGATGCTTTACACAAGGAGCTCAGCCTGGTGGCATCTGTGGAGAGGGACCCCACCCGCAGAGCTACAGCAAGAGCTGCTTCCCACCACAGTGGTGCTGTGAGGTCACGCCTGAGGCAGAGACTCCACAGCCCTCCGTCTACCCCCCAGCAAACCCCATTCTCCTAACACTCTTTGGTGTTGCTCATTGCCCAGGTCAAGCCACTCCTGAATGTGGCTCGGCAAGAAGAGGAGATGAAGGCCAAGGAGGAGGAGCTCAGGAAAGCCATGGCCCAAACCCAGGAGTTGGTAAACAAGGTCAAGGAACTGGAGGAGAAGACAGCCACGCTCAGCCAGGAGAAGAATGACCTCACCATCCAGCTGCAGGCTGTACGTGGGGTCCCCAGGGAGAAGGGTGGGAAACCCATACAGCCTGGACCCTGGGAGGGAGGAAGGGCGAGCTCTTCCAAAAACCCATGTCCCTCCAGACCACGGGAAATTCTCCAGCATACAAAGTCACCCTCGACCCAACTTCCAAAAAGTCTCCATCCAATTCGTGTGTGTGTGTGTGTGTGTGTGTGTGTGTGTGTGTGTGAGAGAGAGAGAGAGAGAGAGACAGACAGACAGACAGACAGACAGACAGACAGACAGACAGCGACATGGTCTTGCTGTGTTGCCCAGGCTGGAGTGAAGTGGCTCGATCACAGCTCACAGCAGCCTCCATCTCCTGGACACAGGTGATCCTCCCACCTCAGCCTCCCGAGTAGCTGGGACTACACCACCATGCCTGGCTAATTTTTTGTAGAGACAGGGTCTTACTATGTTGCCCAGGCTTGTCTCAAACTCCCAGCCCCAAGTGATCCTCCTATTTCGGCCTCCCAAAGTGCTGGGATTACAGGTGTAAGCCCCTGTGCCCAGCCTCCATCAAATTCTTATTTGCACACAGCAGCAGGCTGGGCACACACAGCTACAGGACCCACCTGCAGGGAAAGTCCAGGGATGGTGGCCACGAGATGGGGTGAGAACAGCATCCCCTGGAGTCAGGGCTGGGCTCTGCCATACAAACTTGGCAACTTACCCACTCCAAGCCTTGTTTTCCTCACCTGTCCAGGGAAACACAGCAAGAAAGAATAAACGATGTCATTTCTGTAGGGCGCCTGACTAAATGTCCTGCAGTGAATTCACTGCTGGGGTCCTTCTGGTTTGCAAAGCTTTTCCTATTCCTTCCCTGATTTTACTCTCACAGCCGCCCTGTAAGACACTCGATTTTCACGTGCATCGTACAGGGTAGAAAACTCAGTTTGGCAGACATTTAGAGATTTGATCAAAGTCCCAGGCCCATTGGTAGAAAACCCAGCCCTGGAAGGGGCCCAATTCCATCTCCAGTCCTCCCTGCTCTGCCACGGCCATCTCTGTAGCCGTGAGCATGTGTGGTGCTTGCATTTTCCTTCCACTGTCCCCAAAGGCCTCCAACATCATTTCTCTGTATCCTCTTCATACCCCTGAGAAGTTGCTTGAACTGATATCCCCATTTTGTTTGTGAAGGCTGAGGCTGGGCAAGACCAAAGTGATGGAAGAATCCTCCTGGGCCAGGTGCAATGGCTCATGCCCATAAACCCAACACTCTGGGAGGCCAAGGCAGGAGGAATGCTTGAGCCCAGGAGTTCAAGACCAGCCTGGGCCACATAGTGAAACCCCATCTCTACAAAAAAGTTTAAAAATTAGCCGGGTGTGGTGGCACATCTGTAGTCCCACCTACTCAGGAGGCTGAAGTGGGAGGATTGCTTAAGCCTAGAAGGTCGAGGCTGCAGTGAGCCATGATTGTGCCACTGCACCCCAGCCTGGGTGACAGAGTGAGACTCTGTCTCAAAAATAAAAATAAAAAACTTAGCTGGGCATTGCAGTGTGTACCTGTAGCCTCAGCTACTTGGGAGGATGAGGTGGGAGGACTTCTTGAGCCCAGGAGGTCTAGACTGCAGTGAGCTGTGATCACACTACTGCACTCCAGCCTGGGCAACAAAGCAAAACCCTGACTCAAAAAAAAAAAAAAAAAAAAAAAGGAGCTCGAGATAGCCCAGCCCCTTGTCCAACCCCCAGGACACATTTGTTCAGCTCAAGGCTTGTCCAGCGTCTTGGTGTGGTCTTTGCCTGGACCCTGTCCTCGACCGGGGCTCTTTCTCCCAACAGGAGCAAGAGAACCTGATGGATGCAGAGGAGCGCCTGACATGGATGATGAAGACCAAGATGGATCTAGAGAGCCAGATCTCAGACATGCGGGAGCGGCTGGAGGAGGAAGAGGGCATGGCGGCCTCACTGAGTGCCGCCAAGCGCAAGTTGGAAGGGGAGCTGAGCGACCTGAAGCGGGACCTAGAGGGCCTGGAAACCACGCTGGCCAAGACAGAGAAGGAGAAGCAGGTGAGGAGAGGCCGGGGCCCTGCCACGCTTTTCTCAGGCCACCTTCAGGGGCCATACCTAAAGCCCCTATGGTGGCTACACCCAGTGCCCTGACCACTGACCACATGGGGCAGTTTTTTGGGGGTTTTTTTTTGTTTGTTTGTTTTGCGACAGAGTCTCGCTCTCGCTGTGTCACGTAGGCTGGAGGGCAGTAGTGCGACCTCAGCTCACTGCAACCTCCCCCTCCCGGGTTCAAGTGATTCTCATACCTCAGCCTCCCGGGTAGCTGGGACTACACGTGTGGCACCACCACACCCGGCTAATTTTTGTATTTTTAGTAGAGATGGGGTTTCGCCATGTTGGCCAGACTGGTCTTGAACGCCTCACCTCAGGTGATCTGCCTGTCTTGGCCTCCCAAAGTGCTGGGATTACAGGCATGGGCCACCATACCCAGCCCACATGGGGCTATTGTAACATCTATTAATTTACAACTTAAAATGCAATTCCTCAGTTGCACAAGCCACATTGCAGGTGCTCAGCAGCCATGTGCGTTAAGTGTCACTGCATGGGACAGCAAAGGCAGAGAACATGTCCGTCACTGCAGAAAGTTCTGCTGGACAGGGCAGCTAAGGGGACTGAGCTGTTCCCATCATGGTGAAGTGTCCACCTTCAGCTGTTGAATTTCTGCCCAAACAAGCAGTTGCTGCCCCTCTGAACAGCTCCCTGGGGGAAGCCCTGGCTCCTGATGCCATCTGGCTGGCCCCTGGTCCCAAGGTCCCCTTCCTGCTATTGCAGGTGGGTTGGGTTCTCGAGCAGGGTAAGCAGGGGCTCTGCCTAAACTTGCGCTTCTCCTGCTCTGCTGCACACACAAACCACTGGGGATACAGTCAGGTGCAGACTCTGGCGAGTCTGGTGGAGCCCAAGGGTCTGTATTCCTAGCATGCTCCTAGGGGATGCCACTGCCGACATCCGGGGACCACACTTTGAGAAGCCAAGGTTCTTGCTGCTCCCCTTCACCCCCAGGGTTCTGACTTGGTTGGTCTAGGACATGCCCTGGGTGCTGGCATTTCTTAAGCTCCCAGGAGACTCAAGGGTGCACCCAAGCTGAGGACTCCCTCCAGCTTTAAGGATCTACCTCTCTCCCTGCCCTGGTTTCTAGGCCCTGGATCACAAGGTCCGTACCCTGACGGGGGACCTCTCACTCCGTGAAGACTCCATCACCAAGCTCCAGAAGGAGAAGAGGGCCCTAGAGGAGCTGCACCAGGTAGGTTTCCCTTGCATCTTCCCTCAGCCCAGCAGCTAGAGCTTGGCACAATGTGCTTTCCATTGGAGACTGGAGCCCCGAGTTCAAATCCTGGCCCTGCCGCCCCCTCAGCTTGGGGCCTTAGGGAAGTTAAGGAATCTCCGTACATCTCAGTTTCCTCAAGAGTGACATGGGTGTGGCCCCCCCTTGCTGCCTTCCTTCCAAGTTTGTTATAAGTGGGGTGACAATATAATTTGTCTTCCAAACTAGGACAGTTTTGAGAGCAAGCGGGGGAGCTATGAACAATTATGAATCATCTAGGCATGGCAGCTCACATCTTTAAACCCAGCACTTTGGGAGGCTGAGGCAGGAGGATCCCTTCAGTTTAGGAGTTTGAGACCAGCCCGGGCAACATGGCAAAACTCCCATCTCTACAAAAAAAAAATACAAAAATTAGCCAGGTCTGGTGGCACGCGCCTGTAGTCCCAGCTATTCAGGAGGCTGAGGCAGGAGGATAACTTGAGCCCAGGAGTTGCAGGTTGCAGTGAGCCAAGATTGCGCCATTGCACTCCAGCCTGGGTGACAGCGAGACCCTGTCTCAAAACAAACAAACAACAAAACAATTATGAGTTAGGTTGGGCCCATGCACACTGGAGAAAGTATGCTCACTGGAGTGGTAGGGGTGGAGTGGGGTGTATGGAACTGTCCCGTGAGCTCAAAAGCCCCAGCAAAGCCTAAGACACTGTGGCAACAACAGGCCATGAGTTCTTGAGGCCATGGGGAGACCCACCGACTTTCCCAGGCCCACTGTCACGGCTAAGGTTCCAGAATGCAGAGCCGGCTCTGACCGGCCACCAGTGCTGACCTCCAGAGAAACAGGGGCAAAGAGCCAGACAGTGGACCCCTCGTCCCTGTGTTTGCTGATACCGTGAATCCACATGTCCCCTGAGTGCCTCTCCCTGCTGCCTCGGGAACTACCGCCCTTGCCCTGTGATTTTCAAGCATATCAGACCCAGAGCCTCCTTTCATAACAAACACAGTGGATGTGTGTTATTCACACTGGTTATATTTTTGTTGTTTTGAGATGGAGTCTCACTCTGTCGCCCAGACTGGAGTGCAGTGGCGTGATCTCAGCTCACTGCAACCTCCGCCTCCCGGGTTCAAGTGATTCTCCTGCCTCAGCCTCCCAAGTAGCTGGGATTACAGGTGCCTGCCACCACACCCAGCTAATTTTTTTTGTATTTTTAGTAGAGACAGGGTTTCACCATGTTGGCCAGGCAGGCCTCGAACTCCTGACCTCAAGTGATCCTCCCACCTGAGCCTCCCAAAGTGCTGGGATTACAGGCGTGAGCCACCACACCCGGCCTCACAGTGGTTATGTTCTGTAAAGTTGCCATAAACACTGAATTAACCAATAATAATTCAATATTGAATTAGCAAATATGAACCACTGCTCCTAGGGAAAATATAGGGTTAGACTCTTGCATGCCTCTGGTCATAACATTTTATTTTTTTTTATTTTTATTTTTTTGAGACAGGGTCTAGCTCTGTCACCAAGGCTGGAGTGCAGTGGTATGATCATGGCTCACTGCAGCTTTGACTTCCCAGGCTCAGGTGATCCTCCCACCTCAGCCTCCTGAGTAACTGGGATTATAGGCATGTACCACTGCACCCCACTAATTTTTGTTTGTTTTTGAGATGGAGCTTCGCACTCTCACCTGAGCTGGAGTGCAGTTTTCTAAAAACTAGAAAAAAAATTAGCTGGGAGGCTGAGGCGAGAGGGTTGCTTGAGCCCAAGAGGTGGAGGCTGCAGTTAGCTATGATCGTACCACTGTACTCCAGTCTGAGTGACAGAGGAAGATCCTATCTCAAAAAAAAAAAAATGTAGTGCATATTCAATGAAAAAGAACATTGAGTTACATGTAAAAGGGTGCTGGGCTCTAGGTTTAGAAGAGTAGAAATGGTTGTTTTACTCACATAAGTGCCCGGGTGGGACATCAGGAATGTGGACTACAGAGTTCTTCATGGTACCAGATTGTCCAGAGCAAAATGGGATGTCCGGCATTGCTGGAGTCATCCACTAAATCTCAGAGGAACCTCCAATCACTGTGACAACCAGAAGCACCCCACCTATTTCCCATATGCCCCCTGGGGAACCAGAGATAGGGTCTCACTGTTGCTCAGGCTGAAATGCAGTGGTGCCATCATAGCTCACTGCAGCCCCAACCTCCTGGGCTCGTGATCGTCCTGCCTCAGTCTCCTGAGTGGCTGGCACTACAGACGTGTGCCACCACACCTGGCTAATTTTTGTAGAGACAGGGTCTGACTCTGTCACCCAGGCTCGGGTGCAGTGGTACGATCATAGCTCACTGCAGCCTCAACCTCCCTGGCTCAAGCAATTGACCTCCCTGATGGGTGGCTCTGGTCCATCTGCTCTGGCCTTACCCAGCGCCCAGGAGCAGGTGGTCAGTACCTACTCACTGAAGTCAACTGAACTCCCCAAAGCCTGGGAGCTGCATAGCTCAGAAGCGACGACTGAGGATCAGGACTGTTCAGCTGCTCCCACTGGGCCTCGTGGCACTCACGTGTGTATCTGTCCTTCCAGAAAACCCTGGACGACCTACAGGCTGAGGAGGACAAGGTGAACCACCTGACCAAAAATAACAGCAAGCTGAGCACGCAGATCCATGAGGTAATACCCATTGCTGTGGCCACCTCTACAACTCCAAGGCCAGATCCCTCTGGGGGCACGGGGTCCGAAGATTAGTTTTGAGAACTGGACCAACACATCCCCCGGGGCGTGAGGGCCCTTCTGATGCCACAGCTAAAGGATCGGACCCAGTCTGGTTCCTTCTTGCCTTCTGACCTCAGACTCTCCTCGTCTACCTTCTCTTGCTGTTCTTGTCTCTGTAGCTGGAGGATAACTGGGAGCAGGAAAAGAAAATCCGGGCGGAGGTGGAAAAGGCTCGTCGGAAAGCTGAGAGTGACCTGAAGATGACCATCGACAACCTCAATGAGATGGAGCGTTCCAAGCTGGATCTCGAGGAGGTGGTGAAAAAGTATGTCTTGTCGTCGTTCGTTTTGTCCATCACAATGGTAGCAATAGCTGGAGCTGCCTGGAGGGTGCCAGGAGCCAGGCACTGTATGGAGAGCCTCACAAACATTCCTGCATGTCCCAAGCACCTGGCAGGCATGGAGGATATGCAGAGAGGTAGGGGCTGCCCTGTCTGCAGGGAATGCCCAGTGTCACACAATACCTGGTGGGCACTGGGGAGGAGACAAGCGCCACCACCCCAGGGAACACTGAGGACTCAGCAGGGCAGGGAGGCGTCATAAAAGCCTATGACCATGTTGGGTACAGTGGCTCACACCTGTAATCCCAGCACTTTGGGATGCGAAGGCAGGAGGATGGCTTGAGGCCAGGAGCTCAAGACCAGCCTGGGCAACATAGCAAGACCCCGTCTACAAAAAATACAAAAATTAACTGGGCATGATGGAGCCAGCCTGTGGCCCCAGCTACTAGAGAGGCTGAGGTGGGAGGATCACTTAAGCCCAGGAGGTCAAGGCTGCAGTGAGCCATGATCATGCCACTGCACTGCATTCTGGGCGACAGAGCAACACCCTGTCTCAAAAAAAAGTGTCACATTAGTAAATGTGTGAATGAATGAATGGATGATGAAACACCTGAGGAGCTCATTCAGGGGTCTAACTGCTCTGTAGGGTGAGACCTTCTGGGCTGTCACTACAGAAGGCCAGAAGGGGCTGGGAGGTACGTGCTTTTCGGCAGGTTCAAGGCCTCCTCTGGCAGCCCAGGCGACATTCCCTCGCCAGCTTGCTGGTCTACCCTCAGAGCCTTTCCTCAGGAGACCAACCCTTCCCTTGCAGGAGGGATTTGGAAATAAACTCTGTCAACTCGAAATATGAGGATGAGCAGTCTCTGAATTCCACGCTGCAGCGGAAACTGAAGGAGCACCAGGTATGTCCAGGACCGAGAAGCATGAGCTCTCTGTCAGAAATGCACTTCTCTGAACGTTTTGTTCATGTCAGCTACTTGGTGGCTGAGGTTTCCTGAGGAGCAAGACTGCCATAGAGTCCTTGGAGATGGACCCATGTTCCCCTCACTAGGGGTGAAATCCGTACAATGGTTATGAGGCCCTCCAACTGCTCCCCGCCTGACCTCATCACCGAGTGTTTCCCTCCACTCTATCCAGCCATGCTGGCTCCTGGCTGGGTGTCACACATGCCAGGCCCCCTCCTGCCTGCCCCGGCACCTTTGCACTTGCTCTCTGGGATCTGCCTCTCTCTGCTTTTGACAGTGGCTGTCATATTCTCACATCCCTATTTTCCGTCCTAAAAGGCTAAGGGGCTGACTTACTAACTTTGCCTGGCAGAGATGAATCCCCTCCCTCCTCTGTCTGCTAGGACCGAATTGAAGAGCTGGAAGAAGAACTAGAAGCTGAGAGGGCCATGAGAGCCAAGGTAAATGAAATACGTTTCCCCTTCTTGAGTCAAAAGACCTAACGGCAGTCACACATCCAACCATGAATAGAAACCTCCGCTAAGGAAACCAGTAGAGAAGGCAGGTGTCCAGCTAAAAAGTCTAGTTGCTTCTGGAGCACCTACTGTGTGCCAGGGACTGAACTGCACATCCACATTAATCATGACGTGAAAGGCAGATGCTCTGTGTGGCTTGAGTCCAGAGGAGAAGAGGCTGGTTCTACCTGAGACAGATGGGGAAGAAACACTTGACCTCAAAGATAGAATTCAACAGGCAGAAGCAAGGAGAAAGGTCTGGGCAAAGGGAATAAAATAGCACCTACCTTCATTGGGATGAAGGTGTAAACAGAGAAAGCACGTGTTAGCAAGAGCAGAGCATGGAGGGAGGCTTGAGCGTGGGGATCCTACAGGACGTGAGCCCAGAAAGCTGGTGGGAGACAAATCACAGCGTACCTAACCCCAAATTCAGCCAAATTGGACAGGTGGTAGGTAGGATGGGCACTAATGCCCGCCCAGTGTGGGCAAGACAGTGTCCTTTACTAAGCCTGTGGGATGACAGGCAGGGCACAAGGCCCCCCAGGCATAGAATCCTGGCTTCTCAAAGGTGAAGCAGTCATCATGCTCTTTACTGGAGAAAAAGGAGCTCTGGGTGATTATCATCGGTATCATTAAATCTCATCCCATGGCCGGGAAGAGTGGCTCATGCTTGTAATCCAAATACCTTGGGAGACCAAGGCAGGAGGATCACTTGAGACCGGGAGACCAGCTTGGGCAACATGGTGAAACCCATCTCTACAAAAAATTTAAAAATTTGCTGGGTATGATGGCATGTGCCTGTAGTTGCAGATACTTGGGAGGCTAAGGTTAGAGGATTGTTTGAGCCAGGCAGGTGAAGGTTGCAGTGAGTCGAGATGGTGCTGCTGCACTCCAGCCTGGGCCACAGAGGAAGGCTCTATCTTAAAATAAAAACTTTCATCCCAGGTGGAGAAACAACGCAGTGACCTGTCCCGGGATCTTGAAGATCTCAGTGACAGGTTGGAGGAAGCGGGTGGAGCCACATCTGCTCAGGCACCCATCCCAGGGGGCCCAGAAACCCCCAGCTCTGCTTGCATTTAGGGGAAAAAATTGCTGGACTGTGAGCAGTGGGATCAAGACCAGTTCGTTCTTGCTAGGTTCCTGAGATGGACTTGAGGAGAAACCAACTAATAATTTAAAAATGAGGCCTGGAACAGTGGCTCACGCCTGTAATCCCAACACCTGGGGAGGCAAAAGCAGAAGGATCACTTGAGCCCAGGGATTTCTGACCAGCCTGGGCAACACAGCAAAAGCCCATCTCTCAAAAAAAAAATTAGCTGGGCATGGTGGCATGTTCCTGTAGTTCAAGCTACTCAAGAGGCTAAAGAAGGAGGATCACTTGAGCCCAGGGAGGTTGAGGCTGTGGTGAGCCATGATGGCACCACTGCACTCCAGCCTGGGTGACAGAGCAAGACCCTGTCTCTCAAAGACAAACAGAAAGAGTTTGCTACTCACAGTTCCCAAGAGGAAAGGGCACAGCAGGCCACGCAGGGCCAGAGAGGCACTGGGGCTGGTTAGGAGGCAGACAGCTGGGGGGAAGAATGTAGGCAAAGGCCTTTACTCTGGCTCCCATGGGAAGGAACAGGTGAGGCAGGGTGAACAGGCTCCTGAATGGCCAGTTTGGACAATCTCAGTGGACTGTGGGGCTGACCCTAGTTGTCGGTACCTGGACCTGGAGTGATAAGGGCAGTAGTATAGTGAGTAGAAATGTGAGAGTCCGGCCGGGCACGGTGGCTCACGCCTGTACTCCCAGCACTTTGGGAGGCTGAGGTGGGTGGATCACCTGAGGTTAGGAGTTCGAGATCAGCCTGGTAAACATGGTGAAACCCCATCTCTACTAAAAACACAAAAAATTAGCTGGGCATGGTGGTGGGCACCTGTAATCCCAGCTACTTGGGAGGCTGAGGCAGGAGAATCACCTGAACCCAGGAGGCGGAGGTTGCAGTGAGCCGAGATGTGCCATTGCACTGCAGCCTGGGCAACAAGAGTGAAACTTCTTCTCAAAAAAAAAAAAAAAAAAAAAAGGCATCAGTCATTAGCTTAGGGCCCACCCTAAACCAGTATGACATCTTAACTGGCTCCATCTACAAAGACACTATTTCCAAATCAGGTCCCATTCATAGGTACCCAGGGTTAGGACTTGAGTATATCTTTTTGGAGGGCACAATTTAACACACAACACCTCTAAACAAATCCTGTGGGCAACCCCCACCCCCCAAAGGCTAAACATTGGCATTTCAAGCAGGACTTCTTTTAGCGAGGTACAGGAATATCAGGGGACCACCGAGCAGCTGGGCGGTGTCCACCCGGAAAAGGCTGGCACTGGCCAGTTCTGCTAAGCTGCTCCTCCTCTACCCCAGATCGAGCAGAACCGCAAGCGGGAGGCTGAGCTGCTGAAGCTGCGGCGGGAGCTGGAAGAGGCCGCCCTGCAGAGCGAGGCGACGGCCTCCACACTGCGCAAGAAGCACGTGGACTCCATGGCCGAGCTGACGGAGCATGTGGAGAGCCTGCAGAGGGTCAAGTCCAAGCTAGAGAAAGATAAACAGGTCATGAAGGCTGAGATTGATGACCTCAATGCCAGCATGGAGACGATACAGAAGTCCAAGGTGAATAACCTAACTGTGGGCCGGACGCAGTGGCTCACTCCTGTAATCCCAGCACTTTGGGAGGCTGAGGCAGGAGGATTGCTTTTGAGAGGCCAGGAGTTGGGGACCAGCCTGGACAACATAGCCAGACCTCGTCTCCTCAAAAAATGAAATTAGCCAGGGATGGTAGCATGTGCCTGTAGTCCTAGCTACTCAGGAGGCTGAGGCAGGAGGATCGCTTGAGCCCAGGGGGTTGAGACTGCAGTGAGTATGACTGCACCACTGCACTCCAGCCTGGGCAACAGAGTAAGACCCTGTCTCTAAAATAAAATAAAATAAAATAAAATAACCTGCTGGGCACAGTGGCTTACGCCTGTAATCCCAGCACTTTGGGAGGCTGAGGCAGGCAGATCACCTGAGGTCACAAGTTCAAGACCAGCCTGGCCAACATGGTGAAACCCTGTCTCTACTAAAAATACAAAAATTGCTTGAACCTGGGAGGCAGAGGTTGCATTGAGCCGAGATTGCGCCACTGCACTCCAGCCTGGGCGACAGAGCAAGACTCTGTCTCAAAAATAAAATAAAATAAAATAAAAAATAAAATAACCTGTGCTTCGATTTCTTCATCTGTAACATGAAGATGATTGTCATAATCCCCACCTTAGAGCGCTACTGTGAGGGCTGCAATAGTCTCTGGCACATAAGAGTGCTCAATAAGCCAGGCACAGTGGCTAACGCCTGTAATCCCAGCACTTTGAGAGGCCAAGGCAGGCAGATCACTTGAGCCCAGTTCAAGACCAGCCTGGGCAACACAGTGAAACCCTGTCTCTACAAAAAAATAAAACTAATTAGCCAGGGATGGTGGCATGCACCTGTGGTCCCAGCTACTCAGGAGGCTGTGGTGAGAGGATGGCTTGAGCCCAGGATGTCGAGGCTACAGTGAGCTCTGATTGCACCTATGCACTCCAGCCGGGGTGATGGAGTGATACCCTGTCTCAAAAAAAAAAAAAAAATGGTGAGCCATTTGGGGTTTCTGAGACAGGGGCATACCTCCAGGCAGGTAGCCTGGGAGGCACACAGGAAGAACAGGGCAAAAATCAAAGGGGAGGTAGGGAGGGCTTGGCCTCCCCCACCCGCAACTTCCCCACTGAGTTCATCCTTCCTGAGCAGATGAACGCCGAGGCCCACGTCAGAAAGCTGGAAGACAGCTTATCAGAAGCCAACGCCAAGGTGGCAGAGCTAGAGCGAAACCAAGCAGAAATCAATGCCATCAGGACCCGCCTCCAAGGTGAGCCCTCTCCGCCCTGAGCTTGCTAAGGAGCAGTGCATGGAAAGGAACTGGGATTCTCAAGGAAACAGAGCTTTCTTGGCCTTGGAAGATTCCCGTCCAAACCCCTTGTGATGAGAGGAGGAGATTTTATTCCACCTGCTGAATGTTCCAAGTAACATCTTTACAATGCAAAACAGGGAACACAATTCAAAGCATTTTCGTATCCATTCTCTCACCTTCCCAGTGAGATCAGTGGGAGAGGCATTCATGCTGACGAAATACAATTTTCAAACATTTTTAAACATGACCCACATACTAATATAAAGCGAACATGTGTCAACGATTTATTTAACTCCTTAATGAGGGAGCCAGAAAAATGGTAAAGCTGCCTTCAAAGAGCATTTGAAAGGCAGAGATTTACAGTCAGCTGGGAAAAGAAACGCTAAAATAACTTTGCTAAGTTAGATGCAGAACTAGTTAATATCCTATAGGACAATAATCCTGTGACCTCTGGGTTTAGTTTAGGATTTTTTTTTTCCCTGCCAGAAGAAACACACCTTTGTCATACAGGTGCATCTTTGCATCTCTATAACAAAAATAATTGGCAATTTATCAATGTATAAGTTAATTTCTAACTTTGCAGAAGCTGTGCTCTAATCACACAGGGGTAAACAGTAAGTCAAACAAAGGTACATTTCCTTAGAGAACTGAATAGTCTACAGGTGGGCCTGTTAGTGCTCCGGTGTGACATCAAGAGAACTTGCAGGCAGCCTTTGGCCTTACTTCTCACATCTGGAATTCTTTAACAATATCCTGGCTGGGTGCAGTGGCTCACACTTGTAATTCCAGCACTTTGGGAGGCCAAGGCGGGAGGATTACTTGAGGCCAGGAGTTTGAGACCAGCCTGGGCAACATAGCAAGACCCCCATCTCTACAAAACAATGTTTTTAAATAGCTGGGTGTGGTGGCGCACACTGGTGGTCCCAGCTACTTGGGAGGCTGAGGCAGGAGGATTGCTTGAGCCCAGGAGTTCAAGGCTGCAATGAGTTATGATTGTGCCACTGCACTCCAGCCTGGGCAACAGAGCAGGACCCTGTCTCAAAAAAAAAAAAAAAAAAAAAATCAATATCCAGCCGTGTGCAGTGGCTCATGCCTGTAATCCCAGCACTTTGGGAGGCCGAGGTGGGCAGATCACTTGAGGTCAGGAGTTTGAGACCAGCCTGGCCAACGTGGTAAAACCCGGTCTCTACTAAAAATACAAAAAAAATTAGCTGGGCATGGTGGTACACACTTGTAATCCCAGTTACTCAGGAGGCTGAGGTAGGAGAATCACTCGAACCCGGAAGCCAGAGGTAGCAGTGAGACGAGAGCACGCCACTGTACTCCAGCCTGGGTGACAAGAATGAAACTTGGTCTCAAAAAAAAAAAAAAAATCAATATCCCCATTTGATGGATAAGAAAAATGAAGCTCAGTGAGCTCAGTGACTTACAGGGTAGAACTGGAAATCCTTGCTTTTTCTCTCAGGCTCATGAACTTCTTCCTGGCCTCTGGCTCCAGCAATCATTCCACAAATGACAGGAGTGTAGGTTCTGGAATTGTGACAAATACATTTTACAAAGGAAATACTGTGTCCCACTGTTTCTCCAAACTCTTCTGCTGCATCTCCTGACATGTAGGAGATAGGGGTTTCATTATGTGAGGCCCCTAAGTCCATGCAGGTTACCTGGATCTTGGCAACCCTTGGGCGCTTGCCTTTCTCCTGGGTTCACTTAATTTGGAGGCTAGAGTGGTGATCTACTGTGCTCCCCATTCCAGCTCCATTGGCCAAGCCACCATATTTATTGGGTACTTTAGGAGCAATGCCCTGGGGAACTTTGGATCTGGCTGGGGAACCAGTTCTTCATCCAATATTTCTTCCATTTCCTTCTCACCCAGCTGAAAATAGTGAACTGAGCAGGGAATATGAAGAGTCCCAGAGCCGGCTCAATCAAATCCTACGGATAAAGACATCTCTGACGTCACAAGTGGATGATTACAAGAGGCAGCTGGATGAAGAGTCAAAGGTTTGTTTGGACGTGGGGTTGCGGTGGAGACAGAGCTGC
Source organism: Homo sapiens (assembly GCF_000001405.40). Classification (NCBI taxonomy): domain Eukaryota; kingdom Metazoa; phylum Chordata; class Mammalia; order Primates; family Hominidae; genus Homo; species Homo sapiens. The sequence goes on from NC_000007.14 coordinate 99,291,490, forward strand.
CGCCTTAAAGTTATAGGTTACAGCTGGGGTTGGTGGCTCATGCCTGTAATCCCAGAACTTTGGGAGGCCTAGGTGGGAGGTTCGCTTAAGGCCAGGAGTTCGAGACCAGCCCGAACAACACAGCAAGACCCCCCCCCACCCCCCCCACCCCCAACGCCATCTCTACCAAAATAAAAAATAAAAAAGCTGCTGGGCATGGTGGCTCACACCTGTAATCCCAGCACTTTGACAGGCCAAGGTGGGCAGATCACCTGAGGTCAGGAGTTCGAGACCAGTCTGGCCAACATGGCAAAACCTGGTCTCTACTAAAAATACAAAAATTAGCTGGGCATGGTGGTGAGTGCCTATAATCCCAGCTACTTGGGAGGCCGACACAGGTGGAGGCAGAGGTTGCAGGGAGCCGAGATCGCACCATTGCACTCCAGCCTGGGTGACAAGAGTGAAACTCGGTCTCAGGAAAAAAAAAAGTTTCCAGGTATGGTGTTGTATACCTATAGTCCCAGCTAAAGAAAGTTACAGATTATGAAGATGTCAAAGGAATACAAAAAGTATTTGATATCGTAGCAAGTAAAAAAGCTAACTACAAAACTGTAGTATGTGATGTGTATAACTAAATGAAATTACATATCCTTGTGGACAATAATAGAAAGAAAAGAAGTCATAGGATGAAAATTAAAACCCCGATGGTTTGGATTGTGGGATCATGTTTCTTTTCCCCCTTTCGCCTGCCATCACTGCTGCTCCAGTGTTACGTGTATCTAAGTGGTGGCCCTGCGGGCTGTGGAAAGCCCCCACGGGCGCCTGACAGGCTGGTCCCCACAGTCTCGCAGCACCGCCGTGGTGAGTCTGGCCAACACCAAGCACGACCTGGACCTAGTAAAGGAGCAGCTGGAGGAGGAGCAGGGAGGCAAGTCAGAGCTGCAGCGCCTCGTGTCCAAACTCAACACTGAGGTCACCACCTGGAGGACCAAGTACGAGACCGATGCCATCCAGAGGACAGAGGAGCTGGAGGAGACCAAGTGAGTGTGGTCTTCCTGTTGAGAGAGCCAGGTGGGCTGGGCAGGTGGTGCTGGGGGCCTCACCACCATGTCAGTCACTGCTGAGGCCAGGGCCAAGCCCAGGAAAAGGACGTTCACAGGCTGCTTTAAGAGGAGGACAATGTGTCTGGACAAAGGAGCCTGCTCTGTGGGCCAGCTATGGTGGCTCATGCCTGTAATTCCAGCACTTTGGGAGGCCAAGGTGGGAGGATTGCTTGAGCCCAGAAGTTCGAGGCCAGCCCGGGCTACATGGTGAGATCCTCATCTCTACAAAAATTACAAAATTAGCCAGGCATGGTGGCACGTGCCTGTAGTCTCAGCTATTTGGGAGACTAAAGTGAGAGGATTGCTTGAGCCCAGGAATTGGAGGCTGCAGTGAGCAATGATCGAGCCACTGCACTCCAGCCTGGATAACAGAGCAGGATCCTGTCTCTAAAAAAAAAAAAAAAACTACATAAGTGGACACCTGAGGAAATAAGGGGGGACATGAAAGTGGCTCTGGGCCTCTCTCTGGTGTAAAAGGAGGCTGGCCTGGGTGTCCCTGGGCCCATGCACGCAGGGAAGCCCTGTGAGTGAGCCACCCTGGGCCAGGCAGCAGAGGGGATCCATGACAAGTTAAATCAAAGAACATGGTCAACTTAACAAACTCCTCTATAGACTTTTCTGGATTCTCTGAAAAAATGGCCAAATTTTTTCTTGTATAAAGCCAAATTAGGCATAGAAAATGGCACATGTGCTCTAAGTGTTTCCGGGATCCCAGCCTGCTGGCTGGTCCCATCCATCCACTGAAATTTCTGCTAATATGATAGCAAATAAGGCATAGTGACTTCCAGCTGATGCAATACTTTCATCTAAAGCTCTAAGCTAAATTTGCCTTCCTGCAACTTCCACCTCTGTCCTTCAGGCCTTTGCTATGGAGGCTGCTGGGCACTACCTGGTCCTCCCCCAAGGCTCCCACTCCTGGGCTAAACCTAAATCTCAACCCCTAAGCTTGTCTCTGCCCCAGACACCCTCAGGGCCCCTCCATTCCCTGGCTTAGACCTTTGCTCCTGTGTCCCCTTCTCAGAGAGTCTCTCCTGAGTCTGTATTTGACATTGTCACCCCCTCCCACCTGGACTGCCTGTCCCCTTCCTGGCTCTATTTGTCACTGCAGTGCTTATGTTCTATAGGGCATGTATTGCCTGCCTCCTCCCAGCTCCAGAACAAACATTTCGTTTGTTAGGGCAGGTATCCTAGCTTGTTTTATTCACTGCTGCATCCCTAACACCTGCAACAATCCTTGACGCAGGGTAGAGAAAGTAAGTGTTTGTTGAATGAATAAATGAGAGAGTGAATGGACAGCTGTGGCTGTCCTGTAAACACTCTGCATCGTTTCCAATGTTGACACCAGAGCTTAGTACCATGCCCACCACACTCTGACCCTGGCAGTGTGGAGATGGTGCCTGTAAGTGCCTATGTTTCCTTGACAGCCCCTCTGGCCCTCATTTGCAGGAGGAAGCTGGCCGCCAGGCTTCAGGAGGCAGAAGAAGCAGCTGAAACTGCCCAGGCCCGGGCCGCCTCCCTCGAGAAAAATAAGCAGAGACTCCAGGCAGAAGTTGAGGACCTCACCATCGACTTGGAGAAGGTCAGAGAGTCAAATGCTCAAAGCTGCCTATTTACCGGGGCAGAGAGCCCACAGCAGGGCTAGGGCAAGGCTGTCACATGTCTGGGGTCATCAGGAAGAAACACATGGTTCAAGAAGGTGCAATGCAGGGGTGCCTTCAGGAGCTTGCTGGACAACGGCTGCTGCTTGAGCACGTGTTCATGAACTCTTCCGAGATCTAACATTCAACAAGCTACTGTTTAAACAGGGCCACAAAACCAAGCACAATGGCCCATGCCTCTAATCCCAACACACTGGGTGGCCAAGGCAGGAGGACCACTTTAGCCAAGGAGTTCAAGACCAGCCTGAACAACACAGGGAGACCCTGTCTCAAAAAAAAAAAAAAAAAAAAAAAAGAAAAAGAAAAAGAAAAAAAGAAAAAAAAAATATATATATATATTTTTTTTCTTTTTTGAGATGGAATTTGGCTCTTGTTGCCCAGGCTGGAGTACAGTGGCGTGATCTCAGCTCACTGCAACCTCCACCTCCTGGATTCAAGCAATTCTCATTCCTCAGCCTCCTGAGAAGCTGGGATTACAGTGCCCACCACCACGCCCAGCTAATTTTTTGTATTTTTAGTAAAGACAGGGTTTCATCATGTTGGCCAGGCTGGTCTCGAACTCCTGACCTCAAGTGATCCACCCGCCTTGGCCTCCCTAAGTGCCAGGATTATAGGCGTGAGCCACTGTGCCCAGCCCCCAAAAAAGTTTTAAATTAAAAATTTAGCCAGGTGTGGTGGCACATGCCTGTGGTCCCAACTACTTGGGAAGCTAAGGCATGAGGATCATTTGAACCAGGGGTTCAAGGCTGCAGTGAGCTATGACTGCACCACTGCACTCCAGCCTGGTTGACAGAGTGAGACCCTGTCTCAAATAAATAAATAGGGTCACAAGCAGGGTAAAATTTGCCCCTGAAAGTTACATAATACGGCCGGGCGCGGTGGCTCATGCCTGTAATTCTAGCACTTTGGGAGGCCGAGGCAGGCGGATTGCCTGAGCTCAGGAGTTCGACACCAGCCTGGGCAACTCGGTGAAATCCCGTCTCTAATAAAATACAAAAAATTAGCCGGGCGTGGTGGCAGGCACCTGTAGTCCCAGCTACTCGGGAGGCTGAGGCAGGACAATCACTTGAACCCAGGAGGTGGAGTTGCAGTGAGCCAAATCGTGCCACTGCACTCCAGCCTAGGTGACAGAGCGAGACTCTGGCTCCAAAAAAAAAAGAAAAGAAAGTTACATGATGCACCTTCCCTGTTCCCCTCTCTCTTACACAAACTACATCCCACATACTTTGCGTGGCTAACTATTCCTATTTGCATCCCTGGTTCAAACTGAGTTGCCAGTCTCTATGAGAATTAAATAGGATTTCCACTGGCATACACCTCTCTGGTCTTGGTCTAGATGGAACCATGATTCATGCTGGCCGTGAGGAGCCACATGCAGCCCAATACAAGAACGTGGCTCCATGAAGTGGCCACGTAGGCAGGAGGTCATATCCATGTGAGAGGTTTCAGAAAAAAAGTTCTGGCAAGGTGGTTCATGCTTGTCATCCCAGGACTTTGGGAGGCTGAGGTGGGAAGATTGCTTAAGTCCAAGAGGCTGAGGCTACAGTTAGCTATGATTATGCTACTGTACTCCAGCCTGGGTGACAGAGTGAGACCTCATCTCTTGGAAAAAAAAAAAAAAAAAAAAAAAGGCTGGGCACAGTGGCTCAAGCCTATAATCTCAGCACTTTGGGAGGCTGAGGCAGGCAGATCACCTGAGGTCAGGAGTTTGAGAGCAGCTTGGCCAACATGGTGAAACCCCATCTCTACTAAAAATACAAAAAGTAGCCGGACGTGGTGGCGCACGCCTGTGTAATCCCAGCTACTCAGGAGGCTGAGGCAGGATAATCGCTTGAACCCAGGAGACGGAGGTTGCAGTGAGCCATGATCATGCCACTGCACTACAGCCTGGGTGACAGGGTGAGACTCCATCTCAATTTAAAAAAAAAAAAAAAAAAAAAAGTCCTAAAACTCAAAAAGATTTTGCTACCCCACGAAAGAAACAAAGCAAAACTTTATAAAAGCTAATATAGCACAACAGCAAATAGTTGCCAGGGAGTTATGAGACGGATGAAATCTATAGAAAAATAAAGTCTAAGAATAGTAAGTTTTGAGTTGATGTGTAGTGTATATTACTACATTACAGTGAAATATATTAAGGGGAGTTAGGCTGAATGTCATAAATCTGGGAAGGCCGCTGTGGCCCAAACTCCTCATTTTACACCTGAGAGAATTCTAACCTGGGAAAATAAGGTGGAATGTCCCAGGCCACACATCTCTCGGGGGAAGTTTTAGAACTGGCATGCAGCTCTTTGCAGACTCTCTGTTCTGTGCTTCTGCCATAGCTGTTGAATTACATTCCAATTCCCAAGGAGTCCGTAGTCTCAAGAGTTACTGGGGAAAGGGAGGGAAGAGAGGTTGGTGGGGGGGTGGGAGTAGGGGACAGAGGCAAGGAGGTTGGACCCCTAGAGGCCATTTCCAACTTTCCCTAGGCCAATGCTGCAGCTGCTGCCCTGGACAAGAAGCAGAGGCTCTTTGACAAGATGCTGGCTGAGTGGCAGCAGAAGTGTGAGGAGTTGCAGGTGGAAGTGGACAGCTCGCAGAAGGAGTGCCGCATGTACATGACAGAGAGCTTCAAGATCAAGACTGCCTACGAGGAGTCTCTGGAGCATCTAGAGTCCGTGAAGAAGGAGAATAAGACCCTGCAGGGTGAGTCTGAGGGCAGGTGGATGGGATGGGCCTGTAGGGAGGGGACACAGCCAGAGTCCCCTTCATCCTGAGCACATCATCAGTTGAGTACCTGGCACATAGTAGGTGCTCAATAAATGTTGACTTTCTAGCAAGTGCTTTGTAGAAGCACTTCAGCATTCAGCAGTGTAACTTTAGGCGAGTTGCTTAATCTTTCTGTGCCTCACTTTCCTCATCTATAAAATGAGGAAATAGCCGGGTGTGATAGCTCATGCCTGTAATCCCAGCACTTTGGGAGGCTGAGGCGGGCGGATCACTTGAGGTCAGGAGTTCAAGACCAGCCTGACCAACATGGTGAAACCCCGTCTCTACTAAAAATACAACAAATTAGCAGGGCATGGTGGCGGGCGCCTGTAGTCCCAGCTACTTGGGAGGCTGAGGCAGGAGAATCGCTTGAACCTGGGAGGTGGATGTTGCAGTGAGCCGAGATCATGCCACTGTACTCCAGCCTGGGCAACAGAGCAACACTATGTCCCAAAAATAAATTAATTAATTAATTAATTTAATTTAATGAGGAAATAATTCTACCCTCCTTATAAGGTTGTCATGACAATGAAATAAGATTATGGTCAGGTGTGGTGGCTCATGTCTGCAATCCTGGCACTTTGGGAGGCCTGCTTCTTACCCCAATGGAGGAATGACGGTGCCACCTGCCATGACCCTGGAATGCCGAGTCTTATTAACATGAATATTTCTATCTCAGAGGAGATAAAGGATCTCATTGATCAGCTGGGTGAGGGAGGAAGGAGTGTGCATGAACTGCAGAAGTTGAAGAAAAAATTGGAGATGGAAAAGGAAGAACTCCAGGTGGCCCTGGAAGAAGCTGAGTCTTCCCTGGAGGTAACCATGGGGTCATCACCTTGGGGACTGTGGACCCTTGGCCAGGCACTGCACATCTTCTTGGCCAGAAAGACTCATGGTTATATTTCTGGTAGGTTGAAGAGAGCAAGGTGATTCGAATTCAGTTGGAACTGGCTCAGGTTAAAGCTGACATCGACCGAAGAATCCATGAGAAAGAAGAAGAATTTGAGGCTACCAGGTATGGAGCTGGTGGGATGGGAGGCTGACTCTTGGGAAGTGTGATGGAGCAGAGTCCAGAAACCCCAGTCTCTTCCACCTACTAGTCGCGTGACGTTGGGCAATTCAGGTGAACCTTGCTGAACATGTTTCCTCATCTATGAAATGGAAATAAAGACTGTACCTCACACTACCGTGTCTAGTTTATGAACACTTTGTTTTTTGGGTTTTTCTTTTTTGGTTTTTTTGGGGGTTCTTTTTGGTTTTTTTTTTTTTTGAGACAGAATCTTGCTCTGTTGCCTAGGCCACAGTATAGTGGTGCAATCCCAGCTCACTGCAACTTCCGCCTCCTGGTTTCAAGCAATTCTCCTGCCTTAGCCTCCCAAGTAGCTGGGATCACAGGCATGTGCCACTGTGCCCAGCTAATTTTTGTATTTTTACTAGAGACAGGGTTTCACCATGTTGGCCAGGTTGGTCTTGAACTCCTGACCTCAAGTGATCCGCCCACCTCAGCCTCCCAAAGTGCTGGGATTACAGGCATGAGCCATCGTGCCCGGCCTATGAACACTTTAGATGTAGTATTTTAGCCATGATGGTTAATGAAGCAGAGAATCTGTTATGTGGTTACTGGCTGTTTGTATATCTTCGGAGAAAAGTCTGTTCTTTGCCCCTTTCAAAAATTGGATTGCTTCTTTTTATTGTTGAGTTGTAAGAGTTCTTTATATATTTTGAACACTTGACTTATCAGATATGATTTGCAAATATTTTTTCCCATTCTATGGTTGTCTTGTCGCTTTTTTTTTTTAATTATACTTTAAGTTTTAGAGTACATGTGCACATTGTGCAGGTTAGTTACATATGTATACATGTGCCATGCTGGTGCGCTGCACCCACTAACTCGTCATCTAGCATTAGGTAGTCTTGTCACTTTCTTAAAAGTATCCGTTGAAGCATAAAGGTTATTTAATTTTGGCTGGGCGCAGTGGCTCACGCCTGTAATCCTAGCACTTTGGGAGGCTGAGATGGGAGGATCCCTTGAGCTCAGGAGTTTGAGATCAGCCTGGGCAACATAGCAAAACCCCGCTCTACAAAAAAAAAATAAAAAATAAAAATAAAAAAAAAAAATAGCTGGGTGTGGTGGTATGGCCTGTAGTCCCAGTTACTGGGGAGGCTGAGATGGGAAGATCACTTGAGCCCCAGAGTTCAAGGCTGCAGTGAGTTATGATCACACTACTACACCATCACAGAATGTGACGGTTTTTCCATTACAGCCTGAGCCACAGAGTGACTCTAAAACAACAAAATGACCTTCCTTTTATTTCCCCAAAGCATGAAACCCTCATCCCTGTCTTGCACCTTTTTAAGGGTTTGTTTAATTTCATGACATGGTGCCTGTACTCATGCTGATGCTGAGACCTCTTCTCTAGGAAGGCTTAGCACAGACTGAACAGCCAGCCCAGTATGCCAAGGTCTTCTCTGCTTGGACTTACAGGAAGAACCACCAGCGGGCAATCGAGTCCTTGCAGGCCAGCCTAGAGGCAGAGGCCAAGGGCCGGGCAGAGGCACTTCGGCTCAAGAAGAAGATGGAGACGGACCTGAATGAGATGGAAATCCAGCTGGACCACGCCAACAAGAACAACAGCGAACTTGTAAAGACATTGAAAAGGCTGCAACAGCAAATCAAGGTAGCGATCTGGGAGGAGGAGAAATGAGATACAAGGCACACCATCATTGGTTGAGTCTGAAGGCCTAAAGGGGGCTAACTCAATGCATGTCTTCAGCTAGCATAAAGGCATAAGAGAATGTGGGGTGGCTGGCAGTCCAGGGAACAGGAGGCTTGGGGACTATATAAAGAAGAGGCCCTCAACCACCGAAAGTCCAGATTCTGGACAATTGGAAAGATGGACCAAAGGAGGGAAACAGGAAGTTGGGCCCGTCTAGATTTTTATTTTATTTTATTTATTTATTTATTTATTTATTTATTTATTTATTTATTTATTTATTTGATGGAGTTTTGCTCTTGTCACCCAGGCTGGAGTGCAGTGGTGCAATCTCGGCTCACTGTAACCTCTGCCTCCCAGGTTCAAGCAATTCTCCTGCCTCAGCCTCCTGAGTAGCTGGGATTACAGGCACCCACCACCACGCCCAGCTAATTTTTGTATTTTTAATAGAGATGGGGTTTCACCATACTGGCCAGGCTGATCTCCAATGCCTGACCTCAGGTGATCCACCCACCTCAGCCTCCCAAAGTGCTGGGATTACAGGCGTGAGCCACCACGCCCAGCCCTGTCTTGATTTGTAAAATCATTTTTTACTTATTATAAACTATTTCAGACATAGAGAAATGAAGAACACAACAAAACTCATATACCCACTACTTGCTTTAAAAAATAAACACAAACAGAGCTGAAGACCCCTTTACAATCATTCCATTATGAGGCTGGTCTTTACAGTATACATGGCTGGAACCACACATCCAACACTTGCTAACTGGAGATGTGCCCTAACCAGGTACTGTTTTAGGTGTCCAAGAGTGGACAAGACAATGCTGGACACATTTGGTGTTCACATGTAGTCCCAGCTACTCAGGAGGCTGAAGAGAGAGGATTGCTTGACGCCAGGCTTGAGTTCGTGACTGGCCTGGGCATCATAGCGAGACCCCATCTCCACAAAAAATAAAATTAGCCAGGCATGGTGGTGCTCGTGCCTGTAGTTCCAGCTACTCAGGAGCCTGAGGTGGAAGGATCGCTTGAGCCCAGGAGTTGGAGATTGCAGTGAGCTGTGACTACACCACTGCACTCCAACCTGGGTGACAGAGACCCTGTCTCAAAAACAAAACAGAGTGGACAAAACAGACAAACATCCCCAAGCAGACAGCAACAAAAATAAAACTGTATTATTAAAACTGGTGATAAGTCCTATGGAGAAATAAGAGGACAGGCCAGGCGCAGTAGCTCACGCCTGTAATCCCAGCACTTTGGGAGGCCGAGGTGGGCAAATCACTTGAGGTCAGGAGTTTGAGACCAGCCTGAGCAACCTGGCAAAACCCCATCTCTACTAAAAATATAAAAATTAGCCAGGTGTGGTGGCAGGCACCTGTAATCACAGGTACTTGGGAAGGTGAGGCAGGAGAATCACTTGAACCCGGGAGGCGGAGATTGTAGTGGAGCTGAGATCATGCCATTGAACTCCAGCCTAGGGGACAGAGCAAGACTCTGTCTCAAAAAAAAAAAAAAAAAAAAAAAGAGAGAGAGAGAAATAAGAGGACAGAAGAGAGCGGAGCATCAGCCTAGCCAGGATTAGAATATGATTGGCAGAGGTCACTGGGAAGGCCTCCTGGAGAAGGCTGTGCTGGGAACACCAGGTGCTCTATCATCAGGAAAGGTTTGACTTCATGTTGACCTTATGTTAGATAACTTCCTGGGTCCTGGCCCTGCTGGGGCTCCACCATACCATAAACTTCCCAAGACCAGGTCTGTTCCTCACTCTTCTTCTGTGGCCTCCCCGCCTGCCCAGTTTCCTGCTGAACCCAGTCGATAAAGGTCACAGCGCCCTCACGCCTGGCCACCCCCAAGGTGATACCACGGCCCAGTGTATGGGCTGAGGCTGGGTCCCTGTGCCCCCCAGGACCTGCAGGTCCAGATGGACGAGGATGCCAGGCAGCACGAGGAGCTGCGGAAGCAGTACAACCTGCAGGAGCGGCGCTTGAGCCTGCTGCAGACGGAGCTGGAGGAGGTGCGCTCAGCCCTGGAGGGCAGCGAGCGTTCACGCAAGCTGTTGGAGCAGGAAGTGGTGGAGATCACCGAATGGCACAACGAGATCAACATCCAGGTAGGACAGGGCTCCTGGGTCAGTGCCACTCGCACCCACACTCCGGGGGTTAGGGGGTGCTGGGGTGAGGCCGGGATGGTGCCCAAACCACGTGAGCCCCCCTCAAAACTCAGAGGCAGGCAGTGCACCCCACTCAGCAAATCCTCAAAACTCATCTGCAGAGCTTTTTGTAAAATTGTGACTTAAAAGTCCAGGATATAAAATATATCCCAGCCTGGGCCAGGCACTGTGGCTCATGCCTATAATCCCAGCACTTTGGAAGGCTGAGGTGGGCAGATCACCTGAGGTCAGCAGTTCGAGACCAGCTTGGCCAACATGATGAAACCCCGTCTCTACTAAAAATACAAAAATTGGCCAGGTGTGGTGGCACACACCTGTAATCCCAAGTACTCAGGAGGCTGAAGCAGGAGAATTGCTTGAACCCGGGAGGCGGAAGTTGCAGTGAGCCAAGATCATGCCACTGCACTCCAGCCTGGGTGACAGAGTGACCATCTCAAAAAAAAAAAAATATATACACACACACACACACACACACACACACACACACACACACACACACATCCCAACCTGGCCAACATGGTGAAACCCCATCTCTACTAAAAATACAATAATTAGCCATGTGTGGTGATGCATACCATAATCCCAGCTGCTACTTGGGAGGCTGAGGCACAAGAATCACTTGAACCCCAGAGGTCGAGGATGCAGTGACCCAAGATCATGCCACTGCATTCCAGCCTAGGCGACAGAGAGAGACTCTGACTCAAAAATAAAAATAAAATAAAATATATAATCCTGGCCAGGCACAGTGGCTCACGTCTGTAATCCCAGCACTATGGGAGGCAGAGGTGGGAGGACTGCTTGAGGCCAAGAGTTCAAGACCAACCTAGGCAACATAGCCAGACTCTGTCTCTAAAAACATATGAAAAATTAGTTGGGTGTGGTGGTGTGCATCTGTAGTCCCAGGTACTTGGAAGGCTGAGGTGGGAGGATCGCTTGAGCCTAAGAGATTGAGGCCGCAGTGAGCTGTGATTGCACAACTGCATAATCCAGCCTGAGTAACAGAGCAAGATCCTGCCTAAAAAAAAAAAAAAGAAAAAAAAAAGAATGCAGGAGAGGGACCCATACCCCACGCAGAGGGCCCAGGGCCATTTCCTGTTGGGGTCTGGCAAGCATGTCTGGCAGAGGTCATGTTCTTTCCTGGACACAGGAAGGCCCATGCAGACCCCTGGCTCATAGTGATATCTCCATTTCTTCCTCCAGAACCAGAGCCTCCTCGTGGTCAAACGCAAGCTGGAGTCAGATGTCCAGCGCATCTCCAACGAGCATGAGGAGCTCATCAGTGAGTTCCGCTTGACCGAAGAGAGGGCCAAGAAGGCCATGATGGACGTAAGTGCGTGTGCCCCTTGCTGCTAGCAGGCAGGGCCTAGGCGCCTGCTGAGGACCAGGCTGCCTGGGCAGGAAGGCCACCTCCTCCCATCGTGGGCCACTGTGGACCCGAGCATGGTTCCCTGCCAGGGAGAATGTGGCCCTGCTCTGGAGGAGCCCAAGGCTTTTCTAAAAAAGCCACACACGTGAAAGTAAGAAAGAATTACAAGCTCTAGGTGATTATGTGAAAGATTATAGCACAAGGCCCGGGGTCTTGCATCAAAGAAGCCATCAAAGTGGGTTCATCTGGGCAGCCTTTTTGGCAATGAGATGCATTAAAACAGCCTTGGGCCAGGCATGGTGGCTCACGCTTGTAATCCCAGCACTTTGGGAGGCCAAGGCAGCAGGACTGCTTGAGGCCATAAGTTCAAGACCAGCCTGGGCAACATAGCAAGACCCTGTCTCTACTAAAAATGTTAAAAATTAGCCGGGCATCATGGCATGTGCCTGTAGTCCCAGCTACTCAGAAGGCTGAGACAGGAGGATCACCTGAACCCAGGAGTTTGAGGTTGCAGTGAGTCATGATCCCGCCACTGCACTGCAGCCTGGGCGACAGAACAAGACCCTGTCTCAGAACATGAAATAATAACAATAACAATAAAAGCAAACAGCCTTGAGGGAAGGGCTAGTAAAAGGAAGATGGATGAGCCCAGGGACGCAGAGGAGGACATTGGTGGATGAGCCTGGGGACGCAGTGGAGGATGTTGGCAGGATATGCCCCCAAGTGCTCTCAGCCCAGTATCCCTTCGGGTGTTCACACCAGCCTCGAGTGGTGGGTTCTGTTTACTCCCCACTTGGAAGATGAAGGAATACAGATTTTCATCATCAGGCTCCTCTCACTTGATCGAAATCTCAGGAGTTCAGGAACATTGCTGGTCTTACTTGTTGCTACCTCCCAAGAGCACAGGCCCATGTCCGGCCCACGGTAGACCCTCATGAACATTTGTAGAATGAATGTAAGGAGAAAGGGACTGAGAGGGGATAAGCAACATGCTGAAGGTCACTCAGGGCCAGACACAGTCCTGGGTCTTCCAACTCCAGAGGCTGTGCTTTTCTCACCCTCCATGCTGTGCCCCTCATGGAGACAGCAGTCAGTAGGGTTTGGCTTGAGTGTGCCCAGCTGCTGGGAGTCTGTGGGGATGGGAGGCATGAGCTTGGCTCCCCCTCCCCTCTCGGGGGCAAAGGGGAGCATAGAGCACCCCTTCCACCAAACCCCAGCAGCATGTCAGCGGGGCTTCCCTTGTCAACCAGTTGGTTTCCTAGAGACCGGGAGACAAGGCCTCACATCTCTCAAAGGAGCTATGAGCCTGGGTAGCACCCAGCTCCAACCCCTGCTCTTCTTTTCCCCACCTGCAGGCTGCCCGCATGGCAGAAGAACTCCGGCAAGAGCAGGACCACTGCATGCACCTGGAGAAGATCAAGAAGAACTACGAGGTCACCATCAAAGACCTGCAAGCCAAGATGGAGGAGGCCGAGCAGCTGGCTCTGAAAGGCGGCAAGCGAACGATCATGAAGCTGGAGGCCAGGGTAAGGGCGATGCAGGGCTCAGCCAAGGGAGGAATGGGGATCTGGCGGGGCGGGGGGTATGTGTGTGAGATGCCTGTCTTTTGCCAAAAACATGTCCTGCATTTGATGAAGAATCGGGTTATGCAACTGTTAAGAAGAAATTGAAAGGACCAGGTGCAGTGGCTCACGCCCGTAATCCTAATACTTTAGGAGGCCAAGGCGGGAGGATCGCTTGAGGCCAGGAGTTTGAGACCAGCCGGGGCAACATAGTGAGACCTCCATCTCTTAAAAAAAAAATGTTAAATTAGCTGGGTGTGGTGGCACATGCCTGTAGTCCCAGCTACTCAGGAGGCTGAGTTGGGAGGATTGCTTGAGCCCAGGAGGTTGAGGCTACAGTGAGCTATGATAGCACTACTGCACTTCAGCCTGGGTGACAGAGCCAGACCCTGTCTCAGAAAAAAAGAGAAAAGAAGGAAAGAAAGAAAGAAGGAAGGGAGGGAAAGAAAGAGAAAAGGAAATTGAGGGAAGAGCTCTAATTTCTCTCAAGTTCTCCTCTCCTCTTTCCCTCCCTGTCACCTTCCTCCCCAGAATGTCCTTAGCCTCAAGCAGAGCAGTCCCCAATATTCTCCTTGCCTTTTTTTACTAACTGAAAGAAAACAAGCCTTAGTCTTTACCCCATGAAATGCCAGAGCTGGAAGGGCCCAGAAGATTCCATCATTTTGTCTGACTCCCTAACACCCCCATTTCCCAGATGAGGGAATTTGAGGCTCAAGAGAAAGTGTCTGACAATCACAGCATGGCCTATAAAAGCCAGAGCCCACCCAACTCTCCTGTCCAGGGTCCATCCCCTCACCTCTGGGCAGGCAGTGGACACTGCAGCCACAACGCCCCTGTCTGAGGCCACTGAGCTCTGAAGCTCAAAACCACATGTTCCAGGAGGCTGAGGCAGGAGGATCACTTGAGCGCAGGAGGTCAAGGCTGCAGTAAGCCATGATCACGCCACTGCCCTCCAGCCTGGGCAACAGAGCAGGACCCTGTCAGAAAAACAAAAAACAAAACACACACGTTCGCTCAGCCGCATTCCTCTCTTCCTCCCACAGATCAAGGAACTAGAGACAGAGCTGGATGGGGAACAGAAACAGCACGTGGAGACAGTCAAGACACTGTGTAAGAATGAGCGTCGCCTCAAAGAGCTGGTCTTCCAGACAGAGGAGGACCACAAGACCAATCAGCGCATGCAGGCGCTGGTGGAGAAGCTTCAGAACAAGCTGAAGGTCTACAAGAGGCAGATTGAGGAGGCGGTGGGTGTCCATGCGCCTCCCCACTCCTCCTTCCCTCACTCTTGTTTCTCAGTGCGGGTCGCCAGCCTTGCTGGGAATTAACCACAGGGAAAGAAGCAAGCACTGGCCCTAAGATGACTCTGCGAGGCTCATGTCCATGGTGTCTCCTCCTTGGAATCCAGTGGGAGGGAGGACCAGACACTACACACCAGAGATAAGAACTTGTAAAGAGGCCAGGCATGGTGGCTCATGCCTGTAATCCCAGCACTTTGGGAGGTCGAGGTAGGTGGATCACCTGAGGTCAGGAGTTTGAGACCAGCCTGGCCAACATGGTGAAACCCATCTCTACTGAAAATACAAAAATTAGTCAGGCGTGGTGGCGGGCACCTTAATCCCAGCTACTTGGGAGGCTAAGGCAGGAGAATTGCTGGAACCTAGGAGGTGGAGGTTGCAGCGAGCCGAGATCAGACCACTGCACTCCAGCCTGGGCGACAGAGCGAGACTGTCTCTCAAAAAAAAAATTTTTTTTTAATGCACACTTAACCAGAACCAGCCACGTTTATGCCCCGTTTCCCGCCGTGCCTTTGTCACAGGAGGACCAGGCCAACCAGACCTTGGCTCGATACAGGAAGACGGTGCATGAGCTGGATGACGCTGAGGACCGGGCTGGCATGGCAGAGACTGCCCTAAACAAGCTGCGCACCAGACACCGCGTGGCCGGCAAGGGCATCACCTCTGTGGAGATCATCCAGGTGTCCAAGACAGGCACCTCGAAAACCCTTTCTGAGGAGTGAGGCCCTCCGTGTCCTAGGCCACAACTGGTAGGTGTGGACTCCGCTCTGGACGGTCTCGCTCAGAGCGCTCCTTCCCTGCACTGGCTTTGCTGCTAGTATTGGTACTATGTGACCCAGCCATACTCCCCCTGCTCCCCAGCTCCAGTCTTTGTCACACCCAGTCTCATGCAACAGGAACCCCAAAGCTCTTCCCCTCCTTCTTCAGCTGCAAAACTCCTCTAGAGTGTCACAGCCCTCGGGTGGGGTGCTGTTCACCTGTATCACAGGTGCTGGCCGACCTGATGTTCCCCCATCTGCACAGAAGGGCGGTTCCCAAGTGTGATGCCACTTGACACTAGCCTTGGAACCTAGGTGCTTAGTACAGTCACAGGGACGTCCACAAGCTTATGGCAATGTGTGTTATCTTTCGTGTCCCCCACAATATCATTTTTCACTGGAGATTTCATCAATCCTGGTTGAATTCAGGTCTCTAACACTAAGAAAATGATAATTATCATCACAGCTACCATTTCTTGAACACTGAGTGCAGGTGGGATTTTAAGGAAACAATTTAAAGTAGTCTTTATTCCCCTTAATTCAGAACTAATCAAGGACAAAAAATATTGGAGATAAATATATAAAAGTTAAAATAGGCTGGGCACAGTGGCTTGTGCCTGTAAATCCTAGTACTTTCAGAGGCCAAGGGGGAAAATGGTTTAAGCCCGGGAGTTCAAGACCAGCCTGGGCAACACAGTGAAACCCTGTCTCTACAAAAATAAAAAAAAATTATCCAGGCATGGTGGTGCACACCTGTAGTCCCAGTTACTCAGGAGGCTGAGATAGGAGGATCCCTTGAGCCCAGGAGTCTGAGGTTACAATGATCTAGCATTCCAGCCTGGGCAACACAGTGAGGCCCCATCTCAAAGAAAAAAAAGTCAAAATACTAGTTTTATTTATTTATTTGAGAGTCTCACTCTGTCACCAGGCTGGAGTGCAGTGGTGGGATTTCGGCTCACTGCAACCTCCGCCTCCCAGGTTCAAGCAGTTCTCCCAAGTAGCTAGGACTACAGGTGCACACCACCATGCCCAGCTAATTTTTGTATTTTTAGTAGAGACGGGGTTTCACCATGTTGGCCAGGATGGTCTCAGTCTCTTGACCTTGTGATCCACCTGCCTCAGCCTCCCAAAGTGCTGGGATTACAGGCATGAGCCACCATGCCTGACCCAAATACCAGTTTTAATATGCCATAATTCTAGATTGAGGATGGGGCTTTAATGTGTGTCCACCATAGGCATCCTCATACTTTGCCTCAAAATTAAAGATACCTGAAACCCCAACTCTACTAAAAATACAAAATTAGCCAGGCGTGATGGCACACGCCTGTAATCCCAGCTGCTCGGGAGGCTGAGGCACTAGAATTGCTTGAACCCAGGAGGCACGAGTTGCAGTGAGCCAAGATCACGCCACTGCACTCCAGCCTGGGTGACAGAGCGAGGCTCTGTCTAAAAAAAAAAAAAAAAAAAAAAAAAAACCAGAACTGAACAAATGCAGGCTTGATCCCCGGGGAGTAGCCACTATTCCTAGGAGAGGAACAATCAGAACCCATCATCCCTGGGAGTAGATCTAAAAGGAGAGATTAGATGGGGCTCAGCTCTGCCTTCCTGGTTCCTTATTCCAAAAACAAGATCAATCACTCCTTTTCCCATGGACAGAAGCAAAAGGAAAATGAGGGGTAAGGCACAGAATGTGATTCTGGAGGAGTGGATCCCAAAACATGGTCCCGGGACCAGCAGCATCAGTGTCACCTACGACATTCTTAGAAGTGCCTATTCTTAGGCCTGGCTCCAGACCTATGCATCAGCAGCTCTGGGGGTGGGCCCAGCATCTGTGATTTAGCAAGCCCTCCAGGTGACTCAGATGTGTGACTGAGTTTGAGAACCACCCAGATACATGGAGCCAGGGTGTGGAGGTTTCTCCTTTAACAAGAGCCAAGTGCTAAGAAAGAAAAGGCAACTGAAAGGGCTGGGCGCAGTGTCTCACGCCTCTAATCCCAACACTTTGGGAGGCCAAGGTGGGAGGATCACTTGAGGCCAGAAGTTCGAGACCAGCCTGGGCAACATAGCAAGACCCTATCTCTACAAAAAAATGTAAAAAATGAGCGTGGTGGTGGCTAAGTGCATGGAAAATGCTTTTCACTCTCTTTTCTACCCTACAAGGTAGGTATAAATATCCCCGTTTGTCAGGTGAGGAAAATGAGCTTGGAGAAGTTTGGTGACTTGCTCATGGTCACACACACCCTGTGCTATGAAAAGGCAAGTTATCTTTTATTTGAAGTTACTGTGGAGATTGATATGGTTGCCCTCTATGTGGGATTAATCAGGGCAGCAAAAAATCAAAGACTGGTTCGCTTTGGGAGGTGGGGTGGGGCTGAACCCTAAGCACCGACCTCCGTGGCTTCTGGGAATTATATCTGGCCTCACTGAATCAACAGCTTGTTGAATCAGCCCCTAGTGAGGAGGGTAAGTTTCCCTGCTCAGTTACGATTCGCTATCTTTCAGTAATGGTGGTCAGTTTGGGTTTTGGCCAAAAGCGATAACCCCATTGAACTTTGATGTGAAGCTGAGCTTTATCTGACCGTTTGCTTAGGGAGGAGATAAAATATGGGGCACAGAATCTTTTTCTGAATTCTCTAACCCTGAAATAATGGTTAGGTCAGGAAGTTAAGGAAATCAGAAGCTTGTCTCTGCATTAATGTGTTTTACCTTTCAGGCAAAAACCTGAAAGGGATCCCTCCCAGTGAGCTCTGACCTAGGTGGGAACTACTCATGAGGCTTCCTGTACACCCAGACTCAGAAGGCAGTTCAGCTCCTTCCACTAGGAGTCTTAGGCTCCAGGATTAGACATCCTTTAAAGCAGGTCCCCTGCCCTGGTTTGGCTGGACCTGGTACAATTGCTCTGTCACAGCAAGGATCTACTTCCATGCCATCAGGCTGCTATCCTGCCACCGGCACCCAGAGGTGATGAGGCTGTGCCTCTGGGGTCTACTCTCCATGTCCTGATCCATCCATTTTGTTTTTATTTAATAAGCCAGGCATGATGGCAGGTCCTTGTAATCCCAGCTACTCAGGAGGTTGAGGCAGGAGAATTGCTTGAACCTGTGAGGCAGAGGTTGCAGTGAGCCGAGATTGTGCCACTCCAGCCTGGGCAACAAGAGTGAGAGTCCGTCTCCAGAAAAATAAAAAAATAAAAAAAAACTGAAAAGAAAAAAATTAAAAACATAAATATAAAATATTTTAACAGAAATTTAAGAGAATAAATAAAACCGATCCTTCACCAGGCAGAGGAGAGAAGGGAATTCCAGACAGAAGGCCCAACACACACAAAAGTGCAAAGGTGGGATGTGCACAAGGGCACAGGCTGGCTGGAGTAGATGGGCTCAGAGAGCTGCAGCGCGGTGGGGGATGAAGCTAGCAGGGTAGGGTAGGCAGGGGTGAGGCTGTGAATGGCTCTACTGGGTGCAAGTATTCCATAAACTCCATAAGGAAACCTTACTAATTTTAAAAATCCATTTGTGGGATGAGACATGAAGTAGCTTTTCTTTCTTTGGAAGATGGTCACATCACAATAGCAAAACCCCTTGTGACACATCACAGGCAGGCTCTCAGGGAGAGCTCTGTATCCCAGGGCACTGCACTCTGAGCCCACTCAATGACTTGTATGGGCACATTATGCCCAAAGGTGTCTCTAAACCCTCAAAACCTCATGCAGAACAAGCTAGGTATAACTCAACAGTATCCATTACTAGGAAGGAAGCCTTTGCAGAAGCTTCCTAGGCATCCCAGGGAGCTGTCTTTCCAGCAAGACAGGAGCAAAGATGTCAGAGCTCCCAGCTCTGACCCACATGGACTTGCTCACCTTGCTCACCATCTCTCTTTCTCTCTCTTTCCAGGGTAATACAGATCTCAACTGCAGTCCATTCAGAGGGAGAAAATATGAAAATGGAAAACTGGGTCTGTCCTGAGAATGTTTACTATGCAAAAGAAAGTGCAAGCCAGGAAGAGACAGGTGGTGAAGAATAAAGAGCGCTATGGTGGAAAATGAGCTTGAGAATGTAAAACCCGCCATTAGAGGAATGAAAATGAGTGGGGCTTCTCTGGAACGGCAGTAAGCATTTGGATGACAGTAATGATGGATCTGTTTCAGTTGAGTTCCTACATGGTCATGTCAAGGACGGAATATGTAATGTCTGTGACCCGGCTGTTCTCTACAAAGAATTCCTCATGTTGACAATGTTAATGTCCCAATATAGCTTAAATAAAAGAAACATTAAAAAAATAGACCAACTGGAGCTTCTTTGCTTTCTTAGAGTCTTGCTCTGCGGCTCGGGCTGGAGTGCAGTGGCACAATCATGGCTCACTGCAGCCTTGAACTCCTGGGTACAGGCAATCTTCCTGCCTCTGCCTCCAGTACAGTACAGTAGCAGTACCGACGTGCAGCTATGCCAGGCTTTTATTTTTCTAGAGATGGGTTCTCACTATGTTGCCCTGACAGGTCTTGAATTCTTAGGCTCAAGCAATCCTCCCACCTCAGCATCCCAAAGTGTTGGGATTACAGGCATGAGCCACTACACTAGACTTAGAGCTTGTTTTTAAATGGAGAAATTTTCTTTTCCTAAGACTTATCCAAAGGCAATTTTTACCACTGCCATATAAAAAAATTTTGTTGCATCCCTATATACTAATTCACAGGCTTGCTTCTACTGGAAACCATGAAAACAATACAGTCTTGGTGAAGTTCTTTCCAAATTTTGAAAGTCTGTATCAGAGAAATGAAAACAAACTAGGTTTCTTAAAGCCAAGAAAGTTACGGAATCTCCGGAGCAGGTCAAGTCCATCCAAGCTAATGCTCCACATGGCCCCTGCACGTTCCACCTCATCTCCCAGGATGTCCAGACACCAGTGGGTCAGCTCCGTGAGGGCAGGCAGTTAGCTGTTTTGTTCACTACTATATCCTCAGCAACTAGAGACTACCAGGGCTGAAGTGTGCACATAGTAAACACATATAGAGTAAATGAAAGAATGAGCTGCCTCCCAGGGTAGTGTCCTTCCTGACATTGCCAGAAAGTTCTTCCTTCAATCCAGATGAGACCTGCCCCCCGGTGGCATCTGCATGCTGACCTGCTATTTCTTTCTTTTTTTAATTTTTTTGAGACAGTCTCACTCTGTCACCCAGGCTGGAGTGCAATGGCGCGATCTCGGCTCACTGCAACCTCCGCCTCCCGGGTTCAAGCGGTTCTCCTGCCTCAGCCCCCCAAGTAGCTGGGATTACAGGCATGCACCACCATGCCTGGCTAATTTTTGTATTTTTAGTAGAAACGGGGTTTCACCATGTTGGCCAGGCTGAACTCAAACTCCCGACCTCAGGTGATTCCCCCACCTCAGCCACCCAAAGTGCTGGGATTACAGGCATGAGCCACTGGCCCCGGCCGCTGACCTGGTGTTTCTACCCAAAGCCCTACAGAACAACCTTCATGGAAATCAGTTCTCAAAATAGGTCCCTACAATTTTTCTCTTCTTTAGGCTGAACATTCCTGAGTCTGTCAACCCTCCCTCCCGTGGCAGGGTTTCCGTTGTGATCTTCTAATACTCCTCGACCCTTTCCTTTCCTTGCCCTCCTAGTCTTTGGAGAGCTGTGGTGGGGGCAGCGCCATGAGGGAGGGCTCCCTGCCAGTTCCCAGCCCTCAGAACACACTGGCTCTCTGGGAATGGCGTGTCTTCCAGCATTCTGACCTCTCTCCAATCTGTTGGCAGGCAGAAATCACTGTCTGGGGTGGTGGAGAGAGGAACACTACTTCTTTGGTGGGTCCCTCTCCACCTTCACAAAAGGGCACATCACCCCTGTGATAGTTCTGAACTTGGCACTCTCGGCTGGGCAAGGTGGTTCATTCCTGTGATTCCAGAACTTTGGGGGGCCGAGGCAGGAGGATCACTTGAGGCCAGGAATTCAAGACCAACCTGGGCAACATATTGAGACCCTGTCTCTACAAAAAATGTAAAAATTAGCCAACCATGGTGGTGCACGCCTGTAGTCCCGGTTACTTGGGAGCCTGAAGGAGGATCACTTGAGCCCGGGAGGTCGAGGCTGCAGTGAGCTCTGATGGCATCACTGCACTCCAGCCTAGGTGACAAAGCGAGACCCTATCTCAAAAAAATAAACAACTGGGCGTTCTCTAGTCGGAGCCCTGGAGGGAACTTTGGTTCCTTCTATGCAATTGGACCAAATGTGATAACACTGCCCTCTGGTGGCAGGGTCTCTAACTGCTGCGTGTGGATTTCCCGGGAGACACCAAATCACAGAATCTTAGAATTGTGTATTACAAAATTCTAGGGCTGGAAGGGGCATTTAAAGGGCATCTAGACCAATTCTGAAGCAGCTGGGGATTCCCCCCCATAATATCCCTGAAAGAAATGATAATCCAACTTCTACGTGAACCTTCCCAGTGAAAAAAGGCAGCCCATTCCAGTTTTTAGTTTTGTTTTGAGACAAAACAAAACCAAAACCAGGGTCTTACTCTGTTGCCCAGACTGGAGTGCAGTGGTGTGATAGCTCACTGCAGCCTCAATCTCCCAGGTTCAAGGGACCCTCCCATCTCAGCCTCCTAAGTAACTTGGACTACAGGTGCACACCACCACACCCAGCTGATTTTTTTTGTTTTTTGTAGAGATGGGGTCTCACTATGTTGCCCAGACTAGCTTTTAACTCCTGGGCTCATGTGATTCTCCCACCTTGGCATCCCAAAGTGCTGGGATTACAGGTGTGAGCCATTGTGCCCGGCCCCATTCCAGTTTTGACTAATGATCATGGTCAAAAAGTCCCACTTAATATTGAATGAGAATGTATGTCCCTGCATTTTGCCCTTACTTTGCTCCAGCCTTCACCTCTATAATCACATAAGTCAAATCTGTACCCTCTGAAGTCAGACAGATACAGGTTCCACTTTCCCGGCAGTGTGACTTTGCAATTAGACACTTGCCCAGTTTCTCCTAGCATTCCGTAGGACTTCAACACTTGTCCTCCGGCTAGGGATTTGTCATGAAAAGGTCAACCTTGAGTTATGGTTGAATCAAAGGCTAAAAGGGAACCTGTCAGCTATTATAAGGGACTCTTCTTTCCACTTCTTCCTGAGCCCTGGCTTAGGCTAATAAAAAATGTGTTCTGTAGCTTTGCAGTAATACTTCCATAAAACTTCCCTCTACAGATGTTTTTTGTTTGTTTTTGTTTTTTTGAGATGGAGTTTTGCTCTTGTTGCCCAGGCTGGAGTACAATGGCACAATCTCAGCTCACTGCAACCTCCACCTCCCAGGTCCAAGTGATTCTCAAGCCTCAGCCTCCCAAGTAGCTGGGATTACAGGCGCCCACCACCACACCTGGCTAATTTTTGTATTTTTAGTAGAGATTTTTAGAGAGATTTAGTTTCACCATGTTGCCCAGGCTGGTCTTGAACTCCTGATCTCAGGTGACACGCCCGCCTCGGCCTCCCAAAGCGGTGGGATTACAGGTGTGAGCCACTGTGCCTGGCCTACAGATGTTTTTAAAAACCAACTTTAAATATGGCAGCAATAAAGTAACCAGACTAAAGGGAGAAATGCATTATGGGAATTAGGTCTGGTGATCAGAAAGGCTCCCGTAGGAGTAGGTACAGGGTGCTACAGGAGAGGCACTCGGCCCAGTCTTGGAGGATAAAGGAATGTGTCTGGAAGAAGTCATGTCTCTGCTGAAGCTTAAGGTGAGTAGGAGTTAGGCATCCAGGGGAGAGAGGGCTTGTGGGAAGAAGAGTGGGAGAGCAGGAGGAGGTAGGTAGGGTGTGTCAGCTAAGAGTGTGCTTGGCTGCAGGTGGCAGCACACTGAGCCAACAATGGCATACGTGGCAGAGACATTTAACAATCTCACACACACACACACCCCACCCCGCCCCGGCAGATGGTTTCAGAATGAGTGCGGTGTGAAAGCGCCAGGTCTCCACCTTTCCATCCTGCAGCATCCTTGGGCCTGTCAAGGTGATTGCCAACAGCGTTAGGCATCATATCTTCCCCTGCCATGTTTAAGCTAGTAAAAAGATAAGGGCTGGGTGCTGTGGTTCATGCTTGTAATCCCAGCACTTTGGGAGGCTGAGGCGGGCGGATCATGAGGTCAGGAGATCAAGACCATCCTGGCTAATGCGGTGAAACCCCGTCACTACTAAAAATACAAAAAACTAGCCAGGCATGGTGGCGGGTGTCTGTAGTCCCAACTACTCAGGAGGCTGAGGCAGGAGAATGGCATGAACCGAGGAGGCGGAGCTTGCAGTGAGCGGAGAACTTACCATCTCTTTTTTTTTTTTTTTTTTTTTTTTGAGACGGAGTCTCCCTCTGTGCCCAGGCTGGAGTGCAGTGGCACGATCTCGGCTCACTGCAACCTCCACCTCCCGGGTTCACGCCATTCTCCTGCCTCAGCCCCGCCGAGTAGCTGGGACTACAGGCGCCCGCCACCACACCCGGCTAATTTTTTTGTATTTTTAGTAGAGACGGGGTTTCACCGTGTTAGCCAGGATGGTCTCGATCTCCTGACCTTGTGATCCGCCTGCCTCGGCCTCCAAAGTGCTGGGATTACAGGCGTGAGCCACCGTGCCCGGCCTGAACTTGCCATCCTTTTATCAAGGAGTACATTTTTTTCCAGAAGCTCCCCATGAAACGAACTTGTGAGTGTTGATTGGCAGAAATTGATGGCACACGGCCATCCCAAAACCAATTAGTGGCAAGTGGGAATGGGCTTGCTGTATTAGACATGGACCAATCGTGGTTCACTCCCTGGACTTGGGGAGGGCCTAGCTTCCCTGAAAGCCACCAGAACAAAAGTAGGGAAGCCAAGTAGGGAAAGGTGTTGTGTGGGCAGCCAGTGTCTACCACATAGACGACGTGGTCAGAGACAAAGGTGATAGACCACAGAGACCTCTGTGACTTGTTATGGAGTGCAGACTTTATTCTAAGGGTGAAAGAGATGTGTCCGATGGTTTCCTCATGATCCGATTCAGGTCCTGTATATAATGTAGGTGAAGTTGTATCTCACCTACTGCAGCACACTGGAAGATACATGATGTCAACCTAAACTCTGTTCGTGATGTCAACTTTGATCACTTGATTAAGGTGTCCACCTCCATCAAGGAACATTCTAGAAAATAACTGGTGTGGGCTGTTTAAGACTCCCAACTCCAACATTCTAGAAAACAACTGGTGTGGGCTGTTTAAGTCTCCCAACTCCAACTCCCCAGGTGCCGTGGCTCATGCCTGTAATCCCAGCACTTTGGAAAGCTGAGGCGGGCAGATCACGAGGTCAGGAGTTCAAGACCAGCCTGACCAACATGGTGAAACCCCTGTCTCTATTAAAAATACAAAAATTAGCCAGGTGTGGTGGCACACGCCTATAATCCTAGCTACTCAGAAGGCTTGAATCGCTTGAACCCAGGAGGCGGAGGTTGTAGTGAGCCGAGATTGCACCACTGCACTCCAGCCTGGGTGACGGAGCAAGACTTTGTTTCAAAAAAAAAAAAAGACTCCCAATTTCACAAAAGCCAAAAACAAAAAAAATGGCTGAGGACCTTGTCTCTAGTCCCAGCTACTTGGGATACTTGGGAGGCTGAGGCAGGGTCACTTGGGCCCAGGAGTTCAAGGCTGTGGTAGCTATGACTGCACCTGTGAATAGCCACTGCACTCTACCCTGAGCAACACAGCAAGACCCCATCTCAAAAAAAAAAAAAAAGACTGAGGTGAAGAACTGTTCCAGATTAGACTAAAGAAAGATAAGAACTAAGTGCAACAACTGATCTCAGATTGGCTCCAGGATTGCGGGGAAAAAAAAAAAAAAGCTAGAAAGGACATTATTGACCAGGCACAGTGGCTTACACCTGTGATCCCAGCACTTTGGGTGCCTGATGCAGGCAGATCACTTGAGTCCAGGAGTTTGAGACCAGCCTGGGCAACATGGTGAAGTTCCATCTCTACTAAAAATACAAAAATTAACCAGGCATAGTGGCCTGCAACTGTAATCCCAGTTACTCAGGTGGTTGAGGCACGAGAATCGCTTGAACCCTGGAGGCAGAGGTTGCAGTGAGCTGAGATTGCACCACTGCACTCCAGCCTGGGCAACAGAGCAAGACTGTCCGAAAAATGAAAAAAAAAATTTTTTTTAAAGTAAAAAAAGGCATTATTGGCACAAGTGAAATTTGAATATAAACTTATAACTAACATATTAATTTGTTATATTAAGATTTGTAACTAACATATTTATTATTATAGTAAATAACATTGAATTAATGTTAAATGTCCTAAATTTAATTGTATTACAGTTGTAAAAGAGAACTTCCGTGTTCTCCAGAGATACATACTGAAGTATGAGGAGTGAAGAGTCTCATGTCTGTGACTTACAAAATGACTCAACAAATAATTATATCACTATTACTATTACACAGATACACATATTTTATATATATATATATATGAGAGAGAGAGAAAGCAAATGTGACAAAATGTTCACAAGTGGTAAATTTAAGGAAACAGGTATATTGATATTCATTATTCTCACATATTTTGCAACTTTTCTGTAGGTTTGAAAGTTTTTAAGGAAAAAAAGAAATACATAGGAGGTGGAGGTGCTATGACTTGGTAACTAACTTCCTGGGGGCCATTAATCAATCTGTGGTGGATGATGATACCTTGGTCTGAGAGGTAGAGGAGAGCAGAATCTGAGGTGGGGAGCAGAGGCAAACATCAGGTTTGACATCAATTGAACTGAGGTGGGAGGTGATGAGACACCAGGTGGAGACTGTCATGAGGGAGCAGTATGAATTAACAGGGGTCAGGAACAAACTGAGATGCAGATCTGCAGGTTGGCAGTCTATGGGTGGTGGCTGAAGCCAAGAGCTTGTGAGATCACCTAGAGGGCAGGTGTGGATGGGCCCATATTCTTGGGCTCACTTGCACTTAAGATCTGGGTGCAGAAGTAAGAATCAAGCAAGAATGGTTACGCTCATGAGCAAACCAGCTATTTCATTCAGGGTTCCTATAAAAATAACCATTAGACTTGCGATTTTCTACCACTTTAAATCTCCTCCTAGAGACACTCTTGTATTGGTTAACTTCTCTCCAGGTGGGGGATTACGAGGCTTTTGTCAACATCTTCCTTGGGAGCGTGATATGGTAAGAAGCCTACAAATACATTTGTGATATAAGCATGCAAAACAGAGGTACACTATATGCTACAATTAGAACTACGATCCTCCCAGGTTAATTCATTCCTGAAAACAATTCTCAGATCAAATAAGCCCATATGAAGTTATTTTAAATGAGAAAATAGGAATGTATTCCTAGCCTGTGCAGAAACTCCAGTTTCTCCAAATATCACTAAAACCCTCTCAAACATCTATAAAACAATCCTCCAAACATTTCTGCATAATATAAACATTTAAACATGAATTATCTAATTATTTAACACTTAATGAACTCCATGGTGATTACGTTTGCAATAGTACACAATGATATGCACTCTATTGAATGAGAATTAGATATCCTCCCCAACCTGCAACTAACATGTACAGTAAAGCAAACAACAACATAATAGTGAGTTAAAGATAGATAATTAAATGCAACAAGATTTAGCAAACTGAAATGGACAAATGGGATTTTTTTTTTAATGGCTACTTGCCGAATGATTCTGATAATGGAGCACTGGGGCAACAGACAACCCTCCCATTAGTGATAATTAGAAAAGTGGGCAAAATATACAAAATATCTACTCAAAGATAAGAGAGCACTAATGAGGTAGTAAATACCTACCAGGTCAATGTCCAAGAGAACAGAGTATGTAAGAGAGTGAGCCCATCAGCAGGACTGTTTTACCCCAAGGGCTACTTGGTGATTCCAGAACAGGTGGCTGAGAGCCTAAGCAGTACTTGTTTTGTTTTTTTTTGTTTTTTTTTGAGAAGGAGTCTCACTCTGTCGCCCAGGCTGGAGTGCAATGGTGCCATCTCAGCTCACTGCAACCTCCACTTCCCAGGTTCAAGAGATTCTCCTGCCTCAGCCTCTGGAGTAGCTGGAATTACAGGTGTGCGCCACCACGCCCAGCTAATTTTTGTATTTTCAGTAGATACAGGGTTTCACCATGTTGGCCAGGCTGGTCTTGAACTCCTGATCTCAGGTGATCCGCCCACCTCGACCTCCCAAAGTGCTGGGATGACAGGTGTGAGCCACCACATCCAGCCCTAAGCAGTACTTTTGACAGCCTTTCAGGAGTCTGGGGCCCTCCAAGGTTGGGGAGTCTTAGGAAATACCTGTTATACTAGTCAGGATTCTTCAGAGAAACAGAACAAATAGGAGATATTAGATAGAGATATAAAGAGATGGAAAATTGACTCACACAATTATGAAGGCTGGCAAGTCCAAAATCTGCAGAGCCAGTGTCCCAGTTCAAATCTGAAGGCTGGAAGCTTCTGCAGAACCAGAAAAGGCCAATGTTCTAGTTCAAAGGACTCACTTGAACCCAGGGTTTGAGGCTATAGTAGCTATGATCACACCTGTGAATAGCCACTGCACTCCACCCTGGGCAACACAGCAAGACCCCATCTCTAAAAAAAAAAAAAAGAAACACTGAGGTGAAGATCTGTTCCAGATCAGACTAAAGAAACAAAAATTAAGTGCAACAATTGATCTTGGATTGGCTCCAGGATTGAGAAAAAAAAAAGCCATCAGGAAGGAGAATATTCTCTTACTCAGGAGAGGGTCAGCCTTTTGTTCTATTCAAGTCTTCAACTGATTGGATGAGGCCCACCCACATTAGGGAGGCCAATCTGCTTTATTCAATCTACTGATCTAAAAGTCAACCTCACCCAAAAGTATCCTCACAGAAACACCCAGAATCCTGTTTGACCAAATATCTGGGCACCCTGTGGCCTAGTCAAGTTGACACATAAAATGATCCAAGTGTGACATAATAAGAAATATAGGCCGGGCACAGTGGCTCACACCTGTAATCCCAGCACTTTGGGAGGCCAAGGTGGATCACTTGAGGTCAGGCGTTCGAGACCATCCTGGCCGACATGGAGAAATCCCATCTCTACTAAAAATACAAAAAATTAGCTGGGCATGATGACACATGCCTATAGTCCCACCTACTCGGGAGGCTAAGGCAAGAGAATCGCTTGAACCTGGGAGGCGGACGTTGCAATGAGCCGAGATCACGCCACTGCACTCCAGCCTGGGCGACAGAGCGAGACTCCATCTCAAAAAACAAAAAAAGAAATATCTATTTTGTTTCTGACACAGAGCTTTTAAAATTGTTATACTACCCTGTATAACAGGGGTGAGAGGAACATCTTTTTTTTTTTTTTGAGACAGTCTCATTGTATCCCCCAGGCTGGAGTGCAGTGGGGTGATCTCGGCTCACTGCAACCTCTGCATCTCCAGTTCAAGCGATTCTCCTGCCTCAGCTTCCCGAGTAGCTGGGATTACAGGTGCCTGCCACCACGCCAGGCTAATCTTTGTATTTTTAGCAGAGACAGGGTTTTGCCGGGTGAGCCAGGCTAGTCTCGAATGCCTGACCTCAGGTGATCCACCCACCTCAGCCTCCCAAAGTGCCTGGATTACAGGCTGTGAACCACCGTGCCCAGCCTAACCTCTTTTGTTATAATATTTGGTCTTAGCTCCCAGTTCCTCACGTAGGAGCTTTTAAGCCCCTTGGAATCTCTGGAGTGGTAAGTGTCTTTTTGTATGCTAATGAGATGTCTGGTGGATGAGGGTGCTAGATGGTTCCAGAAAGAAACTAATTGCCAGAGGAACCAACTCTGTGATTAGAGGGTAGGAATTTTCAGTCCCACCCCTCCACCTCCAGGGATGAGAGGAGCTGGAGATTTATTTCAATTACCAATGGCCAGTGATTTAATCAATCATGCCTACATTATAGAACATCCATAAAAACCTTAAATGATGAGGTTTGGAGAGCATCTGGGTTAGAGAACACGTGGTGGTGCTGGGAGGGTGGTGTGCCCAGAGGATATGGAAGCTCTGTGTCCCTTCCCACACACCTTGTACTTGTCCATCAGTAACTGAAACATCTTTTGTTATAATATTTGGTCTTAGCTCCCAGTTCCTCACACAGGAGCTTTTAAGACCTTTGCAATCTCTGGAGTGATAAGTGTGTCTCTCTATGCTAATGAAATGACTGGTGGATGAGGGTGCTAGATGGCTCCAGAATGATTTTATTAAAATAATCTAAGCTTGCATAACATGGAAAAATGTGTCGGTAACAAAATGTCTAAGTGGCTCTGGCCTTGAGGAGATTTACAGGTTCATGGGTTACAGATTTCACTTATTAAATTAGGTAAGTAACACAGGGAATTCCCAAGTCTGCTTGTATGATTGTCTTACAAGTATGGTATTTGCGATAATATGCTATTTATACACACCACCTGAGACTACCCTGTGCCCCTAGACATCCCGTGACTGGTCCCATCTCTGTCCTATGGAAATGAACTGAGTGAGCAGTGGAAAAATCCACATGCACTTTTCAGTTCACCTGTATTGAACTCTACAAAATCCTTTCCATAGGAAGTTTTCCTCACTGGGAACATACCCAGCAATTAGGACAATATCTAAAGCATAAGGATTATTGTTAACTAATAACACACAATATGCATTAATAGTTTTGTCCTTTTGTTTGTTTATAGCTTTTATTGGCATTGATTCAGTATTTCCAACAGTTTTTTTGGTGACTAGATGGCAGGCATTATTGGAAGATCTGCAGTAATTGTTCACCATTTCAGCTGTTGGCACAACAAGCAAGAAACAATCTTCTTACTCTCCAACTCCACATTCCAGTTATTAAATCAAGCTCTCCTGAGAAGGAAATCCTTACGCCTTTACAAACATGTAACCTTCCTAAACTATGATGGATTATGTTCCTGATGTGTCTATATAAGCCCCACCTTCCATTCTCAACTAGCAGTAACCTCTGTGTCCTTTGACATCCAAATTGTTTTCTTTCATTCATTTGCACTTTCATTCAACGAATGTTAACCAGGACCTTCCAGATTCAAGGTATTGTGCATTTCCTTTTATTTAAAATTATTTTAGCAGCATCCCTGGTCTAAAAATAAGATAAAATATTTTGTGGACTGGTCATATCCTAATCTCTAAGTTACTTGAGAACAGAAGGATCTTACTCTACTCTTATTAACACAATAGTTGGCACTTGGTGAGTATTTATTAAATATTTGATGCCTTGAATCTTGACCAAATTCTAATTCAACTCAATTCCAATTCCAATCCAATCAGCAAAGCAAACAAAATCAGCCCACGGTAGTGTCCAACCCCTCCCTCTCTTCCATTGCCCACTTCTAAGTACCACCTTCCCTGGCACTAATTGTTAAGTCTAATTAGGGAAAAGGAGTCAGGATGGTGGGAGCAGGGGGAAGCAAAAAGAAGCAGGTAAACTACAAGTCTGCCATTCTTTATGGTCCAGACACACAGCCCTCCTCTGCAAATAACTCACAATCTTCCTGCGCCCAACAATTACAGCATAAACACTATTCCATAAAATCCCCAGCAAGCCTTTCTTTGCAGTTGGCTGCTCTTCTGCTGATTCTGCCTGTTGCCTTCTCGTACCTTCCTACTTTCTCTAACAAATCTGCCTTTATCTACAACTGTCTTGGTAAATCCTTTTACCCACGTACCACCAGCCCAGACAGCTGCCCCTCACCCATGATACTAATCTTTTAAAAGGTTGAGTCTGCATTTTGGATACTACATCACACATGCCTTAAAAACAAACATTAAAAGTAACTCACCCTCCTTAGAACCCTGATGGTTGGCTTTTATAGCAGGGCACGATGGTATAACCAGTAAGGCCAGAGCAGGTGGCCAGCCCCCCAACCCTCCCTGCCTTGTATCAAAACCCTCAGGTTTCAGGCCAGGCTTGGTGGCTCATGCCTGTAATCCCAGCACTTTAGGAGGCCAAGGTGTGTGGATCACTTGAGGCCAAGAGTTCAAAACCAGCCTGGCCAACATGGCAAAATCCCATCTTTACTAAAAATACAATAATTAGCTAGGTGTGGTGGCACGCGCCTGTAATCCCAGCTACTCAGGAGGCTGAGGCATGAGAAACGGTTGAACCAGGGAGGTGGAGGTTGCAGTGAGCTGAGATCACGCCACTGCACTCCAGCCTCGGTGACAGAGCCAGACACTGTCGCATAACAAAACAAAACAAAAAAATTCCTCAAGTGTCAAAATTTTTCTTTTTCTTCAATTACAGAAGAGCCCCGCTTAGAGCTAAGATTCTACCATCTGGAATGACTCATAAAATATGAAGTGGGCCGGGTGTGGTGGCTCACGCCTGTAATCCCAGCACTTTGGGAGGCCGAGGCGGGAGGATCATGAGGTCAGGAGTTCGAGACGAGCCTGACCAACATGGTGAAACCTTGTCTCTACTAAAAATACAAAAATCAGCTGTGCATGGTGGCGTGTGCCTGTAATCCCAGCTACTCAGGAGCCTGAGGCAGGAGAATCGCTTGAACCTGGGAGGCAGAGGTTGCAGTGAGCCAAGATCGCACTATTGCACTCCAGCCTGGGTGACAGAGTGAGACTCCATCTCAAAAAAAAAAAAAAAAAGTGAAATGCATCAAATGGTAAGCTTTGGTTAGGCTAAATTGCAAAATACTATTTCAAATCAGAACCAGAGATTAATAATAGTAAATATCTGTTATTTTTTTCTGGGGCTAACATTTCTTGTCACTTATCATAAAGTCTGGTATTAATTTGCATGTGTTACTCTCATCTACCCAGATTATAAATTCCATCAAAGCAGTAAGTGTTCCTTGTAAAGAGGTGGGATCTTCATAAACTCCTCTACATACTTGGGAATTGGTTCAAGTAACTTGCAGACACACAAGGAATCCCTGCTTTCCACACCTGCTGTCCTCCCTTTCCCAAGCTGTCTCTTGGAGGGGGTAATGAATTTACAATGATCTTTCTACACTATCTGCTCGATTACCCTATGACCAAAGACTTTGTAACCACAGGTCAGAGTTAAAATCAGAATTTCAGTGAAGCGATGTTCCATGAACAGCTGGATTCACTAACTCAGTGGTCCCCAATCTTTTTGGCAGCAGTGACCGGTTTCATGGAAGACAATTTTTCCACGGAAAAGGGGGCAGGGGCTAGGGGAGAGGGGTGGGGTGGTTTTAGATCATCAGGCATTAGATTCTCATAATGAGCATGCAACCTAGATCCCTCGCATATGCAGTTCACAATAGGGTTCACTTTCCTATGAGACTCTAATGCCCCCACTGATTGGACAGGAGGCAGAGCTCAGGCCGTAATGCCAGAGATGGGGAGCGGCTGTAAATACAGATGACACTTCGTTGGCTCGCCCTGCTCACCTCATGTGCCAATGGGTTCCTAACAGGCAACAGACCAACACCCGTCAGCAGCCAAGGAGTTGGGGAACTCTGCACTAACTCCAAAGAACATAGCGGGTCTGGCAGGGCATGGTGGCTCACGCCTGTAACCCTAGCACTTTGGGAGGCTGAGGCAGGCGGGATCACCTGAAGTCAGGAGTTCGACACCAGCGTCGCCAACATTGCAAAACCCCGTCTATACTAAAAATACAAAAATTAGCCGGGCATGGTGGCGCGCAGCTGTAGTCCCAGCTACTCGGGAGGCTGAGGCAGGAGAATCGCTTGAACCCGGGAGGCGGAGGTTACAGTGAGCCGAGATCGCGCCACTGCACTCCAGCTTGGGCGACAGAGAAAGGCTCCGTCTCAAAAAGATCACAGCGGGTCTGAAATTGAGAGTTTGACAAGTATACCTACATAAACCTCACCTTACAATACCAAAGGGAAGGAGACAAGCCCTTGGTTGGCCTGGCATGGCGCTGGGCGGCGGCGGGGGGGAGCTCACATCGCTTTGGGAAGCAGAGGCTAGAGGATTGCTTGAGCCCAGGGGTTCAAGACCAGCCTGGACAACATAGGAAAACCTCATCTTTACAAAAAATATAAAAATTAGCCAGGCACAGTGGCTCACACCTGTAATCTGAGGGCTTTGAGAGGCCAAAGAGGGACGATCGCTTGAGCCCAGGAGTTCAAGACCAGCCTAAGCAACACAGCAAGACCCTGTCTCTACCAAAAAATAAAAATTAGCCAGGCGTGGTGGTGTGCACTTGTAGTCCCAGCTCCACGGGGGGCTGAGGCGGGAGGATCGCTTGAGCCCAGGGGTTCCAGGCTGCAGTTAGCTATGATCGCGCCACTGCACTCCAGCCTGGGCTACAGGTTGAGAACCTGTCTAAAAAAAAAGAAAAAAGAAAAGCTCTCGATTAGCCCCATCTGTGGGGGCTGGGGATGCTCCAGAATTTCTAGGGTTCAAGGGCAGCAGCCTGATTGCAGGTGGGGATCAGGGCATTTCTTGGAGGCTGCATCTGCGGGGCAGGCTCTGTCCTCTGTGAATTGGGGGCCTTGCCAAGTTCCCCCAACCCTTTTATCCCTGCTGCGCCATCTTGGGAGCAGGGAACTGCTTGGGAGCAGGGGATTCTGTCCCAGGAAGGGTCGAGAAAGTTCCTGGGGGGCTTCAGGGGCTTTCCACAGAGGGAGCACGGCGGGGGCGGAGGCTCCCTGCAGGGAGCAGCGCTGAGGTAGACTGGCTCTGACCTTGGCTCTCTGAAGGGAGAAAAACTTAATCGTTCTTCAGGTCCAAGAGCTCCAAAGACCCCCAATCCTCAGTAACTCATCTCCTGACAAAAGACCTTGCGAAACTGCCAAAGCGCCACACTTCGGCTCGCGATTGTGAGGAAATTGGTTGAGGAACGGAGTGGGACGCCCATGCCGCTTCGCCAGCACTTGCCAGGCGTTCCGTGGGGCAGCATCTCCTCTGAAGGGCCGCCGACAGTACCACGCCAATGGAACGGCGTACCCTCCTCCACTGCAGCCTGCCTAACCCCGGACTGCGCGCCCGAGCTGTGCGCATGCGCGGACCGTCCGCGCGGTCGCAACGCGCAGGCGCCGTGTCCACTTCCGGGATCTGTCAGCCGCTCCCTCTGGGCTTCCGTCCTCCGCCCGCGCCCGACGGAGCCTGTTCGCGTCGACTGCCCAGAGTCCGCGAATCCTCCGCTCCGAGCCCGTCCGGACTCCCCCGATCCCAGGTAACGGCCAGCAGGGGCGAGCGTCTCACCCTGTCGGCCTCTCTTGTCCAGGCCTGGCGCCGGACTTGCCGCGGGGGCAGTGAGACGGGGGCTCAGGCCGCGGGGCCCCGAGGCTGAGGCGCGGCCGGGTCTCCCTGCCGGGGCCTCCTGAGGGGGCGGGGATCCCCTTTCTCCGTGGATCCCCTGCAGCTTTTCTCAGGATGTTCGAGCTCCTAGCCGCCTCCGATGCCCGAATTAACGGCCCCTTCTGCGCCCCCAGGGTCCTACTTGCACCTCTGCTGGGGGCATTTGTCACCGTCTCTAAAATTGTGTCAAGTAGGAGGATCTCCCGTAATCGAGCGACCCGCGGGACTATTCATCTCTTTAGTGTCTAGAGTCGATCCCTGCATACAGTAGGCGCCCATAGGATGTTTGCCTGCTCTCTAGGGCAGCCCTCAATCCTTCGGTTAATGGGGAACCTTCTCGATCTCGAGAAAAACCTTCTCCCGAGTTCTTTTAAGATTTCCCTGCATGAGTACCGCCTTCCCCCAAG
Source organism: Homo sapiens (assembly GCF_000001405.40). Classification (NCBI taxonomy): domain Eukaryota; kingdom Metazoa; phylum Chordata; class Mammalia; order Primates; family Hominidae; genus Homo; species Homo sapiens. The sequence goes on from NC_000007.14 coordinate 99,326,537, forward strand.
TCAAAATTGCACCCTTCTCGGCGCTCTTATTCATTTAGTGGAATCTTTTATGCCAGTCCTGGCACCACCACTTTGTTGAGTGATCCTGGGAAGATGCTTCTCTGCGCCTGTTTCCTCATCTGCAATAAAAAGATTCTTACCGTTTTGCTAAGAATCAAGTGAGCTTATTTGCATAAATTGCTTAGAATAGTTCCTGGCCGAGAGTAGGTGATCAATAAATATTAGCTATTATTACTGCTTCTGGGCATTCTATGCATATCCGTCTTCCTTTCCTTTTCTATCTCCTCCACTCTCCCCAAACACCAACCCTCCAGACTTGAAGACCAGAATGGTGTCAGCCTTATTTATGTTTCTAGCCCCATCCCGGTATTTACAACACTGCTGGGAACATGATAGGCACTTAATCAGTTATAGCTTAGAATCTTTGATTATAAAGCCATCTGTTCTCCTGCAGCTTTGGAACCTTCTGTCTATGTCAACTCGTAGCTTAAATTGCCGAGATTATCTTAGTTCTGCCCTCTCTCCTCAATTTTATCTAGTCTTGTGGTTTCACATAGGGCCTGGGTTTTCAGGTATCTAAAAACAGAGGAGGGGCATCAGTCAGGAAGGTGTTTTTGTCCTGTTAGGGAGTGGGTAACTGTGGTTGTTGTCTTCCTTTTTTTTTTTTTTCCTGCAGCCTCGACCTCCTGGGCTTAACAGATCCTCCCACCTCAGCCTCCTGAGTAGCTGGGACTACAGGCGTGTGCCACCACACTGGGCTAATTTTCATTTATTTTTATTTACTTATTTTTGGAGATAGAGTCTCACTCTGTCACCCAGACTGGAGTGCAGTGGTGTGATCTTGGCTCACTGCAACCTCCACCTCCTGGGTTCAAGCGATTCTCCTGCCTCAGCCTCCCGAGTAGCTGTGACTACAGGCATGAGCCACTGCGCCTGGCTAATTTTTTTTTTTTTTTTGTATTTTTTGTAAAGACAGGGTCTCCATATGTGGCCCAAGCTGGTCTGGAGCTCCTAAGCTCAAGCTATCCTCCCACCTCGACCTCCCAAAGTGCTGGGATTTTGGGTGTGAGACACCACACCCAGCTTATATGGCTATTTTCTCCCACAAAGTATTCAGAGATCTTCTGGAGTTCATCTGTTAATCACAGTTAAAGGAAGGGACCATTTCGGAAAACTCCTATTTTGGACGCGGAGTGGTGATACTTTGATCTAGTTGTCTCATCCAATGCTGAAACAAATCCTATATAAAGAAGTTTAAAATGGTCTGCTGGTGAGGCTGGTGCCTGGACTGGAGCCTGTCTGAATGTTGAGGAGGGTGTGGTGACCTTGTTGGAGTACTTGATGTTGCTAGATTGGCTAATGAGAGTGATTAGGAACTAGGTGAATCACGGTCTTGAAAACTGACCCTAAACAGGGGACAGAAATGCCCACTTTTGTGGGCATTTTCAAGCTCCAAAGGAGTAGGGCCAAGAATTTATAGCATATGTCAACGTTTCCAAGCTCAGAGGAAACTAACTGGTGGGTTCTATGGTTGGTTTAAAAGCCTTGAGTTGGCCAGGTGCAGTGGCTCACGCCTGTAATCCCAACACTTTGAGAGGCTGAGGCGGGTGGATCACCAAGGTCAGGAGTTTGAGACCAGCCTGACCAACATGGAGAAACCCCGTCTCTACTAAAAATACAAAATTAGCCAGGCATGGTGGCACGTGCCTGTAATCCCAGCTACTCAGGAGGCTGAGGCTGGAGAATCGCTTGAACCCGGGAGACGGAGGTTGCGGTGAGCTGAGATCACACCATTTCACTCCAGCCTAGGCAACAAGAGCAAAACTCCATTTAAAAAATAGAAAAGCCTTGGGTCAAAGGGAGAAAGGGAACCTGCTGGCATGTATTTCAGGCTAGGCTCTGTACTACTTGCTTTCACATGTCTCATTTAATTCTCCTTGTGATCTCAGTGGTATATCCACTTTACAGAAGAAAAAAATGAGATTTAGAGATATCAAGTGACTTGCCCAGGGTTTCATAGCTAGTGTGTGTCAAAAGCCAGGGTTCAAACCCAGCCTCGGCTTCAGAGCCCATGGCTAGCCATACATCAGAATGACTCTGTACTCAGTGATAGATAAAGAAAAGGGGTGGGGGCCGGGCATGGTGGCTCATGCTTGCAATCTTAACACTTTGGGAGGCTGAAGTGGGCAGATCACTTGAGCCCAGGAGTTTGAGACCAGCCTGGACAACATAGGGAGACCCCTGTCTTTACAAAAAACTAAAAAATTAGCAGGGCATAGTGATGCATGCCTGTGGTCCCAGCTACTCAGGAGGCTAAAGTGGGAGGATGGCTTGACCCTGGGAAGCCGAGGTTGCAGTGAACTGAGATCACACCACTGCAGTCCAGCCTGGGTGACAGAGCAAGACCTTGTCTGAGAAAAAAACTCAGAGAGAGAGAAAAGGGATGAGGGGGGAGGGAGGGAGGAAAAGAAAAGGGATGAGGGGCAGGGCGCGGTGGCTCACGCCTGTAATCCCAGCACTTTGGGAGGCCGAGGCAGGCGGATCACGAGGTCAGGATATCGAGACCATCCTGGCTAACACGGTGAAACCCCATCTCTACTAAAAATACAAAAAAATTGGCCGGGTGTGGTGGCGGGCCCCTGTAGTCCCAGCTACTCGGGAGGCTGAGGCAGGAGAATGGCGTGAACCCGGGAGGCAGAGTTTGCAGTGAGCCGAGATCGTGCCACTGTACTCCAGCCTGGGCGACAGAGCGAGACTCCGTCTCAAAAAAAAAAAAAAGAAAATAAAGAAAAGGGATGAGGAGTTCCTGGCATTTTTATTTGTCCCCTTTTCTCCCTCTCTAGCTCTATTAAGACAAAGCTTTTCAGATTTCACTTAAACATTAACCATAGTTTAGAAATTATAATTATCACCCTATGACAGAAGGTACCCTTTCTTGGTACATAATTCAAGCTATTAGGAATTTCTTCTGCATTCACTGGGTTTCATGAATGCAAGTGGTGTTTGCTAGGTGCATTCTAAATTTGACAAACATGAGTGTTGTCTTGGCCTGCAGACTTAAAATAGCCACCTGATTATAAAAGAAGTACAGGTCTTAAGTGTATGTCCAAATATGGAACTTGAATGATATGGCAAAATTAGAAATGCAATTTTAGAAGTAATTACACTGTTGTGTAAATGGCCACCTCTTTTGAAGTCTTTGCTACATTGCTTATAAAACACTGAGTTGAACATGAGAAAGCCTTTTGTCTGCAGCTGTACTTTTCAACTGGACATGAACCATGTACTTTTATGGCACGTAGATATTCACATCAAATTTCTGATTTGCAGACCGATTTTATTTTTAGTTAACAAATAAGCTTATCAAATGTGGCTTTTGAACTAAAGCGCTTTTAATTAAGGAGTTATAACAGCATGTTATTTTGAGTAGCTGTTACTAAAATCTGTTGTGATGGAACAATTTGGAGTGAGCATCTGATATCAGAGATAAAGAGAGAAGCATGCAGTGAGCATCTGGAAGTTCTTGTAAAAAAAAAAAACAAATTAAACATTCTCATTTGAATGCATTTAAAATTTTTTTAAATTGCCAATTCCTAAGCTTTTTCTTTGTTAGTTGTAGTTTGCTTTCTCGACTGTATAAAAGAAAAAAGTAATGACTTAACTATCTTCACTCTTAGAATAGAATATGAAATGCTAGCATTTCTCTGCCAGTTCAAGGTATCAGATGTTTTTTATTTAAAGTTGCACTTACCTTTGGGTTCCCCCCCCCTTTTTGTTTGTTTGTTTGTTTTGTTTTGATACAGAGTCTCACTCTGTCACCTAGGCTGCAGTGCAGTGGCACCATCTTGGCTCACTGCAACCTCCGCCTCCCATGTTCAAGAGATTCTTGTGCCTCAGCCTCCTGAGTAGCTGGAATTACAGGTGCCTGCCACCATGCCCGTCTGATTTTTGTATTTTTAGTAGAGATAGGGTTTCGCCATGTTGGCCAGGCTGGTCTCGAACTCCCGACCTCAGGTGATCCGCCCACCTCGGCCTCCCAAAGTGCTGGGATTACAGGCTTGAGCCACCATGCCTGGCCTGGGTTCCTTTACAATTAGCAGAGGTGCTGCTTCTGCTTTCTGAGACTGATTTCTGCTTTGTCAGCTGAACTTTCATTGTTCACTTTACAACCTTCTAGTGGCCCTTCCATTCATTTCCTGCTTGCATCAGAATTCATATCTCACATTTCAGCCTCCACCCAAGGTTAACATGACACATACTTACGTGTGTTGAAACTTGAGTTTATTGTGAGGGTGCCTCCTGGAAATGATAAAGTTGGGGGTAGAGGAAGGCTGGCTGCTTTTTGAAAAATGTTCCCATTTCAGTTAATGGTTGCTTCTTCAAGTGTATCTAGATTTGGGTACCTATAAAATAGAGAATTTTTAATTTAATGTTTTGCAGATTCCTGCTTTTCATTTAGTTACAATTAAAAGTTTAAAAAGTATTATCACAAACGCCTACATACTCTTTGCCTAGATTCACCAGTTAGCATTTTGCCACATTCACATTCTATATATTTTCTGTCCTGAACTATTGAAAATAAGTTACAGTGGCTGGGCATGGTGACTCATGCCTGTAATCCCAGCACTTTGGGAGGCTGAGGCAGGTGGATCACTTGAGCCCAGTCAGAGCAGCCTGGGCAACATGGTGAAACCCCATCTCTACAAAAATTACCTGGGCTTGGTGGTGCATGCTTGTAGCCACAGCTACTCAGGAGGCTGAGGTGGGAGGATCACTTGAGGCCAGAAGACGGAGGCTGCAGTGAGCATAGATTGCACCACTGCCCTCCAAACCTGGGTGAGAGAGCAAGACCCTATCTCCCCTGCCCCCCACCCAAAAAAAGAAAAGAAGTTACAGAAGACATCATGATACTTCATCCCTGAACACTTCATCATTATCTTTGTCTCCTAAGAGCTAGGACATTCTCCTATCTAATGGCAATACCGTTATCACACCTAAGAAAATGAAAATAATTCCATATGTAATATCTAGTTTAAATTGTAATTTTCCCTGTTATACAAAATACATCTTTTCTGCCCATTTTTTAAAATGTGGATTATGGGCCAGGCACAGTGGCTCACACCTGTAATCTCAGCACTTTGGGAGGCTGAGGAGGGCGGGTCACTTGAGGCCAGGTGTTCAAGACCAGCCTGGCCAACATGGTGAAAGTCCATCTCTACTAAAAATACAAAAATTAGCTGGGCCTGGTGGTGCACACTTGTAATCCCAGCTACTCAGGAGGCTGAGGCAGGAGGATCACCTGAGTCCAGGAAGTGGAGGTTGCAGTGAGCTGAGATGGTGCCACTGTACTCCAGTCTGGGCAACAGAGTGAGACTCTGTCTCAAAAAAAAGAAATTATATTATAATCAACTTTCACTTATCAAATTTGGTTTTCATAGCTCTCTAGAACAGTTCTCATCCTGCCTCCATATTGCCTTTTTGGAATAGTCCAGGCCAGTTCTTCTATAGAATGGCACACACCCTGGCTTTAACTGTTTATTTCCTCCTTGTGTTGCTTGACTAGTTCCTTTATCCTTTATTTCTTGTAAACTGAAAATTAGATCTGAATCTTGATTGGATTTAGAGTAAATATGTTTGGCATAGAGACTTCATTGGTAGGTTGACCATATTCCCAGGTTTCTCCAGGATAGCCCTGTGACCTGTTGTGTTGGCATAATTATTATTTATTTTTGCTCTCAGAAGTGTTCTGGTTTGGATGGTACGTTAAGTCACTATTTATAAGTGACGATGTGTACTTCATGTGGACTGCCATCAGGAGGCCCATCCAGTTAGATTGATCCACTATTTATAACATGGTGATTACGTGGTGATTGCCAGATTTCTTCAACGTAAAGGCATCTTTTTCTCTTTGTAGTTAATAAGCAATCTGTGGGATGATAATTTGAGACTAGGAATATCCTGTACCCATGGTTTAAGAGTCCATTGACGACCCTGAACAGAATAAATTCCACATTAGTTGTTACAATGCTAGATTTATTCAGATGGTTAAGTTTTGACAATGAGATAGATTTTTTTTTTTTTTTTTGAGACAGAATCTCACTGTGTCGCCCAGGCTGGAGTGCAGTAGCGCGATGTCGGCTCACTGCAAGCTCCACCTCCCAGGTTCGCCATTCTCCTGTCTCGGCCTCCCAAGTAGCTGGGACTACAGGCGCCCGCTACCATGCCCGGCTAATTTTTTGTATTTTTAGTAGAGACGGGGTTTCACCGTGTTAGCCAGGATGGTCTGGATCTCCTGACCTCGTGACCTGCCTGCCTTGGCCTCCCAAAGAAAGTTCTGGGATTAGAGGTGTGACCACCATGCCCGGCCTTTTTTTTTTTGAGACAGAGTCTCGCTCTGTCGCCCAGGCTGGAGTGCAGTGGCATGATCTTGATTCACTGCAACCTCTGCCTCCTGGATGCAAGCAATTCTCCTGCCTCAGCCTCCCGAGTAGCTGGAACTAGAGGCGTGTGCCACCACGCCCAGCTAATTTTTGTATTTTTAGTAGAAACTGGGTTTCACCAGGTTGGCCAGGCTGGTCTTGAACTCCTGACCTTGTGATCCACCTGCCTTGGCCTCCCAAAGTGCTAGTATTACAAGCGTGAGCCACCGTGCCTGGCCAGATTATTTTTTAATGGGAGGACAATGTTTTATTTATTTCCGAACATCTTAAGATCCTCAGGCAACTTAAACATTGGTTACTTGCCTTTTCCCTATTGTATAAAATGCTTTTTGTTATTGTTCATTGCAGCTTTCTCTCCTTTGAAAACACTAAGAATAATGTCACTGCATCAGTTTTTACTAGAGCCAATCACCTGTCATGCCTGGAACAGGGATCGTACTCGTAAGTATTTTATTAACTTTGCTTTTGTATTTTGGTACCTTTGGTACATTTCATCTTTAGACACATTTAGGGCTCACATATCTCAGTATCACATGTGCAAAGAACATACATCTATTATATACATTCAGAAGGGAACTAAGTCAGTCCTTTGGTTTACAGATAGATAAACTGAGGCCCAGAGTGAAGGAAGGGCTTTGCAGAGGTTACATACCAAGTTCACATTTAGTCAGAGCACTAGGACCTAGAATAAGCTGTTTCAGAGACAAGTGGTTTGCTCCTGAGCTACTCAGAGCATTATTAACTAGTATTTACTATGTTATTCTTAGTCAGCTTGAGTTTCTAGTTTTCTAGCTCCAGCAAACTAGAAAGGGATGGAGAATGCTCTTAGAAGTAGGCACAGTTCAGCAAGCAAAGTGACAGATAATATGACAAGATGAGGCTGGGTGCAGTGGCTCCTGCCTGTAATCCCAGCACTTTGGGAGGCCAAGGCAGGCAAATATCTTGAGCTCAAGAGTTCAAGACCAACCTGAGCAACATGGGGAAACCCTGTCTCTACGAAAAAAAATAGAAAAACTGTGTGTGTGTGTACACACACACACACACACACACACACATATATATGTATTTTTTTTTTTTGAGACAGAGTCTCGCTTTGTCACAAGGCTGAGCATGGAGGCTCATGTCTGTAATCCCAGCACTTTGGGAGACCGAGGCGGGCAGATCATTTGAGGTCAGGAGTTCGAGATCAGCCTGGCCAACATGGTGAAACCCCATCTCTACTAAAAATAAAAAAAATTAACCAGGTGTGGTGGTACCTGCCTGTAATCCCAGCTACTCAGGAGGCTGTGGCAGGAAAATCGCTTGAATCCGGGAGGCAGAGGTTGCAGTGATCTGAGATTGTGCCACTGTACTCCAGCCTGGGTGACAGGGCAAGACTCTCTTTCTCAAAAAAAAAAATAATAACAATAATAATTAAATAATAAAAACACAGAAAGAGCAGGATTGGGGAGAAAAAGTCCAATTTCGCTTATTTTTCTTTTGTTGCTTGTACTTCTGCTGTTGTATCAAAGAAACCATTGCATAATCCAGGATCACAACAATGTGTGCCTATGCCTGTGTTTCCTTCTAAGAGTCTTAAAGCTTTAGTCCTTTTATGTAGGACTTTGGTCCATTTTGAGTTAATTTTTGTGTATCCTGTAAGATAGGGTTCCTTTTGTATGTAGATATCCAGTTTTCATTTTTTTCTTCTTTTTTTCTGTGTTTATTTATTTATTTATTTATTGAGACAGAGTCTTGCTCTGTCATCCAAGCTGGAGTGCAGTGGTGCAATCTCGGCTTACTGCAACCTCCGCCTCCCAGGTTCAAGTGATTATCATGTCTGAGCCTCCCAAGAAGCTGTGATTACATGCATGCGCCACCACACCTGGCTAATATTTTTTTTTTTGAGACGCAGTCTCGCTCTGTCGCCCAGGCTGGAGTGCAGTGGCACAATCTTGGCCCACTGCAAGCTCCGCCTCCGGGGTTCACACCATTCTCCTGCCTCAGCCTCCTGAGTAGCTGGGACTACAGGCACCAGCCACCATGCTCGGCTAATTTTTTTTGTATTTTTAGTAGAGACAGGGTTTCACCTGTTAGCCAGGATGGTCTCAATCTCCTGACCTCGTGATCTGCCCGCCTTGGCCTCCCAAAGTGCTGGGATTACAGGTGTAAGCCACTGCGCCCGGCCCACACCTGGCTAATTTTTGTATTTTCAGTAGAGACAGGGATGCGCTATGTCACCCAGACTGGCCTCGAACTCCTGGCCTCCAGCAATCCACCTGCCTTGGCCTCCCGAAGTGCTGGGATATACTTAGTGGGCATGAGCCACCACACCGGCCAAGATAATCGAGTTTTTCCTGCACCTTTTGTTGAAAACTATCCTCTCTGTTTTATTGCCTTGGCCCCCTTTTTGAAAATCAACTGACTGTAAAGATGAGAGTTTATTTCTGGACTCTCAATTCTATTCCATTGTTCTTTATGTTTATCCTAATTTCAGGACCAGTCTGTCTTGATTACTATAGCTTGGTGGTAAGTTTTGAAATCAAGAAGTGTAAGTTCCAACTTTGTTCTTTTCAAGATTATTTTGGTTATTGTGTCGCTTGCATTTCCATATGAATTTTAGGATCAGTTTGTTAATTTCTTTTAAGACGTCAGCTGAGATTTTGACAGAGATTACTTTGAATCTGTAGATTCACCATCTTTTTAAAGCATTTCAGGGCTGGGCGTGGTGGCTCATACCTGTAATCCCAGCACTTTGGGAGGCCAAGGCAGGCAGATCACGAGGTCAGGAGATCAAGACCATCCTGACTAACACAGTGAAACTCCATCTCTATTAAAAATACAAAAAATTAGCCCGGTGTGGTGGCGGGCGCCTGTAGTCCCAGTTACTCGGGAGGCTGAGGCAGGAGAATGGCGTGAACCTGGGAGGCGGAGCTTGCAGTGAGCCGAGATTGTGCCACCGCACTCCAGCCTTGGCAACAGAGTGAGACTCAGTCTCAAAAAAGAAAAAAAAAAAAGCCTCTGTATTGGGTAATTGAAAATGTATAACCTAGCAGGACAGTGAATTTAGAGCATGTGTTTTGTGATCATCTCACAGAGCTTCATAGCCAACTTTCCTATATCTTCTGTTTCCACTTTCCCATCTAATAATAGGCTTTTGGAGTATTTCCAATTATTTTTAATACAGATGCAAGCTATCATTGTCCTCATTTAAACTACTTGATAAATTCAGCATATTAAGTCAACATTTTTTGTGACATTGTAATTTGAAATTTATAACATTTTCCAGGTTTAAATTTGGACTTGGCTTTTGAAATCTCTATATACATGTGAGAAAGTGAGAGAAATATATAACTATTTACCAGAAAGCACTCTTAAGTCCTTAGGATTTTATAGCTAGATATTTACCTAGTTCCACAGTTTTATCTGTAAAGCAGATAGATGTAGCTTTCCTAAGGAGGGTAGGAAAGTGAGTGTAGGTGGGGACTATTAATGACTGGCCTAAAGTTTGGATCATAGGTCTTAATTTTTTTTTTTTTTTTTTTTTTTTTTTTGAGACAGGGTCTCACTCTGTCACCCAGGCTGGAGTGCAGTGACGTGATCTCGGCCCAAAATGCAGCCTCTGCCTCCTACGATCAAGCGATTCTCCTGCCTCAGCCTCCCAAGTAGCTGGGACTACAGGCGCGTGCCACCAGGCCTGGCTAATTTTTGTATTTTTAGCAGAGACGGGGTTTCCCCGTGTTGGCCAGGCTGGTCTCGAACTCCTGATCACAGGTGATCTGCCTGCCTCAACCTCCCAAAGTGCTGGGATTACAGGCGTGAGCCACCACGCCTGGCCCATAGATCCTAATTTTAATTTTAAGAAACCAATAAAAAGAAAGAGGGGCTGGGCATCGTGGCTCATGCCTGTAATCCTAGTGCTTTGGGAGGCCAAGGCAGGAGAATTGCTTGAGGCCAGGAGTTAAAGACCAGCCTAGGCAACATAGTGAGACCCTGTCTCTACTAAAAATAAAAATTAAATTCAATTAAAAAAAAAACAGATGAACTAGATGGGGTAAAAAAAGATACATGAATACAGGTCTAGTATCCCTTATCTGAAATGCCTGGGACCAGAATTTTCTGGACTTACGATTTGGGGATATTTGCATAATATATACGATTTGAGCACTGAAAATTTGAAATCCAGCTGAGCCTGGTGGCTCATGCTGGTAATCCCAGCACCTTGGGAGGCCAAGGCAGGCAGATTACCTGAGGTCGGGAGTTTGAAACCAGCCTGACCAACATGGAGAAACCCTGTCTCTACTAAAAATACAAAATTAGCTGGGCGTGGTGGCGCATGCCTGTAATCCCAGCTACTTCGGAGGCTAAGGCAGGAGAATCGCTTGAACCTGGGAGGCGGAGGTTGCAGTAAGCCAAGATCGCGCCATTGCACTCCAGCCTGGGCAACGAGAGCAAAACACTATCTCAAAAAAGAAAAAAATGAAAATCTGAAATCCAAAATGTTCCAGAGAGCATTGCGTTTGAGCATGACCTTTTGAGTGTCATGTTGATACTCAAAAAGTTTTGGATTTGGGAGCATGTCAGATTTCAGCTTTTCAGATTAGGGATGCTCAACCTGTATGAGTTTTTAAAAAGTCCGTTTTGTGTATTATATTTTGGATTAGTTCAGGAAATTACTCTTGAAAACAAAGTATTGTGATTTATATTGGCTTTATTGTAAAGGAGAATTTCAGTATAGTTTATCAGCAGAATCAATTTTTTTAATATAAACTAGTGGTTCCAGCCTGGGTCCATGATAGCAGTAATGGAAGTCCATAACCTATTTTCAGTGTTTCAAAAAGACAAACAGAAATTTAGATTTAGCTCTAATAATATTGCACAGGTGAATGAAACTGTCAAACATTTTTACCCTGATCTAAAGTTATTTTAGCTAAGTACACTAACATTGTTTATTTTTCGCTGGTTAGAATCATTAATTGACAGTTGTACGTGTCTCTGGGAAAATGAATTTTAATCTTAGTTTTCCTGTAAAGCATTATAAAATACAGGGTCCAAGTAAAGGTTAAAAAAAAAATGGAATTATTCAGAGGTGAATTTGGGAACTACTTTTTCAAAAGTTTTTCTTTTCCTTACTATAGTCTGCTTTTAAAACAACTGTGACATGTCCCCTTTTTGGTGACAATTGCAAGTTCAGGTGTTAACTGTTGTTTGACTTGTGTCTCCAGAGATTGCCCTCAGTCCCAATAATCACGAAGTGCACATCTATAAGAAGAACGGGAGCCAGTGGGTGAAAGCTCATGAACTCAAGGAGCACAACGGACACATCACAGGTAAAGGAAGATAGCCGTGAGCTTAGTGTGATATTTCCAAATCAGGCACTCTTCCTTTTAGATAAAGAGCCTAATAAACCCAGGTGGCCATAATTTTTTTTTTTTTTTTTTTTTTTTTGAGAAGGAGTATCACTCTTTCGCCCAGGCTGGACTGCAATGGCGCAATCTCGGCTCACTGCAACCTCCACCTCCCGGGTTCAAGTAATTTTCCTGCCTCAGCTTCCTGAGTAGCTGGGATTACAGGCACGCGCCACTATGCCTGGCTAATTTTTTTTATTTTTAGTAGAGATAGGTTTCACCATGTTGGTCAAGCTGGTCTCGAACCCCTGACCTCGTGATCCTCCTGCCTCGGCCTCCCAATGTGCTGGGATTACAGGAGTGAGCTACCGCACCTGGCCCGTAATATTTAAAGTCATGCAGCACTTACTGAATTTCCTTAAAATTTTAAAGAAAATACTATAATGATCTTAGTTGTTAAGTGCTTCTTGTGGCCCCAGCTGGTACCCAGCACTCTACCGTTGCTATGGAAAGCACTGAACCTACCCTGAGGACTAAAGAGCTAAAATTAGGAGATGAGACGTGAAATTGAAAGCTAGATAACATGAAAATGTAGACAACACGAAAACGTGCGCCAAACTATTTCCAAGTGTCTTCCAAAAGTTTCCTTTGTGTTTTTAGGGTAAGGAAGACTTTCCAGAATATTGAGAAGAACAAAGTAATATAATAAACACCCATATCAGATAATCGCCACCAGAATTACCAACTTTTTCCCTGTGCCAGGAAGTAATTTCTTTTCCTGTATCAGGAAACTTAAGGAAAAAGGATGTAATAATAAGGAATATTATTCTTGATGATGGTAAAGTCACCTCTCACCAGCAGTCCTATTCCTCTCCCCTGGAAGGCAGACTATAATTTGCTATGACACCATTCCAGTCCATTTTTAATACATTTACATACATACATATTCATAAACAAGCTTAGGCCAAGCACAGTGGCTTACACCTGTAATCCCAGCACTTTGGGAGGCTGAGGCGGGAGGATCGCTTGAACCCAGGAATCCAAGACTAGCCTGGGCAACATAATGAGACCCCCCGTTAGCACGGTGTGGTGGCATGCACCTGTGGTCCCAGCTACTTGTGAGGCTGAAGTGGGAGGACCACTTGAGACAAGATCAAGGCTGCAGTGAGCTGTGATCACACCACTGCACTCCAGCCTGGGTGACACAGCAAGACCCTCATCTCAAAAAAAAGAAAAAAGAGAAAACAATCTTTAGGACTATTGACTAGTATTTTTTTGAAGCTACATAAATGGCATGATACTATGCATCTCCGGCAGCCTGCTTTTGCATTCATGATTGTTTCTGAGATCCATCTATGTTGCTGTCTAGATCAAGTTTATTCCTTTTAACCACTCTTTAGCATTTTATACCTCATTTATTTACTCCTTCCTCCACTGAAGAACATTTAGGTTGTTTCAATTTTTCCATATTACATGAAAGTGCTGAATAGGCATCCCTTGATTTCTGTACGTATGTGTGAATGTTTGTAGATGGTAGATGTGTTAATACCACAGGGTATGCATATCTGCAGTGCAGTGTTGCCAGGCCTCATCAGATTGCCATCATTCCCACCTGTCCTGTATGAGAGTGCTCATTTTCCCACACCCCGCCACATACTTGAGATGGGAAGACTGAAGAATGCATGAAAGGTTCATCCATTGCTTCTGTAAGTTGTATTTTCCTGATTCATGGAAAAGTTGAGATACTTTCAGACGTGTATTAGCCATGAGAGTTTTTCTTCCTTGTGACTGTCCTGTTCATAAATCCTGATCATTTTTTCATTGAGTTTTTGTCTTTTTTCTGTTTTTGTTTGTTTGTTTGTTTGTTTGTTTGTTTTGAGATGGAGTGTCATTCTGTCGTCTAGGCTGAAATGGAGTGGTACAGTCTTGGCTGACTGCAGCCTCTGCCTTCCAGGTTCAAGCAATTCTCCCGCCTCAGCCTCCCGAGTTGCTGGGATTACAGGTGCCTGCCACAATGCCCAGCTAATTTTTGTATTTTTAGTAGATGTGGGATTTCACCACATTGGACAGGCTGGTCTCAAGCTCCTGACATCAAGTGATCTGCCTGCCTTGGCCTCCCAAAGTGTTGAGATTACAGGTGTGACCCTTTTTTTTCTTTTAGACAGGGTCTTGGCTCTGTTGCCCAGTCACCCAGGCTAGAAGGATCATGGCTCACTACAGCCTCAACCTCTTGGGCTCAAGTGATCCTCCCATCTCAGCCTCCCCAGGAGCTGGTACTAAAGGTGTGCGCCAGCACACCCGGCTAATTTTTTTGTAAAGATAGATTTCACCATGTCGCCCAGGCTGATTTTTTATTCTTTTAGTTGGACTCTGCAATTTTACCTCTAATCACCTAAAATACTGATAAGCTTAGAGATATCCTTACCCAAATGAGAGAACTTAGCATGTTTTGCTATTCTACATCCTTTACAGAAGTTGTCCTGCATTCTTCAGCAATAACTCATGGCCACCCTTGCTTTGACCAGTGATTTATAAATAATGCTCTTGAGCACCAGTAGCTGAGTATATTTCCAAAGCAGCACCAAAGACAGCGTTTCTATTTTTGTTGCTGTTCCTTTCCCACAATCTTATTTCTATTAGGTTTGGCCTATTTTCTTAAGTTCCTTTGCCAGTGGCCTCATAGCCTAAGAATAAGAATACTCATATTTTAAATTGGAATTTTAGGCCGGGTGCGGTGGCTCACACCTGTAATCCCAACACTTTAGGAGGCTGAGGCGGGTGGATCACCTGAGGTCGGGAGTTTGAGACCAACCTGGCCAACATGGTGAAACCCTGTCTCTACTAAAAATACAAAAATTAGCCGGGTGTGGTGGCAAGCACCTGTAATCCCAGCTACTCAGGAGGCTGAGACATGAGAATCGCTTGAACCCAGGAGGCAGAGGTTGCGGTGAGCTGAGATGGCGCCACTGCACTCCAGCCTGGGGTATACAGCAAGACTCTGTCTCCAAAAAATAAAAAATTAGGCTGGGTGCAGTGGCTCAAGCCTGTAATCCCAGCCCTTTGGGAGGCTGAGGCGGGCTGATCACCTGAGGTCGGGAGTTCGAGACCAGCGTGACCAACATGGAGAAACCCCATTTCTACTAAAAATACACAAAATTAGCTGGGCGTGGTGGCACATGCCTGTAATCCCAGCTACTCAGGAGGCTGAGGCAGGAGAATTGCTTGAACCTGGGAGGCGGAGGTTACGGTGAGCCGAGATTGTGCCATTGCACGCCAGCCTGGACAATAAGAGCAAAACTCTGTCTCAAAAAAAAAAAAAAAAAAAATTAATTGGAATTTTAGAATTTAAAAGGAAATACTTTTAAATGAGAAAAGGCAAAGATGAAAGACCAAAGAAATCGCCAAAAATGTGAAATATTTAGTTATGTGTTTTTTTCCCTCTACTTCTCTTTTGGGGTCCTTTGAACTTGGGCCTGTTTTCTGTCTAGCTGCTCACATGGCATTTTTTAGATCTGAAATAACTTGTTGGAAAAATCTAAATATAACTCTGGGGCAGGAGATCAAGGATCAGACATATTTTCTCAGAAAGATAGTAATTTTAGGGGAAAAAAATATTTTCTGAAGCATTCTAGAAGAAAAAACTAGTCCATACTACAAAGAAAAGAAGTGTGGCAAACATCAGGGATATCAGAGTTCTGAGGTTTTATTCTTTTGTATTAAATATTTTTAAGAAACATGTTTTGTTACCATGGAAAATTTTAAACAGATTTTTAAAAAAGTGGAATAGTATAATGAGCCTTTTATACCCATCACCTGCATTCCACGATTATCGAGTAACAGCCAATCTTGTTCTTCTCAATTCACTTTCTCCTTTCCTGTACTAATTTGAAGCACATCCCAGACATTATATTGTTTCATATTTCAGTTTGCATCTCTAAAAGATAATGATTTTTCTTTTTAATAATAATAAATATTGATCAGGCTTACACCTGTAATCCCAGTGCTTTGGGAGGCTGAGGCAGGCAGATCACTTGAGCCCTGGAGTTCAAGACCAGCCTGGGCAACATGGTGAAACCCCATCTCTACAAAAAATTAGCCAGGCATGGTGGCTTGCACCTGTAGTCTCAGCTACTCAGGAGGCTGAGGTAGGAGGATTTCATGAGCCTGGGAGGTTGAGGCTGCAGTGAGCTATGATCACGCCACTGCACTCCAGTCTAGGTGATAAAGTGAGACCCTGTCTCAAAAAAAAAAATCTAATAAAGAGGACAGCAAGCAAAATTATCTTGTAATGAATAAATAAAATAAACATCACTTAGAACACATTCTCATATTTTCTTCCCTTCAGTGGTACAAAAAATTGAGCTGATATTTCATGTGGGTAAATGAATGAATAAACTAAACTCTTCATACTACTTTTTTTTTTTTTTTTTTTTTTTTGAGACACAGTCTCGCTGTGTCACCCAGGCTGGAGTGCAGTGGTGCGATCTCGGCTCACTGTAAGCTCCGCCTCCCGGGTTCACACCATTCTCCTGCCTCAGCCTCCTAAGTAGCTGGGACTACACGCGCCTGTCACCACGCCCGGCTAATTTTTTCCATTTTTAATAGGGACAGGGTTTCACCGTGTTAGCCAGGATAGTCTCGATCTCCTAACCTCGTGATCCGCCTGCCTCGGCCTCCCAAAGAGCCACCGCGCCCGGCCTAACTCTTCAGTCACTATGACTTATGGGTAATTGAGGCTCAGAGGTATATTTGTCTTTTTTCCATATAAATGTCAAGAATGCTAATTATTAATTTTTAGAGAGAGATCTGTAATAAATATTTATTAGTAATATTTCTGTACTTTTTAATGTGAAATTATATTTATAGAAAATACCTCATCAAGGCCAGGCACTGTGGCTCATGCCTATAATCCCAGCACTTTGGAGGCTGAGACAGGCAGATCGCCTGAAGTCAGGAGTTCGAGACCAGCCTGGTCAACATGGTGAAACCCCGTCTCTACTAAAAATACAAAAATTAGCCGGGCATGGTGGCATCTGCCTGTAATCCCAGCTACTCGGGAGGCTGAGGCAGGAGAATCGCTTGAACCCGGGAGGCGGAGGTTGCAGTGAGCTGAGATCGTGCCATTGTACTCCACCCTGGGCTGCAAGAGTGAAACTCCATCTCAAAAAAAAAAAAGAAAGAAAAGAAAAGAAAATACCTCATCAATAAGTGTTAAATGAGTCATGGTGAATTTTGCTCTTGGTATATAAGAAACTGACCTTGAGTCTTGGTATATGAAAAACTGACCTTGACTTTGGGATTCTTCACAGAGGTACCAGATAAGTAAAGTCTCATCAAATAAGAAAAATAAACCTTACATTCAGATACATATTTAGGTATCTTCCTGGTTTAGATGCAAAGAAACAAGGATTCTTTCACAGGACCTGCATCATGTAGAAAAGGTTTTCAGTATGGTTCAACTGGCAGTGACTTTCAGAAGAATATATGATGAATCACAATATATAGTTCCCCCTCTTTACACTAAAGATTATTTTTATTTACCCTGTATGCTGTTTTAGTTGAATGCCATGTAGCAGACTGTTGGTTAATATCATAGAATGAGGTGTGTTAATGAATACAGTTATTTTCACACACACAAAAATCTAATAAAGAGGAAAGAAAGAAGTAATGAATCTTCAGATCTTTAGAAGTCTTAGAAATGTGTGAATGGGTGGAAAGAATGGCCCCGTTTAGTTTTGTAAAGTCTGTAATTATAAAACAGCTCTTCTACATGACCTCATAGACAATCCCGAGTCCCAGACGCTTTGCAGAGAAGCATCCTTGCCTTTCCTTGAGGCGGTGATCAGGACATAGATAGTGGGAAGGATGTGCCTGGGAGGAAGGTCCCAAGACCACGTCTCATCCTGGCATGCCAGTGCCACCCACCTGCCTGTGCCGCAGTTGTTTGTCATTGACTGGGCAAAGCAGATGACCCATGTCTCACTTGCAGGTATTGACTGGGCTCCCAAGAGCGACCGCATTGTCACTTGTGGGGCAGACCGCAATGCCTATGTCTGGAGTCAGAAAGATGGTGTTTGGAAGCCAACCCTGGTGATCCTGAGAATTAATCGCGCAGCTACTTTTGTGAAGTGGTCCCCCCTAGAGAACAAATTTGCTGTGGGAAGTGGAGCACGACTCATTTCTGTTTGTTACTTTGAGTCTGAAAATGACTGGTGAGTGACATCTGAATTTTTTCTATCCCTCTCTATAGAATTTACATTTGCACTGCTGTGTGAGGGCTCACCATAACTCCAGTTTTTCTCATCCGGAGTTGTGTGGTTTTTTCTCTGAAATTCTCGATTCTGTCTGAGCATTTTCCCTTCTCATGTGCATGTTAAGTTAAATCGCACGTTTTTTATATTAACATAGAGCTATTGTGTCCATGTTCTGATCGCCTAACTTGTTTCTTCTGCAAGATGCTATTACTGTTCTCACTCTATACTGCGCAAATTGCTGTTTTCTTACTCTCATTTACAAATAATAACATTGAAAGAGTCTCCGTTCCCTGAGGAATATTTTTTCTTTTTTTTTTTTTTTCACAGGATATCTATGTAGGATTCCTACAGATAACAATGTTCTTTTTTTTTTTTTTTTTTTTTTTTTTTTTGAGACAGAGTCTTACTCTGTTGCCCAGGCTGGATGGAGCGCAGTGACACGATCATGGCTCACTGCAACGTCCGCCCCCTGGTTCAAGCAATTCTCCTGCCTCAGCCTCCTGAGTAGCTGGGATTACAGTCACCTGCCATCGTGCCCGGCTAATTTTTGTAGTTTTAGTAGAGACAAGGTTTCACCATCTTGGCCAGGCTGGTCATGAACTCCTGACCTCATGATCCACCGCCTCGGCCTCCCAAAGTGCTGGGATTACAGGCGTGAGCCACCACGCCTGGTCAATGTTCCTTCTTTAAAGCTTATTTGCCAACCAAATCTGTGTCTTGGTGTAATATTTTACTTGTTTAAACTGTTGAAGTCAAAACTCACCAGAATCTTAGAAGTCTAATCAGCTATTGCACATTTTTTAAATTACTTCTTGCTGACCCAGTCAAAACACAGGTTTATTTTATGGCCAAAACTTATTTTAACTACTCCTTCCTGTTTGTTTTGATAAGGAAACAATTATTCTCCAGCCTGGCCAAGATGGTGAAACCCCATCTCTACTAAAAATACAAAAATTAGCCAGGCACAGTGGCAGGTACCTGTAATCCCACCTACTTGGGAGGAAGCAGGAGAATTACTTGAACTCGGAGGGCAGAGGTTGCAGTGAGCCAAGATCGTGCCACTGCACTCCAGCCTGGGCGGCAAAGTGAGATTCTATCTCAAAAAAAAAAAAAATTATTTTTCTGTGTGGCATGTGTTCAGCATGACTGGTAAATATCCTTCAACGTAAAGTTGTCATTTACTACTAAACTGGCAGTGTTTGTGTTTCTACTAAAAATAGCAGAGTATACATGACTCTTTGTAGCTGTTTTGTTATTTGTATTCTGCTGAAATTGAAAGAAGGGGATTATCATGTTACCTTTGTAATTTAGTAAAACTTCAGAAATTTTATTCTTCAAAAAGAGATTGGGAATTTGCGGTAAAATTGAGTTATGGGCCAGGTACAGTGGCTCATGCCTGTAACCCCAGCACTTTGGGAGGCCGAGGCAGGTGGATCACCTGAGGTCAGGAGTTCGAGACCAGCCTGACCAACACGGATAAACCCTGTCTCTACTAAAAATACAAAAAAATTAACGGGGTGTGGTGGTGCATGCCTGTAATCCCAGCTACCTGGGAGGCTGAGGCAGGAGAATCTCTTGAACCCAGTAGGCAGAGGTTGCGGTGAGCCGAGATCACGCCATTGCACTCCAGCCTGGGCATCAAGAGTGAAACTCCGTCTCAAAAAAAAAAAAAAAAATTGAGTTACGAATTTGAAACATACATTTTTCTTTCAAATGTGAAATCAAGGCTAACAAAATGTTACCTGCTAGAAACTATTTGGAAGTTTCATTGTAATGAGATAGGAAACTAACTTCATTAATATTCTCTCAAGGCTAAACTTTATGTCAGCTGGTACTCCTTGCAATCTTACAAATTTCTACAGGAAACTTTTCTTCCAAGTTAAGCTTCAACCTCAGTAATTGTTTACATTTTTATTCGTTGAGAATTAGTGTCAAGTATAGGTAAATTGGACTTTATTATGGTACAAGGTATTGTCTTTGAACAAGCTGTATGTTTAGGGCAGTTTCTCAGCTGTAGAACAATTATTTCATATTTCATAGGAGTACTTTAAAACAACTTCTCAGAAGTTTATAATTCAGCCATATGAACTAATTATTTTGCTTGCCATCTTTTCCTTAATTAAAAAAATTACATTATAAAGGCCAGGCACGGTAGCTCACGCCTGCAATCCCAGCACTTTGCGAGGCCAAGGCAGGCGGATCACGAAGTCAAGAGTTCGAAACCATCCTGGCCAACATGGAGAAACCCCATCTCTACTAAAAATACAAAATATTAGCCAGGTGTGGTGGTGCATGCCTATAATCCCAGCTACTTGGGAGTCTGAGGCAGGAGAATCGCTTGAACCAGGGAGGTAGAGGTTGCAATGAGCCGAGACCATGCCACTGCACTCCAGCCTGGGCAACAGAGCAAGACTCTGTCTCAAAAAATATGTATACATTATGAAACAATTCGAAATACTGTCTTTTTCTCCTTTTTTAGAGACTTTGTGGGGGATTTTGGTTTTTTATTTTATTTATTTATTTATTTTTTGAGACAGGGTTTCTCTCTGTCACCCAGTCTGGAGTACAGTGGTACAAACACGGCTCACTGCAGTCTCCAACTCCTGGGATCCAGCAGTCTTGCCACTTCAGCCTCCCAAGTAGTTGGGACTACAGGTTTGCACCACCACACCTGGCTAATTTTTTGATTACTTGTGGAGACAGGTTCTCACTTTTCTTGCCCAGGCTGATCTCAAATTCCTGTACTCAAGCAATCCTTCTGCTTTGGTCTTCCAAAGTGCTGGGAGTATAGTTGCAAGCCTCTGCACCTGGCTGTCTTTTTCAGAATGAACTTCTTCAGACAGGATACTAAGAAAGTGATTCTGTAGCCAGGCGTGGTGGCTCATGCCTGTAATCCTAGCACTTTGGGAGGCTAAGGCAGGCAGATCACCTGAGACCAGGAGTTTGAGACCAGCCTGGCCAACATGGTGAAAGCTAATCTCCTCTAAAATTACAAAAATTAGCCGGGCGTGGTGGCGTGAGCCTATAATCCCAGCTATCGGGAGGCTGAGGCACAAGAATTGCTTGAACACAGGAGGCAGAGGTTGCAGTGAGCTGACATTGCGCCACTGCACTCCAGCCTGGATGACAGAGTAAGACTCTGTCTCAAAAAAATAAAAAATAAATAAATAAAAGAAAGTGATTCTTGCTTGACCCCGGGAGGTGGAGGTTGCGGTGAGCTGAGATCACGCCATTGCACTCCAGCCTGGACAACAAGAGCGAAACTCCATCTCAAAAAAAAAAAAAAAAGAAAGAAAGTGATTCTATAGAAAGGTAATTTAGCATTGAAGGAAAGGCATTGGCTCAATATTTAGTCTCCCAACTGTTGAGCAACCAGACGTGATTGGTTTTTAAACAGCAGTTTGGGGGCAGAAATGAATTAGTTAAGCCAAAATACTGACTGGTCCTAGACATAAATCATCTTTTTTGGATGGTGCTAGCGAATTAGAGGCTAATCCCCAACATGAGGTTCTTCTAATTTCTTGGTTGTGATTTTTCAGTGAAAGAAATTAAAAAGAATTTGCAGATTCGTGGAGACTTGGGAAGGATATTAAGCTGTCTTACAACCCCAAATTCACCAAAAATTCAGCAAATCACTGAATATTCATAATAAAAATTGAAGTATTTTCAAACTTCAGTTTTTATCTCAGAGGTTAACGTCCTATGTAATCCGAAATCTCACGAAAACATAACTGAGTTAATCAATATCTATGCTTACTAATGAGGACTGCTGAAAACCAGCTGTTGTGCTGAGAACATCAGGGCCAGGAGTGGAGAAGGCCTGTTCATGGTTCTTTTCCTTTCTGTCCTTTAGCAATGCACCTTGTCAGCTGGGCGTAGTGGCTCATGCCTGTAATCCCAGCACTTTGGGAGGCTGAGGCCGGTAGATCACTTGAGCCCCAGAGTTTGAGACCAGCCTGGGCAACATGGAGAAATCTCATCTCTACAAAAAATACAAAAATTAGCCAGTCTCAGATCATAACCTGGTATCAAAAAACCTTGTCTCTGGCAGAAGGCCTGGTGACCGACAGAAGAACGTTGAATGCTCTGTTACTTTTCTATAGAATCTTTTTTTATAGAAACCTATCTGAAAAAGTTTATTCTGAAAAAAATAATATTCTGAATTGTTTTATAATTTTTTTTTAAATTAAGGAAAAGTGTGGCCTACTTAGGTATTTTCACCTGACATACATTTGTAGGTCATTTGGGGATGCTGGTTGAGTGGATAAACTGAAACAGTTTTCCCCTCTCATAGGTGGGTGAGCAAGCACATTAAAAAGCCGATTCGCTCCACAGTCCTCAGCTTGGATTGGCATCCCAACAACGTTTTGCTGGCAGCAGGATCATGTGACTTCAAATGCAGGTGGGAACCAGTGAGAACTGATAAACTTGAGCCGTGCATTCTTCATCCTTCAACAAATAATTTTAGGTTCTCTTTCTTTGTTTTTTGTTTTGTTGTGGTTGTTGTTGTTTTGAGACAGGGTCTCACTCTCACCCAGGCTGGAGTGCAGTGGCACCATCATAGCTCACTGCAGCCTCCAATTCCTGGGCTCAAGCGATCCTCCAGCCTCAGCCTCCAGAGTAGTTGGGACTACAGGTATATGCCACCACACCTGGCTAATTTTTTTAAAATTGTCTTTATTCTTTGTAGAGACGGGGTCTTGCTACATTGCCCAGGTTGGTCTTGAACTCCTGGCCTCAAGTGATCCTCCCTCCTTGGCCTCCTGAAGTGCTGGGATTACAGGCATGAGCCAGTGTGCCTGGCCTGTAAGTTTCCTTTTCTTTGCAAGGTACTGCGCTAGGCACTGTGAGGGACTCAAAAATGAGGCCTGGTGCTGTGGCTCACACCTGTAATCCCAGCACTTTGGGAGGCTGAGGTGGGCGGATCACCTGAGGTTGGAAGTTCAAGACCAACTTGGCCAACATGGTGAAACCCCGTGTCTACTAAAAATACAAAAGAGGCCGGGCGCAGTAGCTCACGCCCGTAATCCCAGCACTTTGGGAGGCTGAGGTGGGCGGATCACAAGGTCAGGAGATCGAGACCATCCTGGCTAACACAGTGAAACCCCGTCTCTACTAAAAAAATACAAAAAATTAGCCGGGCGTGGTGGCGGGTGCCTGTAGTCCCAGCTACTCGGGAGGCTGAGGCAGGAGAATGGTGTGAACTCGGGAGGCGGAGCTTGCAGTGAGCCGAGATCACACCACTGCACTCCAGCCTGGGCGACAGAGCGAGACTCTGTCTCAAAATAAATAAATAAATAAAAGTTAGCCTGGTGTGGTCACAAATGCCTGTAATCCCAGCTACTTGGGAGGCTAGGGCATGAGAATCATTTGAACCGGGGAGGTGGAGGTTGCAGTGAGCTGAAATCACACCACTGCACTCCAGCCTGGGCGACAGAGTAAGACTCCATCTCAAAAAACAAACAAAAACAAAACAAAAAAATGGAAGCAGTTTGTGATCCAGAAAAGGAGCTCAAGCATGGTGATTAAAAGAACAAGTTCATAAGTCACTGAGGTAAAAAGAAATCCACTTGGAAGTGGGGTAGGAGGGAGAGGCAAGGGTGGGGCCAGCGAAGATTTCCTTAAGTGTAAGAATATCTATGGTTTAGAGGGGAGGATTAGCATGTACTCTCTCTGTCTCTGTCTCTGTCTCTTTCTTACCATCTCTTTCTGTGTCTCCCTTTCTCCCTGTCTTTCTTGACAACAGTATTTTTCTCATTTCATATTCCAGGCAGCAGTCTCTGCAAATTCCAAAGTGAAACAATTAATAAAACATAGCTAAACAGTGCGCTGCTAAGCTGTTATTGTGCTGTTCTTTCAGTTAAAGCTTTTTATTTTGTCATTAGCTTGAAGCTAGAAGAAATGCAGCCACTTTGCTAAGAACTTTAAGGATCATACCATGGAATTCCATGTAATTGCTTTTTAAAGTTGTTCTTTCTCAAGAATATGCTTTTTTCCCTTTAGCTGAAAGGAAAGCAAAGCAAATAAATGTTGCTTTGTGTTGACTATATGGTAGGTTGGGAGATGAGGTGCACTTTTTTTTTTTTTTTTTTTTTTTTTTTTTTTTGAGACAAGGTCTTGCTCTGTCACCCAGGCTGGAGTGTGGTGGTGCGATCATAGCTCCCTGCAGCTTCGACCTCCCGGACTCAAGCAATCCTCCCACCTCAGTCTCCTGAGTAGCTGGGACCACAGGCATGAGCCACCATGCCTGGCTGATTTTGTTT
This sequence comes from Homo sapiens, assembly GCF_000001405.40. NCBI lineage: Eukaryota > Metazoa > Chordata > Mammalia > Primates > Hominidae > Homo > Homo sapiens. Next base: position 99,350,821 of record NC_000007.14, read on the forward strand.
ATTTTTTGTAGAGATGGGGTCTCACTATGTTGCCCAGGCTGGTCTCAAACTCCTGGGCTCAAAGAATCCTTCTGCCTTGGCCTCCCAAAGTGCTGGGCTTACAGGGATGAGCCACTACACTCAGCTGGGATACACTTTCTTCAGTAACTGTGGAGAATTCCCAGAAAACCAGGCTAGTGGTTTATATCCAGGAATACTCAAAGCTTAAAAAAAAAAGAGAGAGAGATGTGTTTGAGTTTGGCGGAGAGGATGGAGGTCATGGGAGTGTCAAGGCACTTTATATTCTGGACCTGTGTTACTTGTGATTTCTTAACCAGAGTCATTGGAAAATAGAACTAGGTGGCACTAACCCACACCACCTGGATTCTTTGATGGTTGTGAAAATAGGTTGCAGTTATTTTGTTAATATTAATTTCCCCTAGTTTCTCTGTCACAAAAGCTGGAGTGCAGTGGTGTGATCCTGGCTCACTGCAACCTCTGCCTCCCAGGTTCAAGTGATTCTCATGCCTCAGCCTCCCAAGCAGCTGGGATTGCAGGCGTACACCACCATGCCTGGCTAATTTTTTTTTTTGTATTTTAGTAGAGACAGGGTTTCACCATATTGGCCAGGCTGGTCTCAAACTCCTGGCCTCGAGCTATCCACCTGCCTCGGCCTCCCAAAGTGCTGGGGTTACAGGCATGAGCCACTGCGCCTGGCCCAGTCCTGTGGGTATGGGTCTGTCCCATTTGTGTTCCTGAGTTGGTGGCTGAGAGCCACTGGTTCTTTCTTGGCCTTCTAAGACTAAAGCAGCCGCTGTCATGATGCAGATTTAAAGCACAGTGTTTCTACTGTCTCGTCATATAACCTCACATAACTCACAGTCCTCTGCCAGGCATCTTCCAGAGCCTCTGTACTGCCATTGTCATTTGGGGTGGTAGGGGGGATACCTCGGTTCTTTTAGGGAGCCTTTAGGTTCAGCAGTTTTTTGGAGAGAAGAAGGTGTACAAAGTAGAAATCACATTGGAGGGCGAAAGGGCCCTAAAGGGTAGATTTCCAGCCGTTCCCCTTTGCCCTTAACTCTGGGCCAGAACATCCTCAAACACAGCTGTGTGGAATTAGATAAAAGAGTGAGTTAGTGGAAACGGGCGACACCACCTATAAAGGACCTGCCTCCATCTTAAGCTATTCCTGCCACAGAGACTGGACAGTGGGCCTGAGGGTCCAGGGAGCCTGCCCACCCCTTGTCACCAGCCTCCCTTGGCTTTCTCTTGGGGTATGTCTTTAAAAGGGTCAACACCATTAGTTTGTTGCAGGGTGGCAAATAGTTTCTGCTCTCCCACCATTGACTGCGCAGGCTTCCTGGAGTACTGTGTTGAGAATGATGGTAAGGTAGACAGGAAAGAATGCTGTGGCCATTTAGCAAGGTCTCATGTGGGCAAGGGAGGGATGGGACAGCAAGATCTCCCCAGAATGTGCAGTCCATGAGGACAGGTCTTTTGTGATCACTACTTCAGAACCTGGCACCCACAGCCTGACACACAGTAGGTGCTTTGATAGTATCTAGAGTATGGATTAGCTAGGCGCAGTGGCACACATCTGTAATCCCAGCACTTTGGGAGGCTGAGGCAGGAGTATTACCTGATCCCAGGAGTTCGAGACCAGCCTGGGCAACACAGCAAGACCCCATCTCTACAAAAAATTTTAAAATATTAGCTGGGCATAATACGAACTTGTAGTCCCAGCTACTCGAGAGGCTGAGGCAGGAGGATCACTTGAGCCCAGAAGTTGGCTGCAGTGAGCTTTGATCACACCACTACACTCCATCCCGGGCAACAGAGCCAGACCCCCGTCTCTTAAAAAAAAAAAAAAAGTTGGAGCGGGGGATCAGGTGTGGTGGCTCATGCCTGTAATCCCAGCACTTTGGGAGGCCAAGGCAGGTGGATCACCTGAGGTCAGGAGTTCAAGACCAGCCTGGTCAACATGGTGAAACCCCATCTCTACTAAAAATACAAAATTAGCCAGGCATGGTGGCACATGCCTGTAATCCCAGCTACTTGGGAGGCTGAGGCAGGAGAATCTCTTGAACCCAGGAGGCGGAGGTTGTGGTGAGCCAGGATCATGCCATTGCACTCCAGCCTGGGCAACAAGAGCAAGACTCTGTCCCCCAAAAATATATATATATATACTAGAATATGGATTTGCCAAACTTGGGTTGGCCTGTAGATAGCTCTAACAATAATTCTGTTACTTGAGAGGTTTGAATATCTGGACTTACCTATCATGATTTATTATTTTAGTTTAGTTTAGTTTAGTTTATGTTATGTTATGTTATGTTATGTTATGTTATGTTATGTTATGTTATGTTATGTTATTTTAGAGACGGTGTCTCGCTCTGTTGCCCAGCCTGGAGTGCAGTGGCGCAATCTCAGCTCACTGCAAGCTGTGCCTCCTGGGTTCACGCCATTCTCTTGCCTCAGCCTCCGGAGTAGCTGGGACTACAGGCGCCTGCCACCACACCCGGCTAATTTTCTGTATTTTTCGTAGAGATGGGGTTTCACCGTATTAGCCAGGATGGTCTCGATCTCCTGACCTCATGATCCTCCCGCCTTGGCCTCCCAAAGTGCTGGGATTACAGGCATGAGCCACCGCACCCAGCCTTATTTATTTATTTATTTATTTATTTATTTATTTATTGAGAAGGAGTTTCTCTCTTGTTGCCCAGGCTGGAGTGCAGTGGCGTGATCTCGGCTCACTGCAACCTCTACCTCCTGGGTTTACGCGATTCTCCTGACTCAGCCTCCTGAGTAGTTGGGATTACAGGCATGCGCCCCCACGCTTGGCTAATTTTGTGTATTTTTAGTAGAGACGGGGTTTCTCCATGTTGGTCAGGCTGGTCTCGAACTCCCGACCTCAGGTGATCCACCCACCTAGGCCTCCCAAAGTGCTAGGATTACAGGCTTGAGCCACCGTGCCCAGCTCATGTTTTATTTTTTTTTAATGAGTCAACCTCTTTGCATTCTGAGATTCCTTGTGGCAGCTGCCTATGGCCTGTTTCTATATACATATATTTTCATTTGCTTTTTCCTTTTCTCTCTGCCCTTTAAACAGAGTGTTTTCTGCCTACATTAAAGAAGTGGATGAAAAGCCAGCCAGCACGCCCTGGGGCAGCAAGATGCCTTTTGGGCAGCTGATGTCAGAGTTTGGTGGCAGTGGCACTGGTGGCTGGGTCCACGGGGTAAGCTTCTCTGCCAGTGGGAGCCGCCTGGCCTGGGTCAGCCACGACAGCACCGTGTCTGTTGCTGATGCCTCAAAAAGTGTGCAGTGAGTATTTGCCTTTCATTTGGAAGGTGGGGAACAAGGGGTGGGATCTCTCACCAGCTGAACCAGGACTGCCCTTCCTGGGGTGTTAGCACAGGGCACAAACATAAAAACCTTAATCAGGCCAGGCGTGGTGGCTCACGCCTGTAATCCCAGCACTTTGGGAGGCCGAGGTGGGTGGATCACAAGGTCAGCAGTTCAAGACCAGCCTGGCCAAGATGGTGAAACCCTGTCTCTACTAAAAATAAAAAAAATTATCCAGGTGTGGTGGTAGGCGCCTGTACTCCCAGCTACTCGGAAGGCTGAGGCAGAGAATTGCTTGAACCTGGGAGGCAGAGGTTGTAGTGAGCCAAGATCATGCCACTGTACTCCAGCCTGGGCGACAGAGTAAGACTCCGTCTCAAAAAAAAAAAAAAAAAAAAAACACCTCAATGAAAACTGCAGGCAGGCAGGCCTCAGTGGCTCACGCCTATAATCCTAGCACTTTGAGAGGCTGTGGGCAGATCACCTGAGGTCAAGAGTTCAAGACCAGCCTGGCCAACATGGTGAAACCCCGTCTCTACTAAAAACACAAAAATTAGCCCTGCTGGGCACAGTGGCTCACACCTGTAATCCCAGTACTTTGGTAGGCCATGGGTGGATCACCTGAGGTCAGGAGTTCAAGGCCAGCCTGGCCAACATGGTGAAACCCTGTCTCTAATAAAAATACAAAAATTAGCCGCAGTGGCTCACACCTGTAATCCCAGCACTTTGGGAGGCTGAGGCGGGCGGATCACTTGAGGTCGGGAGTTTGAGACCAGCCTGACTAACATGGAGAAACCCCATCTCTACTAAAAATACAGAAAATTAGCTGGACGTGGTGGCACATGCCTGTAATCCCAGCTACTCAGGAGGCTGAGTCAGGAGAATTGCTTGAACCTGGGAGGCGGAGGTTGCAGTGAGCCAAGATTGCACCACTGTACTCCAGCCTGGGCAACAAATGCAGAACTCCGTCTCAAAAAAAAAAAAAAAAAATCAGCCCGGCATAGTGGCATATGCCTGTAATCCCAGCTACTCGGGAGGCTGAGGCTAGAGAATCTCTGGAACCCAAGAAACAGAGGTTGCGGTGAGCCGAGATTGTGCCATTGCACTCCAGCCTGGGCAACAAGAGCAAAACTATGTCTCAAAAAAAAAACTGCAAGTCAGCTTTTACCGTGACAGGCACAGACACAAATTCTCCGGTTGGAAAATTTTAAAGACCTAGGTCTTCCAGAAATACTTCTTAATGGAAGTACTGATAATGATTCCTTTCAAGAACCCTCCTGGTTGGCTACTGATAAGGGTCACTTAAAAAGGGCCAGTTTAAGCTGGGCACAGTGGCTCACACCTATAATCCCAGCACTTTGGGAGGCCAAGGTGGGTGGATCACTTGAGGTCAGGAGTTCGAGAGCAGCCTGGCCAACATGGTGAAACCCTGTCTCTACAAAAATACAAAAATTAGCCCAGCATGGTGGCGGGTGCCTATAGTCCCAGCTACTCGGGAGGCTGAGGAAGGAGAATCACTTGAACCCAGGAGGTGAAGGTTGCAGTGAACCGAGATCATGCCATTGCACTCCAGCCTGGGCAACAGAGCAAGACTCCATCTCAAAAAAAAAAAGGCTAGTTTAGTCTGTTACTCTGAATTCCTTACAAAATGTAAGTGCCGTTCACCGGCCTTAAATTAAATAGGAGATATATTCTTACTGGGGGAAGTCAGCGAACGATGACTTCATTAATTTGAGCCTTCCATTCAGTAAGGCTTAAAAAGCATTGATGCCACTTCTCTGCTGTGGCTGGAAGGACTCGAATTACGGTGGCTTCTTTGTGAGTGGCGTGTCTGTTCAGCCATAAAGTACTTGGCCAGACATCAGAGTTCATTTTGTTCAGTATATGTTGGAGGAAGAGAGAAGATTGGAATCCTTCTTCTTTTATAAATCTTTGTTCTTCCCTGGTGTTCCTTTTCCATTGATAGCTAAAGGGAACTCACCATTAAAGGTTTTGTGATGGACATGGCCACTTGGGTATCAAAAATCAATCACACTGGGTGACCTTTACTCCCTGTCAGGTCAGTAAGAGTCACCCAGTGTAAACAGCATGATATTTCAGACATGATATGTTTTTCCTAACAGGATTAAATGTGCATTTTTTAGCTAGTTTTACATATTTTTTTAAAGATTATCCCCTCAGGCCGGGTGCAGTGGCTCACGCCTGTAATCCCAGCACTTTGGGAGGCCGAGGCGGGTGGATCACCTCAGGTAAGGAGTTCGAGACCAGCATGGCCAACATGGAGAAACCCCGCCTCTACTAAAAGTATAAAAATTAGCCAGGTGTGGTGGCATGCACCTGTAATCCCAGCTACTCAGGAGGCTGAGGCAGGAGAATTGCTTGAACCCAGCAGGCAGAGGTTGCAATGAGCCAAGATCGCACCACTGCACTCCAGCCTGGGCAACAAGAGGAAGACTCTGTCTCAAAAAAAAAAAAAAGACTGGGCACAGTGGCTCACACCTGTAATCCCAGCACTTTGGGAGGCCGAGGCGGGCGGATCACAAGGTCAGGAGATCGAGACCATCCTGGCTAACACGGTGAAACCCTGTCTCTACAAAAAATACAAAAATTAGCCAGGCGTGGTGGCGGGCGCTTGTAGTCCCAGCTACTCGGGAGGCTGAGGCAGGAGAATGGCGTGAACCTGGGAGGCAAAGCTTGCAGTGAGCCGAGATTGCGCCACTGCACTCTAGGCTGGGCGACAGAGCGAGACTCCATCTCAAAAAAAAGAAAGAAAAAAAGAAAGATTGTCCCTTCCATTATAAAATGTAGTCTTTCAGAAGATTTCCCTACATAAACAGGCACTTATATATCTTTTCATTTTTAACAGAAATAAGATTATTTTATACATTTTTATATACATTTGGTAATTTGCCTTTTAATACTTGATAATACTTTTGTATTTTGATGCCAGTGTTACTTGATTTTTATATGGTTTATTGTGACACAGTAAGTTCTTAGCATACACTTATTACAAGTCCCTGTCTACCCTCGTACTGACTTCTTTCCCTTTTCCAGTCCTGCAAGTCAGATTACATGCTCCACCTTTCCACTCCTCCAACATAAATATCTCATGTAGTAAAAGTCAGGTATACCGCACTAAGGGCTTAAGATGACACATTAGTTCTTCAATTCAATGCCAACTTTATGAAGGGTGTCCTGAGACATATACAGTTAGCTTTTTTTTATTTTTTAATTTAGAGAGACACTCTCTGTCGCCCAGGCTGGAACTCCTGAGCTCAAGTTCTCCTCCCACCTCAGCCTCTCAAGCAGCTGGAGCCACAGACGTGCACCACCACTCTAGGCTAATTTTTTTTTTTTTTTAATTTTTCGTAGAGACTGGGTCTCACTATGTTGTCCAGGCTGATCTCAAACTCCTGCCTCCAGCAATCCTTCCACCTCAGCCCCTCAAAGTGCTGAGATTACAGGTGTGAGCCACCATGCCCAGCCACAGTCAGCTTTTGAATGCATCGTTTCTTGCATGAAGTGAGGTGCTCCTAACTCATCAGCCAGTGTGTCTGCCTGCCATATCTGTGTAATCTCTTTGCCACATTCAAGAGCAAATAACTACATGCACACACATGTCCCTGCAGGCACACATACACACACATGGCCCATTCGAGTGTGAGCTCCTGGCTAAGACCGTTTGGTTCATCTTGGTAGCTCTAGCTCCTAACACAGTGCCTGGCCGTCAGCACAGATCTGTGTGGTCACAGCCCTCTCGGAGCTCCGGTGAGCACAGGCAAGGAGAAGGTCCTAGCACAGGTGTCTGCTGCCAAGTCATAGTAACAGGAAGAGCTCTAGGAGCTAAGAGCAGGGAGAAGCCACTTTAGGCGGAAGTGGCCCGGGAAAGTGGACCGTGGGATCATGGGGGTGATCCCTTTAGAGCTGTGCTGGGGGTGGAAGGGCGTGATGCAAAGACTGGGCTTTGGGAACCAGTTTGTCGTCAGTGGGCAGGGCCTCAGAAGGAGGCAGAGCCGGAACCCAGGGCTGCCCCTGTCTTGAGAGGCCTGCAAGTTGAGGTCAGGGGCTCCTTTTCAACATAAGTGCCCATTGATACTGCAGAAGCCCCTGTGAGAATGGGTCCTTTGTGATCATCTGTGTCTGTAAAGAAGCTAATAGTCTGTTGCATCTTGGGATAACACATGTTCTTGTGTTCAGGGTCTCGACTCTGAAGACAGAGTTCCTGCCGCTCCTAAGTGTGTCATTTGTCTCAGAGAACAGCGTCGTGGCTGCTGTGAGTATTTTTCTTCATTCTCCCTCGGGGTGCACTGTATGTGATGCTCAGACAGGGAACAATGTGTGCTCTGTCACCCTAGCACAAAGCAGAACAGTTTTTTAGAAGAAACAGAGCTCACTTTTTTTTTTTTTTTTTTTTTTGAGATGGAGTTTTGCTCTTGTTGCCCAGGCTGGAGTGCAATGGGTGATCTTGACTCACCGCAACCTCTGCCTCCCGGGTTCAAGCGATTCTCCCGCCTCAGCCTCTCGAGGAACTGGGAATATAGGCATGCGCCACCATACCTGGCTAATTTTGTATTTTTAGAAGAGACGGGGTTTCTCCATGTTGGTCAGGCCGGTCTCGAACTCCCATCCTCAGGTGATCCACCCACCTTGGCCTCCCAAAGTGCGGGCATGAGCCACCGTGCCCGGCCTCAGAGGTCACTTTTTTTTTGGAGACTGTCTTGCTCTGTCGCCCAGGCTGGAGGGCAGTGGCGCAATTTTGGCTCACTGCAAGCTCCGCCTCCCGGGTTCACGCCATTCTCCTGCCTCAGCGTCCTGAGTAGCTGGGACTACAGGCGCCCGCCACCTCGCCGGGCTAATTTTTTTTATTTTTAGTAGAGATGGGGTTTCACCATGTTAGCCAGGATGGTCTCAATCTCCTGACCTCGTGATCCGCCCACCTTGGCCTCCTAAAGTGCTGGGATTACAGGTGTGAGCCACCGTGCCCGGCCGCTCACTTTTAAGAGTAAGAGGGGGTGGGGCACGATGGCTCACGCCTGTAGTCCCAGCACTTTGGGAGGCCAAGGCGGGTGGTTCACTTGAGGTCAGGAGTTCAAGACCAGCCTGGCCAACATGGTGAAACCCCGTCTCTACTAAAAACACAAAAATTAGCCAGGCATGGTGGCAGACGCCTGTAATCCCAGCTACTTGGGAGGCTGAGGCAGGAGAATTACTTGAACCCGGGAAGCAGAGGTTGTGGTGACCTGAGATTGTGCCACTGCACTCTAGCCAGGGCAACAGAGCAAGACTCGGTCTCAAAAAAAAAAAAAAAAAAGAGTAAGAGAGGCCTGTCGTGGTGAACACTCTGCCAAGGAGGTGGGCGGTGGGCAGTGCATCCTCCAGGGACTGACTGAGTCTTGTTTCAGGGCCATGACTGCTGCCCAATGCTCTTTAACTACGATGACCGCGGCTGCCTGACCTTCGTCTCCAAGTTAGATATTCCAAAACAGAGCATCCAACGCAACATGTCTGCCATGGAACGCTTCCGCAACATGGACAAGAGAGCCACAACTGAGGACCGCAACACGGCCTTGGAGACGCTGCACCAGAATAGCATCACGTAGGTGCCGTCTGTAGAGAGGTGGTCAGGTGACAAGGTGCCTTCCTGCCCCTCGCTGTTTCCTTACTGGGTTCCTACAAAAGCTCTATGCCCCTCAGGCCCAGACATTCTTTCAGGGACAAGTGCAGCAAGAAGTCTGTATCTTCCCGACCGCCAGGCTCTCATTTCCAGCTCGTGGTAGGGAGGGAGTCGCCACCACCTGGTCATTCTGTCCTTCAAGGTGCAGATTACAAGGCAGCAGCCAGCAGGAGCAGTGCAGACCTTGTTGCAATCTGAGGTGGTGGGGCCTCAGGGCAGCTGCTTCCTAGGGTACCCTTTCTCAGCTACTCGAGAACAAAAGGAGACATTCCTGAATGCTGCGTTCCCACAGTAGTGCACACATAACAGAAAGCGAAGTTACAGCCTGTTGGAAAAGGTAACTGTAGCTGTCGTTTCAAGTAATGGATACAAATAAGAAGATTATTTAATTAAAGGAACAGAATTTCTTATCATCATGATGACAAAGCTGAGGAGTGTCTCGACTGGGTTTTCATCAGGTATATGTAATTATGTAAGACAACAGAATTGTGTTTTGTCCAGAAAGTTTAATTTTTTTTTTTTTTTTTGAGACAGAGTCTCACTCTGTTGCCCAGGCTGGAGTGCAATGCCACAATCTCGGCTCACTGCAACCTCTGCCTCCCGGGTTCAAGCAATTCTCCTGCCTCAGCTTCCCAAGAAGCTGGGATTACAGGCGTGTGCCACCACACCTGGCTAATTTTTTGTATTTTTAGTAGAGACGGAGTTTCACCCTGTTGGCCATCCTGGTTTCAAACTCCTGACCTCAGGTGATCCAACCACCTCAGCCTCCCAAATTGCTGGAATTACAGGCGTAAGCTACCGTGCCTGGCCTGAAAGTTTGATTTTTAAGGTCTAGAGGAGAGGCTGGGCATGATGGCTTACACCTTTAATCCCAGCACTTTGGGAGGCTGAGGCAGGCAGATCACTTGAGGTCAGGAGTTCGAGACCAGCCTTGCCAACATGGCAAAACCCCATCTCTACTAAAAAATACAAAAATTAGCTTGGCATGGTGGTACACACCTGTAATCCCAGCTACTCGGCAGGCTGAGGCAGGAGAATTGCTTGAACCGGGCAGGTGGAGGTTGCAGTGAGCCAAGATTGAGCTACTGCACTCCCGCCTGGGTGACAGAGTGAGACTCCGTCTCAAAAAAAAAAAAAAAAAAAGGCACCTGGAGGAGAAATATATGCTTGATATTCTAAATTACTGTGTTCAGAGTTGGGTCCCATGGGATTTTCCCTTACTGAGAAGCCTTTTATGTTTAGAATCTTATTGTGGTATTGATGGTGGGAGAAGTAATGGAAACCTCTAGACTTCCTGTTTGAGAGAATTACAATGAAATGCAGGTTGTGCTTCATCTTCAGCGGAGAAGGGGCAGCTGTATATAAAATAGGCTGCAAATGCTGTATTGAAAAATGAGAACCAGAGACCTGGCACCATGTCTCACACCTGTAATGCTAGCGTTTTGGGAAGCCAAGGCAGGAGGATCACTTGAGGCCAGCAGTTCAATACCATCCTGGGCAACACAGCAAGACCCCATCTCTACAAAAAAATTTTTAAGTTAGCTGGCTGTGTTGGCACGCACCTGTAGTCCCAGCTACTTGGGAGGAGTGAGCTGTGATTGTGCCACTGTACTTCAGCCTGGGCTACATTGTGAGATCCTATCTCAAAAAAAAAAAAAAAAAAGAACCTGAAGGCATAGCAAAACTTACCTTTTCTCCACATTCTTCAGGTTTCTCCTTCTATAGCAAAACTCACCTTTTCTCCATTCTTTAGGTTTCTCTGTCTTGAATGGCTCCGAGTTACTTCTTGTGAGTTTCTCTTACGTTTCTATACAGACCAAGTGTTAAGGAAAGAAAAAGCTCTCATTGCCTCTCTGACACTTCTAGATGAAAAATGAAAAGAACAAACCCTTGCTGATTAGTCTACTTTTATTTGCAGAAATTAGGTGCTCTTTGCACTAGAACTGTGTCAGCTAACTTTTTCTGTAAAGGACCAGATAGTAAATATTTTAGACTCCTAGAGGCCATAGGTCTCTGTTGCAACTACTGAACTCTGGTTGTGGCAGGAAAGCAGGCACAGATGATGTAAACAGATGAGGTGGCTGTGTTCCCGTCAAACTTTATGGACACTCAAATTTGAATTTCATGTAATTTTCACTTCATGAAATAATAGTCTCCTTTTAATTTTTTTCCAGCTATTTAAAAACGTAAAAGCCGGGTCAGGTGCAGAGGCTCACGCCTGTAATCCCAGCACTTTGGGAGGCTGGGGTGGGCGGATCACTTGAGGTCAGGTGGTCAAGACCAGCCTGACCAACATGGCAAAACCCCGTCTCTATTAAAAATACAAAAATTCGCCAGCCTGGTGGCAGGTGCTTGTAATCCCAGCTACTCGGGAGTCTGAGGCAGGAGAATCGCTTGAACCTGGGAGGTAGAGGTTGCAGTGAGCCGAGATCGCACCACTGCACTCCAGCCTGAGTGACAGAGTGAGACTCCATCTCAATAAATAAATAAATAAAATAAAAATGTAAAACCCCGCCCCCCTTTTTTTTTTTTTTTTTGAGATGGAGTCTCTGTCACCCAGGCTGGAGTGCAGTGGCACGATCTTGGCTTACTGCAAGCTCTGCCTCCTGGGTTCACGCCCTTCTCCTGCCTCAGCCTCCCAAGTAGCTGGGACTACAGGCGCCCGCCACCATGCCTGGCTAATTTTTTTTTTTTTTTTGTATCTTTTAGTAGAGACAGAGTTTCACTGTGTTAGTCAGGATGGTCTCGATCTCCTGACCTCGTGATCTGCCCACCTCGGCCTCCCAGAGTGCTGGGATTACAGGCGTGAGCCACTGCACCTGGCCTTTGTTGTTTTTTTTTTTTATTTAAGCTCACAGGCTGTACGGGCATAGGCAGTGTGTGCCATAGTTTGCCATCCCCTTCCCAGCGTCGGGGAAGAGGCGGGTAAGTTCTAGACATCTCAAAGGAGAAAGAAAAATATTGTCTGAGCAATGGATGATTGTCTTGAAAGCTTCCAGATAATTAGGCTAAGACAAGTTGTTTCATTTATCTGTTCCCCTGCTTAGCTTGGTCGGAATCTAGTGGTGTGTCTGCTGCTAACATTTATGATGATTCACTTCAGACTCAAGGAGGGCTGTTGGCTTATCTGCACTGGCTGTCTTGGAGGCTGATTTGAGAGGTTTTGTTTGGAGCTATGGAATTCAGTCATGCTTCATCATGCCTCTGGTTTATTTAAAAACAAACAAAAATACTGTTTTCGCCATGGCTGTGGTCCTACCCACAACCTGCTCCCAGCATTTGAGTGCTGTGTGGGCTGGGTCATTCCTGCTTCCCCAGGTCACGCTAACCAAGGCAAGTTCTTAACTTCTCCCCTTGCCAGTTTTGTCTTTCCTGGACATCTGGTAATAATATGCTTTGGGGTATTTTCTGAGCCAGATTGTTGCAGCCTAATGTTCATGGATAAGTTCATAATCAGGAGTTAAAAGATAATTCATTTCCTGGTGGAGCGTGGTGGCTTATGCCTGTAATCCCAGCATTTTGGGAGACTGAGGCAGGAGGATCACTTGAGCCCAGGAGTTCAAGACCAGCTTGGGCAACATAATGAGACCCGCATCCCAGCTCTATTTAAAAAATAAAGAAGAAGATAATTCATTTCCTTAAGCTGCCCTTACACTATTAGTCAGGAATGTTTGTGTTCACTTCCACTACATACCTTACGATCTCTTTTGCTTTGCTTTTTTTCAGTCAAGTCTCTATTTATGAGGTGGACAAGCAAGATTGTCGCAAATTTTGCACTACTGGCATCGATGGAGCCATGACAATTTGGGATTTCAAGGTATTTTCTACCTAACAGAACAAATTTTGTTTGTGTTAAAACTTTTTTTTTTTTTTTTAAGAGATAGGCTCCTTCTCTGTCACCCAGGTTGGAGTAAGTGGCACAATCATGGCTCACTGCAGCCACCAACTCCTTGCCTCCAGCAGCCCTCCCACCTCAGCCTCCCAAGCTGCTGGGACAGCAGGCATGCACCACCATGCTCCGTGAATATTTTTACAAAACTCTTATGAGAAGAATGTTTCTCATTTCTTGAAACAAAATGTTAAATCTAGTATACAGTTTAATGTCCTAATGTAAGACATTAAACTGGAAATCTCTCATTTTTTTTTCTTTCTTTTTGAGATGGAGTCTTGTTCTGTCACCCAGGCTGCAGTGCAGCGGTGCAATATTGGCTCACTGCAACCTCCGCCTCCCGGGTTGGAGCGATTCTCCTGCCTCAGTCTCCCAAGTAGTTGGGATTACAGGAGCACACTACAACACCCGGCTATGTTTTGTATTTTTAGTACAGACGGGGTTTCACCATGTTGGCCAAGCTGGTCTTGAACTCCTGGCCTCATGTGATCTGCCCACCTTGGCCTCCCAAAGTGGTGGGATTACAGGCGTGAGCCACCATGCCAGCCTTGGAGATCTCTCTCTTTTTTTTTTTTTTTTTTTTTGAGACAGAGTTTCGCTCTTGTTGCCCAGGCTGGAGTGCAATGGCAGAATCTCGGCTCACCACAACCTCCGCCTCTGGGGTTCAAGCGATTCTCCTGCCTCAGCCTCCCAAGTAGCTGGGATTACAGACATGTGCCACCACGCCCAGCTAATTTTGTGTTTTTAGTAGAGATGGGGTTTCTCCACGTTGGACATGCTGGTCTCGAACTCCCAACCTCAGGTGATCCACCCGCCTCAGCCTCCCCAAGTGCCAGGATTACAGGCGTGAGCCACTGCGCCCAGCCAGAGATCTCTTTAAAACCTAAAAGTCATCCGCAGAAGAACGGCACATTCTCAGTGAACTGGAATTTTTACTTCTAGATGTCCATTTATTCATTGAGGAAAAATGGAGTGCTGTTTTGGAAACAGGCCCTATTGGACACCAGCCCAGGTTTAACTATATAGATATATATTTATAGCTGACACTAATTAATTTAATAAACATTTAGTACATATCTCCTGGGTGCCATGCATGATGCTGAGCACTGAGAATATCCAATCTGAATGAGCCTGTCTGGTAGAAGAGAGAGGTGGATACGGGGGCTGGGTAGGGGATTCGGCAGAGCTCAGAAGAGAAGCCAGTGCCTCTGTTTTCACACAGAGGAATCTAGGGGGATGCGTGGACTGCAGGGAACAGGTTGCACCTGAGCGGCATCCTGAGTTGCGATGGGTTTTGGAGGGAGGGACTGTGAGTTGAGAAGACACAGGCGAGCATCCTCGGCTGCAAGTGCAGCACACCCAGGGCAGCCCTGGGCTTCAGAGAGCGCACACTGCCTCTGAGGCGCTGCCCGTGCTGTGGTCCTCCGGAAGCACAGATGGAGCTAGAAAAAAGAGCTCTAGGTAGCCAGGCGCAGTGGCTCATGCCTGTCTTCCCAGCACTTTGGGAGGCCGAGGTGGGAGAATCGCTTGAGGCCAGGAGTTTTGAGACCAGTTTGGGCAACATAGCGTGACCCCATCTCTATAAAAAAGCCAGGTGCAGCCAGGCGCACTGACCCACTCCTGTAATCCCAGCACTTTGGGAAGCTGAGGCTCGTTTCTCCTCACTGCTTTCCTGTCTTGAGCACAGGAGTTCGAGACCAGCCTGGGCAACACAGTGAGATCCTGTCTCTATTTAAAAATATACATATATATATTTTTAAAAACCAGGTGCAGTGACGCATGCCTTTAGTTGCAGCTACTTGAGAAGCTGAGGCAGGAGGATCACTTGAGCCCAGGAGTTGGAGGCTGCAGTGAGCTGTGGTCACACCACTGCACTCCAGCCTGGGGCAACAGAGCAAGACCCTATCTTTAAAAAAAAAAAAAAAGAGGAGTGAGGAGTGTGCCCAGAGCCTGTGTGTGTGGCAGTGGGGAAAAGGCACACCTGGCCTGGAGGAGCCAGCAGGGGGAGCCCCGGCCTGGAGTGTCTCTGCGGGGTGAGTCCTGGGAGATCCTGTTTCAGGTGGGGCAGGGCCAGGTTCAGGGTGGGGACAGGCAGAACCTTCCCTGAGGAAGAGGGAGTGGTGTCATACCTACCTCGGGGTAGACACTCCTCAGTGACATCAGTGCTCTTCCCACCTTTTCCAAGACCCTCGAGTCTTCCATCCAGGGCCTCCGGATAATGTGAAGCTGAGTGAGCCTCCGCCATCCAGCATGACAAACTGTGGCCGACCGCAGCTGTGCCGTGGCACGATGGCGAGGAAGCCAGCCCCAAGGAAACACTGAAAACACATATCACGCCAATGCCGTGTGGTTTTGTTTGAATATAAAATTGGTGAAAGTGTTGGTTTTTTTAAGGCAGTAATTTTTTTGTTTGTTTTTTTGCGATTTCATTCCATTCTTGACCAAAGCTTCTCTTTAAGTAGTTTATTATGGAAAATTGTCACACTAACTTAAAAGACAGGGTGAGGGAGATATGTAAATTGTCCACTAGAAAATTAAATAAAAGAACTGAATGTGGTTTTGGTTTTGTTTCCTTGTAGTATTTCAATTTTTAGTAGAAAAATATGAGCGAATTCTTCATTCGATTCAGTTTTTTTTAGGCAAAATCTTAGATCCTTGGTTTCTTAAATTGTACCATTCTATACAACCTTGAACCAAAAAGCACCATTTAGTGAGGGGTGAGAGAGAACCGTTTCTGAACATTGCAATACTTCTGCAAAGTAGGTTGTGTCGGTCTGTTTTGTGTTGCAATAAAGGAATACCTGAGGCTGGGTAATTTGTTTAAGAAAAAAGATTTATTTGGCACACGGTTCTGCCGGTTGGACAAGAAGCATGGTGCCTGCGTCTGCTTTTGGGGAAGCCTCAGGAAGGTTTTACTCATGGCAGAAGGCGAAGGGGAAGCAGGCGTGTCCCATGGCGGGAGAGGATGCAAGAGAGAGTGGGGAGGACCAGGCTCCTTGAAACAACCAGGTCATAGAGTGAGAACACACTCATTCCTGCCAGGGGGCACCAAGCCATTCATGAGGGATCCGCCCCATGACCCAAACACCGCCCACCAGGCCCCACCCCAACACTGAGGATCGCATTTCAGCGTGAGATTTGGAAGGGACACACAGCCAAGCCCTGTCAGAGGTACACCGTTCCCGTCTTGCATGTGAGCAACAGAGAAGCCCACCTCCACTGAGCAGCCAAGCCCGAATGGGAGCCTGCCCTGGGAGGCCCTGGGGCCCGGTGCCCACAGCATGGCAGCCCACTGTTAGCAGTGCACCTGCCAAGGGTACGCTGTGGGGGGTGTGCAAGGGGGCGGGAAAGGGGAAAGTCAGCATCTTGGCTTAGAGTTGATTGTGCCTACACTGAGCTACTTTCATCATGATGAGACGTAAAGTTTGACATTCCATGGCAGAGAATCTTAAGAGGTACAAGTATAAATGAAAAGCAAAATAAGTAAAGAGTAGCCGGAGCCTGGCCACATCCTTGATCTCACGGCTCCCTTCTAGAATGCTGGTAACAGTGCTTCCCAAGGCACATCATGATGTGCTCGAGAGAAGGTAATTTGGCCCTCTTGTGACTCATGGGAAGAGCCCTCACTCCAAGAGGGAATCCTACCTAGCACCAGGGGTGCTGGCCTCATGGCCCTGCCTGGTCCCTATAGTGTCGTCTCTGGGCCCCCAGTGGCAGGAGCTCCTTTGTGTACACGTTTGTATGCATAGTGCATTGGCAAGGCTCCGTGAGGGTAGACAAAAACTGGCCATAAAGCAGGAATTAGCTGAAGATTTCTCTTTTAGCCGGACGCGGTGGCTCACGCCTGTAATCCCAACACTTTGGGAGGCCGAGGCGGGCAGATCACCTGAGGTCCAGAGTTTGAGACCAGCCTGACCAACATGGGGAAACCCCATCCCTATTAAAAATACAAAATTAGCCAGGCATGGTGGTGCGTGCCTGTAATCCCAGCTACTTGGGAGGCTGAGGCAGCAGAATCACTTGAACCCAGGAGGCAGAGGTTGTGGTGAGCCGAGATCATGTCATTGCACTCCAGCCTGGGCAACAAGAGTGGAATTCCGTCTCAAAAAAAACAAACAAAAAATTAGCCAGGTGTAGTGGTGGGTGCCTGTAATCCCAGCTACTCAGGAGGCTAAGGCAGGAGAATTGCTTGAACCCAGGTTGCAGTGAGCTGAAATCATGCCACTGCACTCCAGCCTGGGGGATAGAGCAAGACACTGTCTCAAAAAAAAAAAAAGTTCAGGTGCGGTGGCTCATGCCTGTAATCCCAGCACTTTCGGAGGCCGAGGCAGGTGGATCACGAGGTCAGGAGATTGAGACCATCCTGGCTAACACAGTGAAACCCGGTCTCTACTAAAAATACAAAAAATTAGCCAGGCGTGGTGGCGGGTGCCTGTAGTCCCAGCTACTCGGGAGGCTGAGGCAGGAGAATGGCGTGAACTCGGGAGGCGGAGCTTGTAGTGAGCCAAGATCGCACCATTGCACTCCAGCCTGGGCAACAGAGCGAGACTACGTCTCAAAAAAAAAAAAAAAAAAACCTACAAAATTGACTTACTTTTGCCTCTAAGAACTTAATAGCCCCAGAGTTATTTTGCTGTTTTTTTTTCTTTTTTAAATAAAAACATTTTGAAATTATAATAGAGACAGGGTCTCCCTGTGTTGCCCAGGCTGGTCTCAAACTGGGCTTAAGCAGTCCTCTTGCCTCAGCCTCCCAAAGTGCTGGGATCATAGGCGTGATCCACTGTACCCGGCCTATTTTGCCTTTTTTTTTTTTTTTTTTAAGATGGAGCGTCTTTCTCTGTCAACCAGGCTAGAGTGCAGTGGCATGATCTCGACTGACTGCAGCCTCTACCTTCCAGGTTCAAGTGATTCTCATATTTCAGCCTCCTGAGTAGCTGGGATCACAGGTGACCCCAGTCTCCGAGTAGCTGGGATTACAGGCGTATACCACCACGCCTGGCTAATTTATTTTGCCATTTTTTAACACAGGCCATTTCTCATGTGGGGAGGAAGGCCCACTCCAGTCACCGCAGCCAGAAGCCCTCAGTGCTTTATTTCAACGCTGGGGCCTTTTGAGTTTGTGACGCTCCGTCCTTCTCTCACTCTACCTTTGAGACTCAGACCAGGCCTCTGTCAACAATGACTACAGTCTGGGATGTTCTGAGAGGGTTCTTCAGGAAAGGTGTGTGAGCCACGCCCTGAATGCAATACTTTAGCTAACTATGCAGGCACCAAGAAAAGCATTTGGAAGCCATTAACTACCCCTCATAACAAACCTGTAGGGTTGGAACTGTTATTAGCACATTTTTCAGATGGCAAAATTCCAGAGAGGGGAATGAGCAGTCTCTCCAAAGCCCTGGTAGTAACCACTAAGCATGTGCTCCCCACTGGGCGAGGGAAATACCTTAGTGGCAGCCCCTTTTCAGCTCACCCACGCTCAGGGGCAGGGCCCTGTCACTGGAACTGATGAGAAGTTATTTGAGGCCGGGCGCGGTGGCTCATGCCTGTAATCCCAGCACTTTAGGAGACCAAGACGGGTGGATCCCTTGAGGTCAGGAGTTCAAGCCCAGCCTAGCCAACATGGTGAAACCCCCTTCTCTACTACAAATACAAAAATTAGCCAGGCATTTGGTGGCACGCGCCTGTAATCCCAGCTACTTGGGAGGCTGAAGCACGAGAATTGCTTGAACAATTGCTGGGAGGCACAGGTTACAGTGAGCCAAGATCGCCACTGCACTCCAGCCTGGGCAACAGCGAGACTCCATCTCGAAAAAAGAAAAAAAAAAAGAGAGAGAGCAAGAAGGTATTTGACAATAGCTTGTGGGTTTCATTGTAGACCTCGGTTTGTCAAACTGACACATCAGGCCATGTGGCTTGGAAGGGGGCTGTGATGGGATGTGGAATGCTGAGCGAGTGTTATGGGGGCCCCAGCTGTGGGGTACATCTGCCTTGCAGGCCTTTAGCCACCTTACCAGATATGTGGCCTTGGGGCTTTGGCCCCAAGGTTTTATCCTCTCCCCTCCTGCTGTCAGTTGGGATGGATCCCTTGATCCCAGGGAAAGTGACCCACATTCTGGGGTGGACCAGTGGGACAAAGGGGAGATTATACTGGATACTGGGAGCTCTTAGAAAAGGTCCCTGCCACCGCCCCCCCTCCATCTCCCATCTCCCTGGTCTGCCTTGGCCCACCCACTGCTTGTCTGCAGTCAACCTAGCTGCCATTTTGTGACCAGGAGGCAATAAAACTGGTGCTTGAAGCTGGGAGGCAGAGGTTGTAGTGAGCCGAGATTGTGCCACTGCACTCCAGCGAGACTCCATCTCAAAAAAAAAAAAAAAAAAATAGCGACAGGCAAGGGGCAGAAAGCCAGCAAGAACCTGGGAGACTGCACCAGCCCTGGCCTGCCTCCCCCACGTCGGCCAGCCCTGGAGAGTCACAGCCTGGGTTTGTGGCTGCATTTCTTGGAAACATGAGAAGGCAATAAAGGAAGCAGGAGTGTGTAGCATCTTCGTCCCAGGGCCCTGCACAAAGCCAATTCTAGGAAGAAACAGAAAGCTCTCCAAGTTGTTCTGGGAGCTCCAGATGAAATCCTTCCATCACCAAGTTCCCTAACCCAAAGTGTTTCTCCACGTACGGCTTAGAAAACTTTCTCCCCCAAAGGAGCCATTTCAAATAATGCCTTCCATTGCTTTCCAATCTGAGGTCTGCTTTCTCCCATCCACTGGGTCTTCCCTCCACGACTGAAGGCCTGTGGGACGGGTGGGCAGGTGGACAGTGCTTGTCAGCTTCACTTTACAGATGTGGAAACTAAGGCACGGTTACACTACAGGTTAAGTGGCAGCACCAGAACTGGACCCACTTTCTTTCTTATTTTTCCTTTTTTGAGATGAAGTCTCGCTCCATCACCCAGGCTGGAATGTAGCCTGGTTACAGTGATCTCGACTCACTGCAACCTCTGCCTCCCGAGTTCAAGTGATTCTCCTGCCTCAGCCTCCAGAGGAGGTGGGATTACAGGTGTGCGCCACCATGCCCAGCTAATTTTTTTTGTATTTTTAGTAGAGACGGGGTTTCACCATGTTGGCCAGGCTGGTCTGGAACTCCTGACCTCAAGTGATCTGCCTGCCTCAGCCTCCTAAACTGCTGGGATTACAAGCGTGAGCCACTGCGCCCAACCTTTTTTTGGGGGGGATGGAGTCTTGCTCTGTTATCGGCTCACTGCAACCTCCACCACCCTCATTCAAGAGATTCTCCTGCCTCAGCCTCCTGAGTAGCAAGTAGCTGGGACTACAGGCATGTGCCACCACACCCAACTAATTTTTGTATTTTTGTTTTGTTTTGTTTTGTTTTGTTCTTCGAGACGGTCTCACTCTGTCACCCAGACTGGAGGGCAATGGCGTGGTCTC
The DNA here is from genome assembly GCF_000001405.40 of Homo sapiens. Lineage (NCBI taxonomy): Eukaryota > Metazoa > Chordata > Mammalia > Primates > Hominidae > Homo > Homo sapiens. Next base: position 99,371,146 of record NC_000007.14, read on the forward strand.
GGCTCACTGCAACCTCCACCTCCCAGGTTCAAGCGATTTTCCTGCCTCAGCCTCCCAAGTAGCTAGGATTACAGGCATGTGCCACCACACCCAGCTAATTTTTGTATTTTTAGTAGAGAGAGGGTTTCACTATGTTGGCCTGACCTCGAACTCCTGACCTCGTGATCCGCCCGCCTCGGCCTCCCAAAGTGCTGGGATTACAGGCGTGAGCCACTGCACCCAGGCTTTTTTTTTTTTTATTAGAAATGGGTTTTCACCATGTTAGTCAGGCTGGTCTCACCCTCCTGACCTTTTGTGATCAGCCTGCCTCCGCTTCCCATAGTGCTGGGATTACAGGCGTGAGCCACCATACCCGGCCTGGACTCAGTTTTCTACCACTGGATCATTCATTAACACATCTGTTAAGATGTGTGTTGAGTGACTCAGGCACCGGGCTCTGTCATGGGCCCAGGGGAGAGAAGAGGGAACAGTACAGCCATGGCTGCGGCTCGCATAGGCTTTTAGAGCCTTTACATCAACTCAGGTGACCTTAGTTTACATTTTCGCAGATAGGAAAAAGGAGTCTTGAGGTATGCATATTTGTTAGGATGCTTTGATGATTCGCAGCAGAAAAACTCAAAGCAGCCTAAAAATAAAGTGGAGGCTGCACACCGTGGCTCACGTCTGTAACCCCAGCACTTTGGGAGGCTGAGGCAGGAGGATTTCTTGAGGCAAGGAGTTCGAGACCAGCCTGGGTCACACAGGGAGAGCCCTGTCCATACAAAAATTTTAAAAATTAGCTGGGTGTAGTGGCGCATGCCTGTGGTCCCTCCCAGCTACGAGAGAGGCTGAGGTGGGAGAATCACTTGAGGCCAGGAGTTTGATACCAACCTGCACAACATAGCAAAAACACTATCCTTATAAAAATTTTTTTTTTTTTTTGAGAAGGAGTCTCGCTCTTTCATCCAGGCTGGAGTGCAGTGGCGTGATCTTGACTCACTGCAATCTCCGCCTCCTGGGTTCAAGTGATTTTCCTGCCTTAGCCTCTGGAGTAGCTGAGATTACAGGCGCGCGCCACCACGCCCGGCTAAGTTTTGTATTTTTAGTAGAGACAGGGTTTCACCATGTTGGTCAGGCTGGTCTCGAACTCCTGACCTCAAACGATCCGCCTGCCTTGGCTTCCCAAAGTGTTAGGATTACAGGCATGAGCCACCGCACCCAGCCTATAAAAATTTTAAAAATTAGCCAGGTGTGATGGTGCACACCTGTAGTCCCAAGTGCTCGAGAAGCTAAGGCGGGAGGATCACTTGAGCCCAGGAGCTGGAGGCTTCAGTGAGCTGTGATTGCGTCACTACATTCCAGCCTGGGTAAAAGAGGGAGACCCTGTCTCTAAAACATATTAATTAATTAAGCGGATAACTTGGCTCACATATCTGAATCTTTGGAGGCAGGTTGGGCTCAGACCTTCCAGTCAGAGGTGACCAGAGCTCCGGTTACTTCTCTGACCTTCTCTCGGCTCTGCACTCTCCCTGCAGCTTCCCTTGTTGCTGTTCCACTTCCGCGTTCCACTTACGAGTCCAGATTCCTGCAGCTCGCTCAGAAGGGGCTTTGTGCGCTGGATCATCAGCTGAAGTCCTGGGCTTTGCTTTGATTGGGTCATCTTAGGTCACAAGTGCAGCAGGACAGGGAACACCGTGAGCTGATTTAGACCACTCAGGGCCACTTGGGGTCATTCCCTGGGCATCTACAAAGCGGCAGAAGAGTAGGATGGAAGCCAGGGAAGCAGCAACAGGGTCACCTCAGTTACCCTACACTTGTCCCTGTGGGAAGAGGGCTGCCGGTACAGACCCCTTGAAGCTTTGTATCTGCTTGAACTAAAACCACCGCCTGTGTTTGCTGAGGTTGCCGACATCTGTCTGAGAAAATACGCAGGAGCAGCAAGGTTGGGGGGGCTCAGAAAAGTTCGAGCACTTCCTGTGTGCACACTGTATGACCCGATTCACACACCTGGACACATTTAATCCTCCCAACTACCCTAGGGGGTCGAATTCAGTGGAAAAGAGAGCGGCGGCTAAGGGCACCTCCAATGGGGAGGGTGTCGGGGCAAAGCGACCTGAGACCCCCAGCCACATACTGCAGGACAAACCAATGTCGGCAGGTGAGGACAGGGTGGGAATAGTGTTCCAGGCAGAAGGAACAGCGAGTGTCAAAGCCTCTAAGCCTGACAGGGTGGGAGTCTGGCCTCGGATCTCCAGAGATCCAGGAAGACCCTGCACAAATACTAGAGAGAGGGGTCTGAAGGAGAGAAGAGGAGGGAAGGTTTTTGTTGTTGTTTGAGAGGAAGTCTCGCTCTGTTGCCAGGCTGGCGTGCAGGGGCCCCATCTTGGCTCACTGCAGCCTCTGCCCCCGGGGTTCAAGCAATTCTCGTGCCTCAGCCTCCCGAGTAGCTGGGATTACAGCAGCGCTCCATCACGCCATGGGGCTCCTTGCAGCTAATTTTTTTTTTTTTTGAAACAGAGTCTCACTCTGTCGCCCAGGCTGGAGTGTAATGGCGCGATCTCGGCTCACTGCAACCTCTGCCTCCTAGATTCAAGCGATTCTTCTACCTCAGCCTCCCGAGTAGCTGGGATTACAGGCATGCGCCACCACGCCTGGCTAATTTTTGTATTGTTTAGTAGAGACGAGGTTTCACCGTGATAGCCAGGATGGTCTCGATCTGAGCTCGTGATCCTCCCGCCTCGGCCTCCCAAAGTGCTGAGATTACAGGCGTGAGCCACCGCGACCGGCCGAGGTAAGGTTTTCACTGGGGTCTCTTCCATCTGCCTGGCCGCCAGGCCACGTATCCACTGAAGAGGCAGAGGGTCAGGATGGGAAGACTCCGGGGACCACCTAGCCCAAGACCCGCAATCAGGCGGCTCTGCAAGGCTAACCGGGTAACTTAAAGAAGTGAAGCCGATTGACGTAAAACAGAAAGGAAAGAAGTTAACTGGCCGGCCAGCGTCAGCAGGGGCGGCCAGTGTCACCCTGCCCGGGGACAGCACCCCTGTTTCGTGGCGAGGACACGGAGGGCCAAGGGGGCGGGGCCGGGCTGCCCTGGCCACGCCCGGACCGCCTGCTCCCCGCCCAGGGCCTGCACAGTTGGCGCCCACCGGCATCAGCGTGAAGGGAGCTCCTCGCTGGCTGCCGACGGGGCTGCAGGGCTCGCTAGCCGCTCACCTGCGTGTGAGCGCGGAGCCCGCAGTACCCGCCGTCCGGGCTCAGAGGACGTGACTCCCCGACCCTGCGCCCGGCAGTCCCCGGGGGCCGTGCGCCCGGCCCAGGCTCGGAGGTCCAGCCCAGCGGCGGCTCAGGCTGCGCGCCTGGCTCCCAGCCTCAGTTTCCCCATTGGTAAAGCATTGACGGTGGTTGCGGACGGCTTCTGCGGACAGAGCCTTGGGCTCCGACGTCTGCGCGGGTACCGGCAGCACCCCCACCCCGAAGGGAGGGCGGGACCTGGATCTCGCGACCGCTGCCCCAGGTCCCCGCCCCCGGGCCCTACCGGGCTGAGGTCGGCAGGCCCCGCCCCCCGCCCACGAGGAAGTGGCTGCTGCTCCGGCGCGGAGCCCAGAGCCGGTTCGGCGCGTCGACTGCCCAGAGTCCGCGGCCGGGGCGCGGGAGGTGAGGGCCGTGGGGGCGCCCGGAGGTGGGGGTCAGGGGAGCCACCTGGAGGTGGGGGGGCGCGTAGATGTGGGGCGCCGCCTGGGAGTGAGCGGGACTGGAGGGATGAGAGGGGGTGCAAGGAGGGGACCGGGGGGCGCCTGGAAGTGAGGACGCATAGATGTGGGGCGCCGCCCAATAGGGGCACGGGGATGAGTGGGGGCACATGGAGAGGAGGGGGCGCGGGGACGAGGGGCTCACGGAAAGGAGAGGGAGCCCTGGGATTGGAGGGGGCGCGGGGGTGGCCGCAGGGCCAGACTGTGGAAACGCGGGCTCCCAGCGCACCGGGCGCCCTCGGGGCGTCCCCAGCCCCCGGCCCCAAGCTTCCGCCTCGTGCCTTCCGCCCCTGCTCCCCGGCCCCCATCCCCAGCCTTGCCCCGCGGTCGGTCGGTGTAGCCCCGTTACTTCGGGCCGGCGGGGCCCCACACCCAGTCACTTCCCCTCCATCCCCGGAGCCTTCCGGGTTGCAGCCGCCGGGAAATGAGCTGGCGTCTCCTGCCGCCCCGCCCCTGCCCTCCTGGCCGCTCCCGCTGCTCCCACCCGCCTCCCCCGGGCCAGGTCCGAGGGGTCCCGTACGGGGCGGGCCTGGCTGGCGGGGTCCCGGAACGCACCCCCTCAGCTGCAGGGCTCCGCGGCCAGGGCAGATCCGAGCAGCCCCTCCCTTTCCGGAGGCGCTGGGAGAGCAGCCAGGCCGCCTAGGGCGGGGCGGGGCCGGGCTGCACCCGCGGGCAGTGAAGGGATCAGGAGTGCAAGCCTGGGGAGTCAGACCTCCCCCTGCCTCCTCTGCCAATGCAGCCCGGAGGCTACCACCACCCATCCCGGCCGGGCGCGGTGGCTCACACATAGAATCCTAGCATTTTGAGAGGCCCAGGCGGGAGGATCGCTTGAGGCCAGGAGTTGGAGGCCAGCATGGACAGCATTGCGAGACCCTTTCTCTATTAAAATAAATAAATAAAATGTAGCCAGGCGCTGTGGCTCATGCCTGTAATCCCAACACTTTGGGAGTCGAGGTGGACGGATCACTTGAGGTCAGGAGTTCGAGACTAGCCTGACCGACATGGTGAAACCCTGTCTCTACTAAAAATACAAAAATTACCCAGGCATGGTGGCACGCACCTGTAATCCCAGCTACTCAGGAGGCTGAGGCAGGAGAATTGCTTGAACCCGGGAGGCAGAGGTTGCAGTGAGCCGAGATCACGCCATTGCACTCCAGCCTGGGCAACAGAGCAAGACTCCGTCTCAAAAAAAAAAAAAAAAGCCACGTAACATGCCTGTAATCCCAGCTACTTAGGAGGATGAGGCAAGAGAATTGCTTGAACCTGCCTTGGCAGTGAGCCAAGACTGTACCACTGCACTGCAGCCTTGGCAACAGAGCCAGACTCCGTCTCTAAATAAATAAATAAAATCTTAGGGACCTAGGTAGGAGTGCCAGCTTCTCCCTTCACTGGCCAGTGACTGGTAAGCCACCCAACTCCTGCCAGCCTCAACTTTCCTTATCTGGAAAATGGGAACCTTAAAGACTGGGAGGCTGAAATGCAATACTGCAAGACACCTGGCAGCGTGTCAGGCGCTGACAGTATAAACGTGCGTTTGTTGCTCACCTTGATCATAGTGTTCCCCCAGGTGAACCTAACTTCCTGGCCTCCAAGATTTGGGGTCAGAGTCCCAAGCTGCGTCATTTAGTAGAAGCCGAGTGACTTTGAACAAATCGTTGCTTTTGTCTGAGCCTGGGTTTCCTCCTGTACAAACTGAAGGTAAAAAGCAAACAGGCTGGGCGCGGTGGCTCACGCCTGTAATTCCAGCACTTTGGGAGGCCGAGGCAGGCAGATTACCTGAGGTCGGGAGTTCGAGACCAGCCTGACCAACGTGGTGAAACCCCGTCACTACTAAAAATACAAAATTAGCCAGGTGTGGTGGTGGGCACCTGTAATCCCAGCTACTCAGGAGGCTGAGGCAGGAGAATCGCTAGAACCTGGGAGGCGGAGGTTGCGGTGAGCCAAGATCATGCCGTTGCACTCCAGCCTGGGGTTACAAAGCGAGACTCTGTCTCCAAAAAAAAAAAAAAAAGCAAACAAAAAATGTCTCAGGCTTGCTTCAGGGGGAGAATGGTGAAAGGTCTGGGTAAAATCGCCCTGATAGATGCCGGTAAAGTTTGTTTCTTACATATGTCTGTACATAATCCATTGATAGGTCTTTTTCTTTTTTTCTGGAGTCCGGGTCTCATTGTGTTGCCCAGGCTATAGTGCCATGGCTTGATCATAACTCACTTTAGCCCCAAACTCCTGGGCTCAAGGGATCCTCCTGAGTAGCTGGGATTACAGGTATGTTCCTCCATGCCCAGCTAATTTTTAAATGTTTAGTAGAGGTAGGGTTTTGCTGTGTTGTCCAGGCTGGCCTCAAACTCCTGGCCTTAAGCGATCCTCCTGCCTTGGCCTCCCAAAGTGCTGGGGTTACAGGCATGAGCCTCCACGCCTGCCTTATACGTGCTTTCTTTTTTTTTTTTTTTTTTTGAGACAGTGTCTTGTTCTGTTGCCCAGGCTGGAGTGTGGTGACACTACCTTGACTCACTGCAGCATCTGCCTCCCGGGTTCCAGTGATTCTCCTGCCTCAGCCTCTCAGGTAGCTGGGATTACAGGTACATGCCAATATGCCCGGCTAATTTTTATATTTTTAGTAGAGACGGGGTTTCACCATGTTGGCCAGGCTGGTCTCGAACTGCTGACCTCAGGTGATCCGCCCACCTCGGCTTCCCAAAGTGCTAGGATTACAGGCGTGAGCCACCGCGCCCAGCTTCTTCTTCTTCTTCTTCTTCTTTTTTTTTTTTATTTGGAGGTGGCGGAGTTTCACTCTGTCGCCCAGGCTGCAGTGCAGTGGCACAATCTCAGCTAACTGCAACCTCTTCCTCTCGAGTTCAAGTGATTCTCTTGCCTCGACCCCCCGAGCAGCTGGGATTACAAGTGCCCACCACCAAGCCCAGATAAATTTTGTATTTTTAGTAGAGAGGGTTTTACCATGTTGGGCAGGCTGGTCTCAAACTCCTGACCTCAGGTGATCCACCTGCCTCCGCCTCCCAAAGTCTGGGATTACAGGTGTGAGCCACCGCACCCGTCGGTTGATAGGTCTTTTCTAATATTAATAATTACGTAGCATCTCAACATGTTAATGTCATAATTTACTCTTTCCATATTGTCACCTGGGTTTTTCCACACTGTCACCATTATAAAGACAGCTATTATAAACATGTTTGCTTTATTTTTTAGATGAGGTTTCACTCTGTCACCCAGGCTGGAGTACAGTGACGAGATCTCGGCTCACTGCAACCTCCACCTTCCCAGCTCAAGGAATCCTCCAGCCTCAGCCCCTCAGATAGCCAGGACTACAGGCGTACAGCATCACATCCCGCTAATTTTTTTTTTTTTTTTGGTAGTTTTTATAGACACAGGGTTTTGCCATGTTGCCCAGGCTGGTCTCCGAACTCCTGGACTCAAGTGATCCACCTGGCTTGGCCTCCCAAAATGGTGGGATTACAGGCGTGAGCCATGGCACCCCACCTGTTTGCTTTTAAAAAAGAAAAATGGGGCCAGGCGTGGTGGCTCACACCTGTAATCCCAGCACTTTGGGAGGCCGAGGCGGGTGGATCACAAGGTCAGGAGTTCGAGACCAGCCTGTCCAACATGGTGAAACCCCATCTCTACTAAAAACAAAAACAAAAATTAGCTGGGCGTGGTGGTGGGCACCTGTAGTTCCACCTACTGGGGAGGCTGAGACAGGAGAATTGCTTGAACCTGGGAGGCGGAGGTTGCAGTGAGCCGAGAATGCACCACTACACTCCAGCCTGGGCGACAGAATGAGACTACATCTCAAAAATAAAAAAGAAAAAGAAAGAAAAATGTGTTGCTGTTTTCTTAGGACCAAATGGGTGTATGTGACCAAAGAATGTTAATTTTCTTTTTCTTTTTTTTTTTTTTTTTTTTGAGATGGAGTCTTGCTCTGTCCTCCAGGCTGGAGTGCAGTGGCGCAATCTCGGCTCACTGCAAGCTCCGCCTTCCGGGTTCACGCCATTCTCTTGCCTCAGCCTCCCGAGTAGCTGGGACTACAGGCGCCCGCCACCACGCCCGGCTTAATTTTTTGTATTTTTAGTAGAGACGGGGTTTCACCGTTTTAGCCAGGATGGTCTCGATCTCCTGACCTCGTGATCCACCCACCTCGGCCTCCCAAAGTGCTGGGAGTATAGGCGTGAGCCACCACACCTGGCCAGAATGCTAATTTTCAAGTTCCTGTTAGTGTTATTCTGTTCTATTAATATTTGGTCCCACCCACTTGTTGAATTGAGTGCCCTTCAGAAGAATTAAACCAATTAGCAACAAATGACAATTTCTCCACAGCTCTGCTAGCATTGAATTTTGTGTGTTTTTGTTTTGTTTGGATGACTAACCGGTGCTTTAATGGTACCTTACGATTGTTTTCATGTGTGTTTCTTGACTTCACTCTGCGTGGTTGGTAAGACTTCAAGAGCAGAGCTGGAGAGGGAAGGATAGGGGTAGGAAGGGCTCTGACCCAGCATAGGAAGTTGAGTAACCGCTTAGCACGGTGCAAATTAGCCTGCTGGCTGCTCTATCCAAGAACTGCCTGAGCTGGGTGGGGACTTCCCAGAGCGCCTGTAATGCTGAGATCTTTCCTCCAGGCAACTCCTCCTTGGTTTAGCCTCTGATACAGCCAAACCTCTGGATTCAGGGAAACCTAAGGAAGCCAGGCAAGAAGGGTCCCGCAGCCTGTGCCTAGTCTAGCCCCAGCCTCATCTGGATTAAGATGGGAGGGAAATATTGGCTGAGGGCACCCAGCCAGTATGAAGACAGCTAGAATGTAAACCCAGCACAGTAAGGGAGAGAGTATCAAGGCCCAGGACTTTAGAGTGCCTCACCACCACCACCCCGCCGCTGGGCAGCCTGAGGCTTTCTTTGCCTGGCACCACCATGCCTGGCTAATTTTTTTTTTTTTTTTCCAAGTGGAGACGGGGTTTTGCCATGTTGGCCAGGATGGTCTCAAACTCCTGACCTCAAGTGATCCACCCACCTCGGCCTCCGAAAGTGCTGGGATTACAGGCGTGAGCCACTGTGCCCGGCTATCCCCTCCTCTCTCTGGTTTCTTAACATCAAACAGGCCCACAGTGCTGGCTCACAGGGCCACAGTGATAGTGGGTTGGTGTCCTGGATCCCTCCCCCAGGAGCCATCACTGAGACCTTATGCTGTCAACACTGGTGGGTGAAGCAGCCCTCGTATTTTTCTCCTGAGACATCCAGAGCAGGGTAATTGGCAGGCGGGGGTGAGCACACGCTGGCTCACGCAGGCTTGGTAGGTGAGAGGTTTTCCTGAGGATGATGAAGTTGGAGTGTCCCCGGCTAGAATCCCTGAGGCAGGAGACTGGAGCCCTGTGGCAGCATTGGCTGAGAGAAGCCACTCCCTTTTTGCTCTCCCACTTCCTCACTGGTAAGATGTGGGGGTTGGGGAGTTATCGCAGAGGCGCTTTGGGTTTCAGCTGCTTTGCAGAAGTTATGGAAAAAGGGAAATGAGTCTTCCTGTCTCTCGCCCCCTTAACACTTCTTTGCCCCATTTAAGGGGTTTGTTCAACAGACTAGGAAGTATTTCTGCTAATTCATGCTGAAGTGTGATTGGCTGATAGGTGTGGTCTCAACCTCCCTCCTCTGCCAGTCACTAGTGTACCACTGTGGCCATCTTTTCCAGCCCCTCCTCTGCCCCTTGAGTATGTCTAGGTCCTAGAAACAGTGGTCAGGGCTCTTCAAGTCCTCTCGGTTGCCCTTGCCCACTGGCACACGTGGGGGTTGCTGTCTTCAGCAGAGCCAGCCACTCCGTCTTGACAGCCAGGGCAGAGATGTGGCTGGGCACACAGCAAGAATGTGACCACTGATGCTGGGATGTCAGAGTCTGTGCATCAACCCAGGGTTCTGAGTCTGGGCTCTCCCACCCTCATCCCCGGAGGTTCCTTCAGTCTGGGCCTCCTGGGGCTGAAAGGGAGGGAAAAATTGGCCTCAGCTGGAGTCCTGGGGCCAACCAGAGCCTGGGTGGAGTGTGAAAGTGGGCTTCTGGCCTTCACCCTGCCCCTGCCCTGCTGGTGACCTTGGACCATGGGGGTTGTCGGGGTGTAGATGAGCACCGTGAATCAGTCACAGGCCTTGAGCTTCTCTCTGCACAGTGCTGGCATCAGATGTGGGTGGTGATGTCCCAGCCTGGGAACACAGGAAACGCTCAGGGAAACCCCCATCAGACCTGCTGACATGGCTGAGGGCGCTGAGATGGTGCTTCCGGGGCCCTCACCTTACACAAAGAGGCCTTATAAGGAGAGAGAGGCTGCAGAGGCAGCCCCAGTGGGTGCCGGGTGCTTGTTCTGGGTAAGGCTGCCCACACGTGCAAAGTGTGCTTGTGGACACAGTGCGCTTGCGTGTGTGCAAGGCTGAACATACATGTGTGCAGGCCTGCAGTGTGCCTGTGTGTGAGGCTCAACACGTGCATGTGGGGAGTATGGTCATGTGTGCAAGGCTAAACATGTGCTTAAAGTGTGGGGAGGTGCAGTGTGCATGTGTGTGTGCAAGGCTTAACATGCAAAGTGTGCTTGTGTGTGTGAGGCTGAACACGCATGTGTTTGTGTGCGTGGCCTGACCCTGCGCTGCGTGTGTCTACTTGCTCAGCAAATGCTGACTGGGGACCCACCGGGGTCCTGTTCTAAGCATGGAGGAAACATGAGGTCCCTGCCCCGTGCATGTACACATGTGCATGTGTGTGTGTCCTGTGCTGCTCCAGGAATCTTCCAGGACATCCTGATACAAGTGAAAGCAAGCGGTTTGGATCTGGAGTGAGCAGGAGGTGGACAGGGCCTTCCAGGCAGTGAGCGCAGGGGGCTTTGTGTTGTGACCTCGGGCAGGCTGGTCACTGAGCCCTGTGGGGCCAAACTGCAGCCCCAGGCAAAGGTCGTTCTGCCTTTCCCTTGTGCCTGGGCCCAGATGCAGTGCAGGATGGGCCGGCCCCTGGGCAGGGCAGTGACGGGGCAGCCACCGGCCTCCTGGGGCATTCAGGGTTCCCAGTCCTGGTTGGCTCCCAGCCCAGGCCCTGAGACCCAACACAAAACTGCCAGTCTGGTGAGGGAGGCAGCCACATTATCTAATGGCTGTCACTGGTGACTCTGGGCAGGTGGCCTCAGCCCCCACATCTGTCATCTGGAGCTGACCTGGAGCCTGGCATCCCTCCCCAAGTGCAGCCAGGCCTCCCTGAAAGTCCAGGGCTGGTGGGAGTGTTGAAGTCAAGAATGTATACAGAGCACCTGGCCAGGCGCGGTGGCTCATGCCTGTAATTCCAGCACTTTAGGAGGCCGAGGCGGGCGGATCACTTGAGGTCAGGAGTTCAAGACCAGCCTGGCCAACATGGTGAAACCCTGTCTCTACTAAAAATATAAAAATTAGGCATGGTGGTGCGCACCTGTAATCCCAGCTACTCAGGAGGCGGAGGTTGGAGTGAGCCAAGACTGCGACATTGCACTCCAGGCTGGGCAACAGAGTGAGACTTCATCTCGAAAAAAAAAAAAAAAAAGGATACTTTTTTTTCTAGAGCTGGCAAGGAGGGAGTATCCAGAAAGTGCTGGATGGTACTAGTTAATACATTTTATTTTAGAGACAGGGTCTGGCTCTGTCACACAGTGGTACAATCATAGCTCACTGCAGCCTCAAACTCCTAGGCTAAGCAATCCTCCTGCCTCAGCTTCCTGAATACCTAAGAATACAGATGTGCACCACCACACCTGCAAATTTTTTTATTTAAATTTTTTGTAGAGATAGGGTCTCACTGTATCGCCCATGCTTGTCTTGAACTTCTGGCCTGAAGCAATCCTCCTGCCTAGGCCTCCCAAAGTACTGGGGTTACAGGCATGAGCCACTGCGCCTGGCCCTATTTAATAAAATTATTTATTTATTTATTATTTTTAAGTTATTTTTTCACACACATTCATTCCTAACCTTTTTTTTTTTTTTTTTTTTGAGACAGAGTCTTGCTCTGTTGCCCAGGCTGGAGTGCAGTGGTGTGATTTTGGCTCACTGCGACCTCTGCCTCTCAGGTTCAACAGATTCTCCTGCTTCAGCCTCCCAAGTAGCTGGGACTACAGGTGTGCGCCACCACGCCCAGCTAATTTTTGTATTTTTAGTAGAGACAGTCTTTCACCATGTTGGCCAGGCTGGTCTTGAACTCCTGACCTCAGGTGATCCGCCCGCCTCGGCCTCCCAAAGTGCTGGGATTACAGGCATGAGCCACCGTGCCTGGCCTCATTCCTAACCTATGTAATGATAATATTTTTGAGGGCTGGGTAGGGTGGCGTGAGCCTGTAGTCCCAGCTACTTGGGAAGCAGAGGCAGGAGGATCACTTGAGCCTGGGAAGTCGAGGCTGCAGTGAGCTGTGATCACACCACTGCACTCCAGCCTGGGCAACAGAGCGAGACCCTTTCTCAAATATACACACACACACACGTTTCTGAGAACGTACTCTGTTGGTCACTAATGGCAATGAAAAATTTGTTCAGCGGATATTTCTTGAGCACCTACTATGTGCTAAGCATTTAAGCAGTGGAAATAGAAACGAGAACAAGATAGAACAAAAATGTGTCTCTGCCAAGCTGGTTCTATTCCAGCAGGGGAGGAAGGCAGCGGGCCAGATCAGTGAGTGCATGTCTGATGGTGACTGCTGAGAAAATTTAATCGGAAATAGGGAATTACGAAGTGCCGGACCGTGGAAGGTGCTGCAGTTTCCAGGGAAGGCCTCCCCAAAAGTTGACATTTGAGTACAGACTTGAGTGGCAGCACCAGAGCGAGAGCCGTGTGTGCCGGTATCTGGGGGAAGAGTGTCACAGGCCTAGGGAACAGCCAGCACGGAAGCCCGAGGCAGGTGCATGCCTGTGTGCCCCAGGATTGGCCTCTGGTTGGCTGGGGAGGCCTGCTCCTCAAAGGGCTGGTATATCACATCCATCACAGGCTAAGAGTAACCGCCTCGTGGTTCCTCCTCATAGAGGCCAGGTGCGGTGTGTCATCTGCTTCCAGCTCTCAGCATCTCTGCTGGGAGGCAGGATTCCTGTTCCCATTTTACAGATGAGAAAACTGAGGTTAAAAGAAGGCAGGTGATGTGTCCCGGGGCATGTGGCTGGGCAAGCAGTGCCACTGGGCTCCTCCACTTCCAGGTCCCTGTGATGCTGGGAAACTGAGTCACGGAGGCGGGGAGAGATGTGTTTGAGGAATTGGGCTGAGACCGTGATCTCACCCCCGTCAGGCCTGGTGGGCTCCTTTGACACTCAGCGGCAGGTGGAGGAGGCTAGGGACAGGCTGGCAGGGGCTGAGCTGGGCTGACGGGAGGATGAGTCGCTGCCCTCTGCCAGGGTTCCCCTTCAGTGCTGGGGCTAGTCTAGAGGGCTGCAGTCAAACATCTCCCTCGTTCTGGCCGAGTGTAGTGGCTCACACCTGTAATCCCAAATACTTGGCAGGTGAGGAGGGAAGATCTCTTGAGCCTAGGAGCTTGAGACCAGCCTGGACAGCATTGTGAGACCCCCCTCTCTACAAACAAATCAAAAATTAGTTGGGCACAGTGGCACATGCTTGTAATCCCAGGAGTTCATGGCTGCAGTGAGCCATGATCACACCACTGCACTCCATCCTGGGCCACAGAGAGAGACCCTGTCTCAAGAAACAAAAATCTCCCTCCTTCAGTTCCCCAAGGCTGGGTCACCCTGGGGCCTCCCCAAGAGCCATCACCCAGGCCTCGCCTAGCCCTGTGCCTCCTCCCAGCCCTGGGTGCAGCCAGTGGATGTCTGGATGGAGAATGGGATGTATCTGTTAAATATCTGCCTTTGCCTCAGCCATGAGCCCCTGCAGACCGGCCACCTCCCTTCTCCCCGTCTGAGCAGTGTGGGGGAAGACCAGGGCTCTGGGCACGGCAGGGCCAACTGCCATGTGCTGGACACCTTTCTAGGTGGTTTATGAGATTACTTCATTTCTTTTTTTTTTTTTTTTTTCTGAGATGAGTCTTGCTCTGTCACCCAGCCTCCTGAGTAGTGGGGATTACAGGCAGGTGCCACCACACCTGGCTAATTTTTTTTTTTTTTTTTTTTTTTTTTTTTGAGACGGAGTCTCACTCTGTCGCCCAGGCTGGAGTGCAGTGGTGCGATCTCGGCTTACTGCAAGCCCCGCCTCCCAAGTTCACGCCATTCTCCTGCCTCAGGCTGGGACTACAGGTGCCCGCCACCACACCCGACTAATTTTTTGTAGTTTTAGTAAAGACGGAGTTTCACCATGTTGGCCAGGCTGGTCTTGAACTCCTGGCCGCAAGTGATCCGCCTGCCTCGATCTCCCAAAGTGTTGGGATTACAGGCATGAGCCACCGGGCCTGGCCTGGATGACTTCATCTTCATCCCATCCTTAATGGGGCAGGGGAAGTTGGGTGGGGGGGGGGGGGTCGTCCATCCTATGAGGAAACCGAGGCACAGATGACAAGTGAGGGGCCTGTCCAGCTTGGAGTCCTAGCACCCCACCCCGCCCCAGGGAGCATCTCCCCTGTAGTACCGTCTCCTCCACCCTGTCCCTGGAGCCTCAGAGACATCCTGTGAAAGCTGCCCTTTTATAAGGAGGGAAACTGAGGCCCCAGGAGGGGAAGCAACATGTCAGGCCAGTTGGGAGCCAGGGCTGGCCCCTGCTGCTCCTCTCTGCAAACTGCTGCCCCTCTAAACTGAGGGGCCTCCCTGGTGTGAGGCCTGTGAGGATCATCTGGGGCCTGGTATGGGTGAAGTCAGGGGCAAGGTTGGGGCTGACGTGGATTCTCTCTTCCTCTCTCGGGCACAGGAGCCAAGCCGCCATGGCCTACCACAGCTTCCTGGTGGAGCCCATCAGCTGCCACGCCTGGAACAAGGACCGCACCCGTGAGTGCTTGCTGGGGGCCGGTGGGTGGCTGCTTCCACCTCCTGGGATGGGGACCAGCCAGAGCACACATGGGGACTCTGGAGCAGCCAGGCCCCCGGACCATGGGCTCCATGTGGCTGTCCCCTGGCCTCACCCCTGGGTCTTCCAGCTGACCAGGGGCCTCCTGGGTTAAAGTTTAAGGAGGGAATGGGCCAGTTGCGGTAGCTCATGCCTGTAATCCCGGCACTTTGGGAGGCTGAGGTGGGTGGATCACTTGAGGTCAGGAGTTCCAGACCAGCTTGGGCAACATGGTGAAACCCTGTCTCTACTAAAAATACAAAAATTACCTGGGCGTGGTGGTGGGTGTCTGTAATCCCAGCTACTCGGGGGGCTGAGGCACGAGAATTGCTTGAACCCAGGAGGCGGAGGTTGCAGTGAGTCGAGATTGCACCACTGCACTCCAGCCTGGGCAACAAAGCGAGACTCTGTCTCAAAAAAAAAAAAAGAGAGAAAGAAAGAAAGAAAAAGTGACCAAGAAAAAGCCTTTCGGAGGAGATGACATTTTGACATTTACCCAGAGACCCAGAGGGGGAGAGGAAGGGAACTGTGCCCCAGCTGGGGAGGGGCTGGCAGGTGCAGGGGCCCTGAGGTGTCAGCAGGAGCAGCGAAGGGTTCCTGGTTGGCCAGAGCAATAGGGTGGGGAGAGGTCCCAGGGTTCATTGCTGCGAGTAAAGGACAGCCAGTTCCAGGAGAAGACAGGGTGGCCTAGCAGGGCCTGAAGGACTTCAGGGGGCCCCTGCAAGGCAGAAGAGGAGAGACTGAGTCATGAAAGGTGAGGTGTTGTTGCCTAGGTGCACTGTGTAGTGTGTCCTGGCAGAGGGCAGTCATGGAGAGGGCCCCTCAATCTCCCTCCATCTCCCCTTCAGAGATTGCCATCTGCCCCAACAACCATGAGGTGCATATCTATGAAAAGAGCGGTGCCAAATGGACCAAGGTGCACGAGCTCAAGGAGCACAACGGGCAGGTGACAGGTATGTCAGGGTGGCTGGGACCACCGTCCTGAAAGGAGGTGGTGGGTTGGGGGGGTGGTGCAAGGCAGGGCATGGCCACTCATTGTGGAGCATCTGCCCACTCACCGTGAAACCCGGATTCAAACTGGCTTCAATTTTAAGGGGACTGTGTTGGCTCATGTTACCAAAAACTCACAGGGTTGAGGGCTTCAGGAGAGGCTTGATCCAGCAGCTCCACATGACCAAGAACCCATCTTTTCTGCCTCTTGGCTTTGCCCTCCAGCATGTTTGCTGATAGCATGGAGGGCTCTGACACTCCCTCATAAGCTCTAGGAGTGCCCCCTGGTGTCACTCTAAATAAGCACTGGATCTCAGTAAAAAGTGCTTGCTGGGCCGGGTGCAGTGGCTCATGCCTGTAATCCCAGCACTTCAGGAGGCCAAGGCGAGTGGATCGCTTGAGGTCAGGAGTTCGAGACCATCCTGGCCAACATGACTAAATGTTGAAAAATACAGAAATTAGCCGGGTGTGGTGGCACGCACCTGTAGTCCCAGATACTCTGGAGGCTGAGGCAGAAGAATCGCTTGAACCCAGGAGGCGGAGGTTGAAGTGAGCTGAGATTGCACCACTGCACTCCAGCCTGGATGGCAGAGCGAGACTGTGTCGCAATAAAAACAAAGAAAGAAAGAGGCCGGGTGCGGTGGCTTGCGCCTGTACTCCCAGCACTTTGGGAGGCGGAGGCGGGCGGATCACCTGAGGTCAGGAGTTCAAGACCAGCCTGGTCAACATGGTGAAACCTCATCTCTACTAAAATACAAAAATTAGCCAGGCATGATGGCGGGTGCCTGTAATCCCAGCTACTTGGGAGGCTGATATGTGAGAATTGCTTGAACCCGGAAGATGGTGGTTCCAGTGAGCTGAGATCGTGCCAGTGCACTCCAGCTTGGGCGGCTGAGCGAGACTCTGTCTCAAAAAAAAAAAAAAAAAAAAAAGATTGGTGGTACACACCTGTAGTCCCGGCTACTCAGGAGGCTGAGGCACGAGGATTGCTTGAACCTGGGAGGCAGAGGCTGCAGTGAGCTGAGATCATGCCACTGCACTCCAGCCTGGGTGACAGAGCGAGACTCTGTTTCAAAAAAAAAAAAAAGTGCCTGCTGGGCAGATACAGCTTCCACCTGGATGGTGGCCTTTCAGCCTCTCCCATGTGGCCACCATACAGCCACCTCTGCCTGAGTGTCATCAGCCTCCTGTGTTCCCTCCATCCCCCCACAGGCATCGACTGGGCCCCCGAGAGTAACCGTATTGTGACCTGCGGCACAGACCGCAACGCCTACGTGTGGACGCTGAAGGGCCGCACATGGAAGCCCACGCTGGTCATCCTGCGGATCAACCGGGCTGCCCGCTGCGTGCGCTGGGCCCCCAACGAGAACAAGTTTGCTGTGGGCAGCGGCTCTCGTGTGATCTCCATCTGTTATTTCGAGCAGGAGAATGACTGGTGGGTACCTAGGCAGGGCCAGAGTGGGCTGTTAGGGACCGGGGGCAGGACTAGAGTGTCCCCGGGAAGCACCAAATGGGATGTCAGGACCCCTGTTCCCATCACCCTGGGGGAGTCCATCCTCTCCTCTCTGGGCCTCATTCATGAGGCAAGGGCCTCTCTGCAGCGTCCGGATGTTCTCACTGCCAGTGACACCCACCACACCAGAAACACATCTGGGGGCACCTCACTAAGCCCTGCACACACATTAGTCCTGACTTCCCTGCAGCTCCGTGGACTGGGCATCGGTCACTGTCCCCACTTTACAGATTAGCAAAGGCCCTGTAGCAGTCACTTTCTCAAGGCACCACTCACGAGCTCGCAGCCACATCTTGTTCCTTTTTTTTTTTTCAGATGGAGTCTCACTCTGTCACCCAGGCTGGAGTGCAGTGGCACGATCTTGGCTCACGGCAGCCTCTGCCTGCCGGGTTCGAGCAGTTCTCTGCCTCAGCCTCCCAAGTAGCTGGGATTACAGGCACCTGCTACCATGCCCGGATAATTTTTATATTTTTAGTAGAGATGGGGTTTCACCATCTTGGCCAGGTTGGTCTAGAACTTCTGACCTCATGATCCACCCGCCTCGGCCTCCCAAAGTGTTGGGATTACAGGCGTGAGCCACCGTGCCCAGCCAATTTTTTTTTTTTTTTTTTTTTTGAGACACAGTCTTGCTCTGTCGTCCAGGCTGGAGTGCAGTGGCACAATCTCAGCTCACCGCAACCTCTGCCTCCCAGGTTCAAGCAATTCTCCTGCCTCAGCCTACTGAGTAGCTGGGACTACAGGCACGCACCACCACGCCAGGCTAATTTTGTATTTTTTAGTAGAGATGGGGTTTCTCCATGTTGGTCAGGCTGGTCTTGAACTCCTGACCTCAGGTGGTCCTCCTGCCTCCGCCTCCCAAAGTGCTGGGATTACAGGCGTGAACCACTGCGCCCGGCCATATATATATTTTTGAGACAAGGTCTTGCTCTGTCGCTCAGGCTGGAGTGCAGTGTTGTGATCATAGCTCACTGCAGCCTCAGCCTCCTGAGCTCAAGTAATCCTACCACTTCAGCCTCCTGAGTAGCTCGGACTACAGGCCCAAATCATTTATTTATTTATTTTGTAGAGATAGGGTCTTGTCACGTTGTCCAGGCTGGTCTTGAACTCCTGGCCTCAAGCAATCTTCCCACCTCAGCCTCCCAAAGTGCTGAGACTACAGGTGTGAGCCATGATTGCCAGTCCACGTCTTAGTTTTTAATCTCCCCTGCATGGCTGAGGGCAGAGGCCAGCCAGGAGCATCTGAGAGACCCAAATTTGCATCCCACCATGGCCAGTTAGTAGTTGTGTGACCTCTGGTGATGGCATCACTTTGCTGAGCCTGCTCTGAGGGTGACTGTGTGGCCTAAAGGATAGAGGGCACAGAGTTCCCACTCCAGAAGCGACACAGCACATCCCTGCCGCCCCAGGGCCCTGACGGCCTTGTGGGCTGGCAATGCCCAGTCGCCTCTCTCCTGGGTCTTTGGTGGGCTGCAGGGAGCAGTGGGAGCCTGGAGTCCCTGGTGCTGAGGTCCATGAGTCCCACCTGCCTGTCCCTCTCTCCCTGTCTGCCTGACCACCGTTCCCAGGTGGGTTTGCAAGCACATCAAGAAGCCCATCCGCTCCACCGTCCTCAGCCTGGACTGGCACCCCAACAATGTGCTGCTGGCTGCCGGCTCCTGTGACTTCAAGTGTCGGTGAGACAGGGCGCCATGGGGGAGGGCGGGGCTGACGTCAACTGACTGCTGACATCATAGCGGGGAGCCGCACCTGAAAGCTCTACACCCCAGCTTCTAGACACATTCCAGACCTGCTACCAGTGGATGACCTGGGCGTCGGTTGAAGGTTCTAGTTCCTGGGGAACCCTTCATGTCTCAGCTGGATGGGCCTCTGCCCACCTCTTTTATTTTTTTTGAGCTAGGGGCTTGCTCTGTTGCCCGGGCTGGAATGCAGTAGTGCAATCATAGCTCACTGCAGCCTCCAAATCCTGGACTCAAGCGATCCTCTTGCTTCTCAGCCTCCCAAGCAAGACTACCACGCCCAGCTAGACAGGATTTTTTTTTTTTTTTTGGAGACGGACTCTCGCTCTTTCGCCCAGGCTGGAGTGCAGTGGCGTGATATTGACTCACTGCAACCTCCGCCTGCTGAGTTCAAGCGATCAAGCGATTCTCCTGCCTTAGCCTCCTGAGTAGCTGGAACTACAGGCGCATGCCACCATGCCCGGCTAATTTTTGTATTTTTAAATGTAGAGACGGGTTTTCACCATGTTGGCCAGACTGGTCTCGAACCCCTGACTTCAAGTGATGCATCTGCCTCAGCCTCCCAAAGTGCTGGGATTACAAGCTTCAGCCACCATGCCCAGGCACCTGTTAACCCTTTAAAAAAAATTTTTTTTTTTTTTTGAGACAGTCTCACTCTGTTGCCCAAACTGGAGCACAGTAGCGCAATCACAGCTCACTGCAGCCTTGACCTCCTGGGTTCAAGCAATCCTCCCGCCTCAGCCTCCTGAGTAGCTGAGAGTACAGGTGCGCACCACCATGCCTGGCTACTTTACCTCTACTTTGCCTATCCCGGTAGGATCTTTTCAGCCTACATCAAGGAGGTGGAGGAACGGCCGGCACCCACCCCGTGGGGCTCCAAGATGCCCTTTGGGGAACTGATGTTCGAATCCAGCAGTAGCTGCGGCTGGGTACATGGCGTCTGTTTCTCAGCCAGCGGGAGCCGCGTGGCCTGGGTAAGCCACGACAGCACCGTCTGCCTGGCTGATGCCGACAAGAAGATGGCGTGAGTCGAGGCCATCCCCAGGGGAGGAGGTGAGTGCAGAGGAGTGGGACACCGTGACTCACAGCTCTCTCCCCTCAGCGTCGCGACTCTGGCCTCTGAAACACTACCACTGCTGGCGCTGACCTTCATCACAGACAACAGCCTGGTGGCAGCGGTGAGGAATAGGGAGGGGAGGGAGGGTGTGTGGTCACAGCAGGCCTCCGAGAGAGCCCAGCAACTCTCATCTCCTCCCTCCTTTCTCCTGCCTCCCTCCTTTTTTTCTTCCTTGCATTCTCTCATGTACCAGAATTGGGCAGAACAGGTTGGGTTATGCTGCAGTAACCAAAAGTCCCTGGCTGCAGTTGCTTAACAGAGTAAAGATTTGGCCAGGTGCGGTGGCTCACACTTAAAATCCCAGCACTTTGCGAGGTTGAGGTGGAAGTATCACTGGAGGCCACGAGTTTGAGACCAGCCCGGGCAACACAGTGTGAGACCCTTGTCTCTACAAAAAGTTAAGAAATTAGCTGGGTGTGGTGGTGCACCTGTAATCTCATAATCCCAGTTACTTGGGAGGCTGAGGCAGGAGGATAACTTAAGCATGGGAGGTCGAGGCTTCTGAACTGAGCTATGGTCGTACCTCTGCACTTCAGCCTCGGCGACACAAAACCTGTCTCAAAAAAAAAAAAAAAAGAGCCAGGCCCGGTGGCTCACACCTGTAATCCCAGCAATTTGGGAGGCCAAGGAGGGCAGATCACCTGAGGTCAGGGGTTCAAGACCAACCTGGCCAACATGGCAAAACCCCATCTCTACTAAAAATACAAAAATTAGCCGGGTGTGGTGGTGGGCGCCCATGGTCCCAGCTGCTCGGGAGGCTGAGGCAGGAGAATTGCTTGAACCCAGAGGCAGAAGTTGCAGTGAGCCAAGGGTGAGCCACCGAGACTCCATCTCAAAAACAGAAAAAAAAAGATATTTACTTCTTGCTCACATTTTATGTCCAGTGTGGGTGTTGTGAGGTGCTCTGATGGAAGCTGTCCCCAGCATGCTGTCCCAGATGCCACGAGGGAGCCGGAACCTGCGGAATCATGCCCTGGGTCTTAACATTTCTGCCCACATTTTATTGGCAGGTGCAATGGCAAGGCCACGCCTAATGCAAAGGGCGAGAGTTCGGGGTGTGCGGTTCCTCCAGGTGTCCAGGAAGGGCACTGCTCTCCCTCCCCTCCGCCCACATCTGTCAAGTCCCTTTTCACCCCTCTGCAAACATAATGGGGGTGCCAGGGCCAGGTCAGGCTTGCTTTTTGCCTAGAAAAGCAAACAGCTGCAGGGGTCTCCCCTAGAGCAGGTGTAACTGGCTGGGCAGGACAGAAGGCGCCTGAGCTCCCAGGGAGTCCCAACGCTGGCCTTGCTGGGGGAGGTGGCAGCCCCCAGCATCACCCCCGGTTTTGATACACCTGCAATTCGGGCCTCCCTCGCTGTGGCCCGTCTGTATCCTTGAGCTGGCATCTGCCTCCCGGGCGGCCAGACGCCCGCCTGGCCTTCCCTCCGGCCTCGGTTTCCCCTCCGCGGCGCTCCAATGGCCCCCGCCCTCCGCGCAGGGCCACGACTGCTTCCCGGTGCTGTTCACCTATGACGCCGCCGCGGGGATGCTGAGCTTCGGCGGGCGGCTGGACGTTCCTAAGCAGAGCTCGCAGCGTGGCTTGACGGCCCGCGAGCGCTTCCAGAACCTGGACAAGAAGGCGAGCTCCGAGGGTGGCACGGCTGCGGGCGCGGGCCTAGACTCGCTGCACAAGAACAGCGTCAGGTGAGAGCGGGAGCCGGGCCGGCGGGTGGGCGGGGCCTCGGCTCGCCCAGAAACAGCGTCGGGTGAGGAAGGGGCCTGGAGTCTTCCTCCTGGGGCATTGTGCTGGGACCTTGAGGACTGGGGACCCGGAGGGAGGGTAGGCGTGCCCTCAACTCGCTGCGCCGGAACGGCGTCTGATGAGCGGCGGGCCCGGACACGAGGGGACGGGGCCGATTTGTGGGCGGGGCCTTGGCGCCGTACTAAAACCGCGTGGGGCGGAGGCCGGCAGAGGTCGCGTAGCGGGCCCAGGGTAGGGAGTGGCTTTGACTCGCTGCGGAATAACATCGTTAGTTGTGGGCGGGGCCCATCTTGATCTCACCATAGCAGCCCAGGTGCTAGTGGAGCCTGGGAGGGACACGGTGCGACCGACATAAGACGGGGTCGACCTCTTTAGGTTGCATAAAAATAGCATCAGATGGGGCTGAGCAGCTAGCCTCGCTCTGCATTTCCGGGACTTAGGTGGGGACTGTCGTAGGGCTGGCCCCTACGGTTCTCTGGGGTGGCCAGGCAGTGACCAGCGGGCTTCCTGGGCGGGGTCACAGCTGGGGCGGGTCTATTGCTAGCACTTAGCGAGGTGGGGGCGGAGCTGAGGGTCTCTCCGCAGCCTTCTATGGATCTAGGGTGGGATGGGGAAGAGGCTCTTCAAAGCCCAAAAGCTGCCAGCCACACGTGTCCACCCCGCGGCGAATCAGAGGGAGCGGGAGCTGTATGGCAAGACTGGCCAAGCCCTTCGGTCTGTAAAACCTCCTGTGTCCGCCAGATCCGATGGCTTCCTCAGATGAAACACCTTTGTCCAGCTATCAGCTTAGTCCCTGGCTGCCCCCACCCCCATCTCCTTTTTTGTCCTGTCCAGCTGCACTGCTGGCACTGTGTACACTCCGCAGACACACGTGTCTTTCCTGCCTCCCAGGACTTGAGTGTCCTGTCCCATTTGCCTGCACCTCGCATGCCACTGTCCCCAAGGCAGAACTGACTTCTAAGCCCACTACACCCCCTCGGTACTTCTCACTAAAGCCCGCTCCCCAAGAAGTCTGGGAGCGCCTGGTGGACAGGGTGGGCCTGAGCCCAGCGCCAGCACAGGTTGAATTCATAAGCTCCTCTTCCTCTTTGCAGCCAGATCTCGGTGCTCAGCGGCGGCAAGGCCAAGTGCTCGCAGTTCTGCACCACTGGCATGGATGGCGGCATGAGTATCTGGGATGTGAAGGTGAGGCTTGCCCCTCCTGGCTTCCCGCCATGCCTCCCAGGTCAACCCTTTCCCCCCATCCCCACTCCCTGGAGATGACCCCCATCCTTCACTCCTGCAGAGATGGCACTGCATGGGGATGAGGGGTGGGGGCGGCCCCTTGACATCTGGGCCTTGGTGCTCACTGGGGCACCCGTCTTCAGGGCCGGGATTCCAACCCAGCTGACAGACTCCAAAACTGCAGGTTCTCTGCCCTCTGCTGTGCTGGGGCTGAGATGGGTGATCAGGTCCCTGGGAGTGGGGTGCCTGCAGGACAGCTGAGAACCAGCCTGTCCGTTCTGCCTCCCTGCAGAGCTTGGAGTCAGCCTTGAAGGACCTCAAGATCAAATGACCTGTGAGGAATATGTTGCCTTCATCCTAGCTGCTGGGGAAGCGGGGAGAGGGGTCAGGGAGGCTAATGGTTGCTTTGCTGAATGTTTCTGGGGTACCAATACGAGTTCCCATAGGGGCTGCTCCCTCAAAAAGGGAGGGGACAGATGGGGAGCTTTTCTTACCTATTCAAGGAATACGTGCCTTTTTCTTAAATGCTTTCATTTATTGAAAAAAAAAAAAAATGCCCCCAAAGCACTATGCTGGTCATGAACTGCTTCAAAATGTGGAGGTAATAAAATGCAACTGTGTAAAAAAAAAAAAAAAAAAAAAAGTAATTATGGACATGCTTGCCTATGTGGAAGGAGAGGTTTTTTGTTATTTCCTTGGGGTCTTGCTAAGTTTTCCAGGCTGCACTAGAACTCGTGGGAGCAATCCTTCTGCCTCAGCCTCCCAAGTAGCTGGGACTCCAGGGAGAGATTGGTGTTTGCACGGCCATAGGTAGATAGCTTATTTTTACTGCTTGCCAACAAAATTGATCCTGAAGCCCAACGGCCTTATGCCAAATGGTTCCCTCCCCACTGCTGTCCATCCTGGGCTGCCACTCCCAAAACTGCCAGTACCAGGTGTCACTGATTGACTAGTCAAATTCCTGGACAAAGGGGCTACACACTCCAGGCTGGTTGTGGAACTTTTGTTTTGAGATGGAGTTTTGCTCGTCACCCAGGCTGGAGTGCAGTTGTGCGTTCTCAGCTCACTGCCACCTCTGCCTTCCTGGGATCAAGCGATTCTCCTGCCTCAGCCTCCCAAGTAGCTGGGATTACAGGCATACACCACCAAGCCTGGTTAATTTTTGTATTTTTAGTAGAGACGGAGTTTCTCCATGTTGGCCAGGCTGGTCTTGAACTCCTGACCTCAGATGATCCACCCACCTCACCTCCCAAAGTGCTGGGATTACAGGCATGAGCCACCATGCCCGGCCTGGTTGTGGAACTTCACGGGAATTTATTTTGTCATTACAATGTTGGCAAGATATTTTTTTCGTGTGCTGTAAACTGAGGTTCTGTCTTGGAGTTTATGTCATGTCACCAGGTCCTGTGCTGAAGGGCATTTGCACATCTTTTGTGGCTTCTCTCAGGAAAATGTGGGCCTTGGCGACATCCAATGCTAGTGCTATTCCCCTTCTCCCCTAGAGTTACAGAATTATAACCACCAGGGGACACCTACAGGCCAGGCCAGGCCAGGATCCTGGTGCTGCTTCAGCCTACTGTGGCCTGGAAGGGTCCCTGCCTGCTGAGGCCTAAGATCCTGACTTGGCTAAAGGAGGGGAGGGGGCAGGCTGTGGTATCTAGGGTCCATCCCCGCATCCTGCTCGGTGCCACCTGACAGATGTCATGCCCCAGGTAGGTATGTGCCCTGAACCTTGCCGGGTGCACGTGCCTGAACGTGGCACCGTACCCAGCTGGGTAAAAACGGCTCGAGCACGGAAGCCAAAGGATGGATTGCCAAAACAAAGATTACGATAATGTCAAGTTTAATCTGCCAAATATACAAGTTGAATTTGTGGAGCATGTTTTGCCTGGGTGCCACACAGTAAACAGAGGTTTCTTGAAATGATCAATGGGTAGGGCTGAAAATGGGCACTGGCCCTAGCCAGGTGAGTAGGAACCGGGCAGGGAAGGGCAGAGAGGTGAGGCCCTGAGGTCAGTCAGACAGGACTGACCAGGGACAAGCCATGACCCTCGAGGACCCAGGGGCACAGGCTCCCAGATGATAGCCCCTCTCTGAATGAGCACCCAGGCAACACAGTCCGGGGCTGTGTGTAGCAAACCTGTCAGCAGCTGCCTCCTGGGACAACCACCCCCTTACATGCTATCTATCTACCAGACAAATGAAAGCTCTTCTTACCCCATCTCCCAGGCACCCCCCAGCAAGGGCTCTGAATTCTAAAAACAGCAAAAACATTCAAATGGTTACATATGAAATGCTGTCCTGCATCTTTCTGTCTCAAAGATAGCAGCTACCCCTCCCCCAGTCCCCCCCCCCATCCCCCAAACAATTTCTGTGCCAAGATGAAGAGGAGGCCCCAGGCCATGGGGGGCTCCTGGCCATGAGGGGCTGTTGCAGCGGCGCCAGGGCACAGGGTGGGCGAGACACAGCAGAGGTCCTGGCAGCGCGGCCCAGGTCCCCGGCATCTCCTCCCACGGGTCGCAGTTACTTATTCAGGGAGAGTGACTGCATTCGTTTTCCTGACAATGTGGCATCGTCTTTTGCTGAGGGGTGGGAGAAGGGCAGGGGTTAAAACAAAGCAACCCCCCACCCCCTCCCAACACACGTGCCAGAACCCTAGAACTTTAGGTCTGAAAGGCTGCAGAAAACATTCTGTGCAACAGAGAAGAGCCGAGGCGTGGGAGAGGATTTCTGCTGCAGCTGTAACCCCGGGCCCCCCGACATTCCCGACACGCTTCAGTGGCCAGACCACCTTATAGAAAGCTGTTCCTTCCACAAAGCCCCACCAACACACACTCTTGTGGGCAAACGGAAACTTCTCACCCCACCTCCCAGCAGAACCCTGTAATTCTAACCTCCCTCCACGGGTTCTGAAGTCTAAAATTTAAACATTCCAACAGTTACATGTGAAGTCCTTTCCTGCTTGGGGTTTGTGAAGCAGGGTTGAATGGGAAGTTGGGATCACTGGATTTCTGGTGCGGGTGACAATGTCCCTGAGCAATTGGTTTCCCCTTTCCAGGCCTGCTTCCTCATGGTCTGGTGAGGAGGCAGGACAGATGGACATGTAGGGGCTCTCACAGACCCCCGGGAGATGGAATGTTGCAAGTTGAATGCTCCTATAAACTGGACCAACTCCCATAGCCACTCTGGCCTAGAGGAACCTCCACCATCTCTGGCCTGCCTGGAGGGGAGAGCACAGGAAAAGGGATGCCTGGGCTGGATGTCAAGCCAGTCTGCACTGCTGTGTATCCAGCTCACCCTCCCAAGCCCTGCAGATGGACAGCGGTGACCTCAGGCATCTCTCCTGGGTTCCCAAGGCACCAGAGACCTTAGTGGGACCTGTGAGCCTCAGGCAAGGTCTGTACTAGGGGCATGGTTTCCTGTGACCTCCCGCTGTTGGGAGCAGGAGTGACTGTCCACCTACTGTGGACGGTGCTCTGCTGAGACTTCAACCTACATCCGACCCCATGATGTCGCTGGACCCTCCTGGTCCCCGAGGGAGTGGCAGGCACAGGGAGGGTGGCCCTCTCCTGAACGACCTCCTAGGCAGCAGTCACTCCTCACCTCATTGTCACCTCGCGGACAGGGACACGAGTTCAGTGCTTTGTGGCTGGCCCAGGACCAGAGTTGGGGCCTGTCCCTGCGTGCGCAGCCCAGCCCTTACCTTTCCTTTCCTCTTCCTTCTTCCGGGCAGCCTCCTCCCGCTGTTTCCGGATGATGGCCAGCCGGGCCAGGTCAGCCTTGGCTTGCTCTGTCTTCCCGGCCAAGTGCATTTTCATGTAACGCTCTTTTGCCTTCTGCTTCTCAATCTCTTCTCTGTGTGGATAAAATGGTGTCATGGGGACATCTTTCCTACCACTGTTTGCCAAACTGGACGGGAGTCAGAATAAAGGCCAAGGATTCGGCCTAGGGCCGAGGTGGAAGGGGTGCCCTGGCTGTGAGTCCCTGCCTCCATGAACCCCCTGCTTGGTGGACGTTCACCAAGCAAGTGAGCAGGAGGGAGAGGCCCAGGGAGAAAACATCTGCGATGTCCAGAAAGCCTCAGAGGGAAAGGGGACAATGTCCAGCTACAGCAGGGAGGGGAAGATGCCTGAGGGCTTCATGATCAGGCTCTGGCGGCCATGGAGAGAAGGGGGACCAGGCCAAGAGTGTTCCAGAGAAGATGACCAGGAGGATGAAAGCAGTGGGGACCACATCCTACAAGGAAGGAAGGGCTGGGCATGGTGGCTCAGGCCTGTAATCCCAGCACTCTGGGAGGCCAAGACAAGAGGATCACTTGAGGCTGTAAGTTTGAGACCTGCCTGGGCAATATAGCAAGACTCTGTACAAAATAGAAAATTTAAAAATTAGCCAGGTGTGGTGGCACACATGGCTAAGGCAGCATGGCTCCCAGCTACATGGGAGGCTGAGGCAGGCGGATTGCTTGAGCCCAGAAGTTCAAGGCTGCAGTGAGCTACAATTGCACCACTGCACTCCAGCCTGGGTGACAGAGTGAAATCCTATCTCTAAAAAATACAAACAAAAAAAGGAATGAAGAAGTGGAGGAAGCAGCCACAGGGCATAGGATGAGGACCACAGTGGGAAACAGACACACCCAGTCTCAGGTCAACACCACATGGCCCATTCTTAGAGCAGCTCAGATGTGCACGGTGCTGCCCCCCAAGGGGACAGCCCCCATCAGTAGGGAGATGGGAATAATTGCTGGGCTCCCATGGGACAAAGTGTCAGGAATGAACCCCCTAAGTAGAGTCAGTGGTGAGGGTCATTAGCTTCCTTTTGAGGATCTTCCCAAGCTTGAGATTCTGAACTGGAGTGGATGCCCTTCAGGATGAGATCGGAGGGCCTATTTGCACTGGGTTCCTGGAAGAGCCAAGTGCTGGAGGAGGGGAGGGCCCTGCCTGGCAGGAGGCTGGGAGAGAGACTCGGCCTCCCAGAGGCCTTCAAGGTACACAGAACTGGGGAGTAATGAGAAACCAGGCATGGGAGCTAGCTAGAGGGGAGGGAGAGGGACTCCCGAGTGGGAAGAGCAGATGCCTCACTACAGAGCTGAGGAGATAATACCTGGCGAACCGCAGATCCTAGCTCAGGAGGGATGTGCCACACTCAGAAGCCTCTAAGCTGAGCCTCAGGAATGATGACTAAGGCAGCCCAAAGACTCTGCAGGGCCCTTCAGTGAAAGCAAAATGCCAGGCAGGGTGTCTCTGCAACCCCAAAGGACAGAAGGAGGGAGCAACAGGATCCCTTTTACTGGAGAGGACACTGATGCCCAGAAAGGCACAGCCTTATCGAAGGCTGCACAGCTGCCAATGGCAGAATACCACAGTGGCAGAACACCCAGGTTGCTGGGTTTTTGAAGTCAATGCCAAGAGGAAGCTACTGAAGGGGGACAGAAGGGTCCTTAGCAGCTGCAATCACACCCAAGCTCATGGCCTTCCCCACGAGGCTTTCACAGACACACCCCTCAGCCATTATCCTAAATTCCCAGTCAGGAGAGAAACTAGCAGGCTTCAACCTCTTGTAAGGCCCTTGAGGTCACCTGGTGGCTGCCAAAAGTCAGGGCACCAGTCAAGGACTGATCCTGTGCCAGGCACTTCAGTACATGATCTTGATCCTCATACGACTCTTGAGGAAGATATTTACAGCTTCATTTTCACACAGGACTTGCAGAGGCCTGGGACAGCTGGCTGAGCTGCGCTGGGCTGGACTGCCTTCTGGCCGGCACAGGCTCGCAGCCCCCTTCCAGTCCCCATGGCCACGACATTACAGATGGATGCAGGTCAGGAATGGTCAGATCAGTGGGGTAAGGGAAGTCTCCCCAGGGTGTGGTGCTCTGGAAGAGGGGAATGGAGGGCAACCCTCTGTATCCTGCACCATTACCTCAAGTGTTATGCTCAGGTCTGAGCCTGTTGTCCTATTTCCCCTGATATCATGTATCAATTGGTGAAAACAAATTCTGTGTGGCTTTTTAAAGGCTACTGGAGGGCCATTGGGGAATGAGACAGAAATAAACAGCCACAGCTCCCAGCCAGCTGGGGACCTTAGCATCCCACAGGCCAACTGCTGGCCTGTATTCCCCGTGACACAAGGCCCAGCCAGTGATGTTACCGTTCTCTCCTCGAAAGCTCCTTTGGCCCGTCCAGATCCAGTTGTGTGACCTTTTTGGTTGTCTGTGCCACCCGGTTGGGGTTCTCGATGTCGATGAGCCCTTCAACGCCTTTGCGCTTTTGCTAGAACAGGGCAAGAAGCTGGTTGTTGGAGTTCAGGTCCTGTGGAGCCCCTGAGGGCCACTCCTGCCATCTCTCAACAGCCCATCTGGATGAGGACAAACTCCTGCTCCACCCCAGCCCACGTAGTGCTCAGCCCAAGTCTCACAGTGGGTATAGCTCTCTGGAGCATCTTCATCAGCCTGGGAAGAGCCCACAGAACGGCTGCTCGGGGTCGAATAACTTGCCCAAGTCAACCAGGAAGTAGGTGGTAGATGAGAGGTGCGCCCTACCCCGACTTGCAAGCACTCACACAGCACTACTCCCCTACTTCAAGCTCGGCTTCCAAAAGCAGTTTTCCATGGAATCCCATGCCTGATTCTTCTTGCAAAAAGCGCTGGGCTGGAATCCCCAGGGCAGGGTGGGCCAAGTGTGTGCTGTCATGACTAATTCCAATTCCCACCCACCTTAGCTGATGGACTGGACTTGTAACCCAAGAATAAGCTACTGGATCACACACTCTACAGGTTTGGGACGCTGGCCCAAAAACCTGGAATCTGCACCTTCCACCTCCCCTGCAGAAGTTCCAGAAGAAGGGGGTGTGTTCTCAATGCAGCAGGTTTGGTCAAAGTTTCAGGCCCTGTCAATTCCATCAATTCTCCTTAAGGGGGCAGGGAGACAGCTTCCACTCCACAGAGCTCCCTCCACACACTTCCAGTCCAGCTGCACACTTACACCTCCACTCAGATGCCTGGCACTGTAAACTTAACATGTCCAAGACAGAACTCGAGATTCATCCTTTACCCAACCGGACCCTCCCTGCAATCCTAAGCATATCCTTGATTCGTCGTTCCTTCA
Organism: Homo sapiens; assembly: GCF_000001405.40. Taxonomy (NCBI): domain Eukaryota; kingdom Metazoa; phylum Chordata; class Mammalia; order Primates; family Hominidae; genus Homo; species Homo sapiens. Next base: position 99,401,259 of record NC_000007.14, read on the forward strand.
GCAACCCCCAAATACAGCTTAAATTTGTCCACTCTTCTCCACTGCCATTGTCACCATCCTAGGGCAAGCCACGATTTTTTTTCTTTTGAGACAGAGTTTCCCTCTTCTTGCCCAGGCTGGAGGGCAATGGCACAATCTCGGCTCACCACAACCTCGGTCTCCTGGGTTCAAGCAATTCTCCTGCCTCAGCCTGAGTATTTGGGATTACAGGCATGAACCACCACCCCCGACTAATTTTGTATTTTTAGTAGAGACAGGTTTTCTCCATGTTGGTCAGGCTGGTCTCGAAATCTCGACCTCAGGTGATCCGCCCGCCTTGGCCTCCCAAAGTGCTGGGATTACAGGTGTGAGCCACCACACCCGGCCCAGGATTTCTGATCTGAACACTGCTCTTACTCTCAACATCCTATCATTCACTCTCCATGAAGAAGCTAAAATAATCTTTTTTTTTTTTTTTTGAGACGGAGTCTCACTCTGTCGCCCAGGCTGGAGTGCAGTGGCATAGTCTTGGCTCACTGCACTCCGCCTCCCGGGTTCACGCCATTCTCCTGCCTCAGCCTCCCAAGTAGCTGGGACTACAGGCGCCTGCCACCACACCTGGCTAATTTTTGTATTTTTAGTAGAGACGGGGTTTCACTGTGTTAGCCAGGATGGTCTCGATCTCCTGACCTTGTGATCCACCCACCTTGGCTTCCCAAAGTAAAATAATCTTTTAAAAGCATATCTGGAGGCTGGGCGCAGTGGCTCACGCCTGTAATCCCAGCCCTTTGAGAGGCCAAGGCAGGCAGATCACGAGGTCAGGAGATTGAGACCATCCTGGCTGACATGGTGAAACGCTACCTCTACGGTAGTCCCAGCTATTCGGAAGGCTGAGGCAGAAGAATGGCCTGAACCCGGGAGGCGGAGCTTGCAGTGAGCCGAGATCGCACCACTGCACTCCAGCCTGGGCGACAGAGAGACTCCATCTCCCAAAAAAAAAAAAAAAAAAAAGCATATCTGGTCATGTCTCTCAATCCCTTCAAGGCCTCCCCCAGCTGCCACTACCTACCATAAAGAAACCCCATGCCAGGCATGGTGGCTCATGCTGCTGCAATCTCAACACCTCAGGAGGGTGAAGTGGGAGGATTACTTGAGCCCAGGAGTTGGAGACCACCTGGGCAATATAGTGAGATCCCTATCTCTACAAAAAATTTAAAAATTAGGTAGATGTGGTGGCGTGTGCCTTTGGTCCCAGCTACTTGGAAGGCTGAGGCTGCGGTGCTTCACTGCAGCTTCACTCCACTCCAGCCTGGGTGACAGAACGAGACCCTGTCTCAAAAAAAAAAAAAAAAAAAAAAAAAGGGGGCTGGGCTAGTGGCTCACGCTTATAATCCCAGTACTTTGGGAGGCTGATGCGGGTGGATCACGAGGTCAGGAGATGGAGACCATTCTGGCTAACACAGTGAAACCCTGTCTCTACTAAAAATACAAAAAATTAGCCCGGCGTGGTGGCAGGCGCCTGTAGTCCCAGCTACTCAGGAGGCTGGGGCAGAAGCGCTTGAACCTGGGAGGCGGAAGTTGCAGTGAGCTGAGATCGTGCCACTGCACTCCAGCCTCAGTGACAAAGCGACACTTCATCTCAAAAAAAAAAAAAAAAAAGAAAAGAAAAGAAAAGAAATGCCAACCCCTTCAACAGCTACACAGGAGGTGCCCTTGCCAATTCTCCTCCTGCATCTGGACCACTCCGCTCCTTACCCACTAACTCACAGCTACACTGGCCCCCTTCTGGTCCTTGAACATGCCAAGCTTATTCCCACCACAGGACCTTTGCACTTGCTAATCCAGTTTCTCAATTGCTCTGCACGCCAATTTTCACATAGCTGGCTGCATCTTGTTTTTTCAGATCTCAGTTTATAAGTTGCTTCACCACCACAACACTTTTCCAAGTCCCCTCAATCACAGTCTGTTTTGTTAGTAACACTTCTCATTACTTGAAATGACACTGTCTGTTTACTTCTTTGTTGTATCTCCCGTAGTGTAAACCCTCAAGAGCAAGGACGTTGTCTGCATCTACCTTTGGGACTAGTACTAAACGGTCACTCAACGTTTGTTTGTTGAATGAATGAGTCCAGGCTCTAGGCCCTCAAAAGAACTCAGTACCTGGTAGTCATCTTCTTCATCCTCACTCTCATCTGAGTCTAGAGATTTCTTCTCCTTTTTGGGGTCACCTGCAGCCCCATCTCCACCTTCTTTTTGCTCCTCTTCTTCCTGTTTCAGAAATGGACAACCTGCAGAATCAAAAATGCAAAACAAATCCCCAAGACTGTGACCCTATCACCCCCCAGACTGTGGATCTTGAGAAATCAAGCCTCTGGAAGGCTGGAACCAAGGATGACAAGGGTCCTACTGTGACCCTGGCCCCCAGGGAATGGGACCTGGGCCAGACACAGGCAGCCTATGCACTTAGCACCACAGCTTAGAGGCCATTCCCATAGTCCAGGAAGCCCCTCACACAGCCACAGAAGGCCCTGCTCCCCTTCCTAACGCAGCCACCTCAGCAGCCAGGGTGAGAAGCTTGTTTCCTGGGGTCAGAAGGACTCAGCCACCAGGCTGAAAACCACCATCCTACTCAGCTCCCACCTGCCACATGCAGCTGCCAAATCATGCTGGCATTCCCAGGCGAGTCCTCTCCGCACTCCACTCCCACTCCATGGCAAGTCATCCCCCCGACCCACCCACACAGGTGACCTCCTGCACCAGCTCCCCAGAACAACACCTCGGAAGGCTGCTTCCCTCCACCTTTCTTGCCTTCCCACCAAAAATGTCCCTTATAGGAACCTCATGTCCCTTCACCTCTTGGCACCTGCCCACACATTCTCCATGTCCTGCTCAGCTGCTGGCTCCCCCAAGGACCCCTCCCAGACCCCACAGCTGGATGTGGCCTTTCCCTTCTTGAGACTCCTGGGGTACGTCACAGCTGTGTACCCATCTGGCCCTGACTGCTCCCTTAGGCCCTTGATCCAGGCATCAATCTAATGATATGGTAAGATGCAGATGCTGACGATGGGAATGTATTCTATTTCCTAACGGTGGCCTGGACAATGTACTATGGGAGCAGAGGAGAGGGAACTACTAAATCAGCTCTGGCTGGAGGTGAGGCATGAGTCACAGAGGAGGAGAGGCTAAACAACGTCTCCAGGGATGGAGAGCATGCTGATGCTGGGGGTGTGGGAAGGCAGGGCATATGTCATGTGCAGTGTGGCAAATCATCCTGTGTGGCTGCAGCAGACAAGCAGGGGTGCTGGGAGCTCGAGCTGTGAATGGACAGGTCCTGCAGGAGGGAGATCCTCCTGAAAGTAGGTGCACAAGACCAAGAACAGGGCCCCACTAAAGCAGCTGCTGCAGAGCAGCCACAGTTCTTTCTAACCCATCCAGGCAGAGGATGCCCACGCCCTGACTGTCATTGGTTGTTCTGAGACTCACACCTGGGGCTCACTGCCCGCCCGACCCCCACGTGCTGGCTTGTCCCTGCGAATGGGTAGTCCTTGCCTGGCCTCTCTATGAACCAAATTGGCAAAGCGCCACCCTGGGCCACTGGCGTGGCCTGGACAGGCACGTACTCACCCTGGCCTTCTGCTTCTCAGCCTGCAGCTGCGCGTCGATCTCCTCAGGGCTTGTATACTGCCTCGCCCGGCCTTTGTGGCCTCCCTTTCTTCCTGCAGAGACCCGCAGTTTAGGTGAGCGGAAGCAGCTGCCTTGACTGCTCTGACCCCCAGAGGGCTGTGTCCTGCTTGGAGTACTCTCATCGGAGGCCTCACCTACCCCTCACCCAGCACCACCCAAACCGACACCTCCGCCACCCTCATGTGTTCAAAGGCACGCAGGAAGCAACTCGTGACCATCTGATGCATCACCAAACTGTGTACTAAATGCTGGCTCCTACACAGAAGACCGGAGGGGAGAACATGGCGGACGGTGCACTGCAATGACTTGCTACATCCCCTGGTCCCTTACAATCCAAGCATAGTGGACTCAGATGCAACCACAGAAACATGTACCACTTACATCCCTGCCGTCACTATAAGGGCTTTTTACACGATGTTCTGTCACAGCCAGGGGCACTTTTTTTTTTTTTTTTTTGAGACGGAGTCTCGCTCTGTCACCCAAGCTGGAGTGCAGTGGCGCAATCTCGGCTCACCGCAACCTCCACCACCCTGGTTGAAGTGATTCTCCTGCCTCAGCCTCCCGAGTAGCTGGGACTACAGGCGTGCACCACTATGCCCAGCTTATTTATTTATTTTTAGTAGAGATGGGGTTTAACCATGTTGGTTGGCTAGAATGGTCTTGATCTCTTGACCTCGTGATCTGCCCACCTCAGCCTCCCAAAGTGCTGGGATTACAGGTGTGAGCCACCGCGCCCAGCCAGCCAGGGGCACAGTTGATCCTCGGAACAAACCTATGGTACAGGGGTGATAGCTGGTCCCATTTCATAGACCAGGAGACTTAGACCAAAGCAGACTGCGAAACACCACGAAGTTTAGAGTCCAACTCCCAGGTTCTACGCTTACTGGCTTGATGACTTTGGGCAGGTATTTAACCTCTCAGTCTCAGTTTCCTCATCTGTGTCCCTACCTTACAGGGTTGTCACAAAGATAGATGAATTAATCAATATACAGAAAGCTGCTGGAACAGTGCCTGCTACTGAATAAGCACTACAAAAATGTTCGCTAATATCCAGGCACAGTGGCTGATGCCTGTAATCCCAGCACTTTGGGAGGCCAAGGCGGGCAGATCACTTGAGGCCAGTTCAAGACCAGCCTGGTCAACATGGTGAAACCCCCTCACTACTAAAAATACAAAAATTAGCTGGGCATGGTGTCACATGTTTGTAATCCCAGCTACTTGGGAGGCTGAGAAAGGAGAATCGCTTGAACCCAGGAGGCAGAGGTTGCAGTAGCCGAGATTGAGCCACTGCACTCCAGCCTGGGCCACAGAGCGAGACTCCGTCTCAAAAAAATAAAAAAATCGCTGTTCGTTACTTTTCCCTCTAATCTAGTATTTGGTGGAAAAACAACAACAAAAGCACCACTGAGCACATAAGCAATTTACTGCAGATGTTGGAAACACAATAAAATACCTTGTGTTCACCTTAGTAGTATGGCAAAAAGAGAATACTTAAGGGAAAAAAAAGAAACCCAAACCTACAGGCAAAAACTTTGTGCTTAGACTAAGAAATGACTGGCAAAGTACAGATGAAAACAAACCTGACTACACAGTCTAAAAGTTAAAAATGTGACTAGCAGTTAAAGTGTCAGTTTTATAGTCTGACCCTCTTCAGCCAGAACACCAGGCTGACCCTTGCTTAAGCCATCAGCCAGTTTTAAAGCAAGGTGGCATCCCCCTCTGCTGGTCCCCAAGTATGCAAGGGTGGCTGTGGCCTCAACTTCCACACAGGAAGCTGAGGCCCACCTGATTTCCATAGTCTGTCTCTGTGAGCAGAGACTCTGTAATCAGCCAGAGTTGCTCTGCACTCCAGAGGCGGTAGCAGAGATACTGGCCTCCTCTGATTCCTTACAGCAGCTGCAAAGCCATAATTGGGCTGCTAAAGATCACACCACCCATTTTTAATGACTACCTAGGTTCCCAGGGGTGTCTAAGTCTATGCTTATTAAAGTCCTATTGTGAGAGAGCAAGTGTGCCAAGAAAAAAACCAACACCCTTTCTTGCTCTCTTAATACACCAGGCAACAGTAACAACTCAAAATTGATTACTATAGGCTCTCCTCTCATGCACTTGGCTATGGGACCCTGACCTTAGCTTGGTCCACAGTAATTTTATAGTAGACTCTTCAAGACTTTAAAAAACGATTTGCACTTAACATAATGGAAACAAGCGTTGGTCCTTTGCTCTTAGGGAGTTTGATACTTTTAACACCTTCACGGTTTTTTGTGGTTTTCAGATTAACCCAAGAAAATGTAAACCTTGTCTACCCCAAAAAGCTTTTCACAAGCCCAAAGACCATTTAGCTATGAATTCATATTTAAGGTTTTATCGTTGTAACCTCCAACCTTTACCCAAAGTATCCATTAAGTAAAACTTCGGAGGGAGGATGGCTCATTCAGCAACCTCCTTTTACAGATGAAGGGACTGGGGAACAATAGCAGAGAGACTTTTCCAGCCACAGAATAAATCAGTAGAGAGCTAGGTTTAAACACATTTAGCTCTGTAATGCCCAATTATCTCTGGAGTCAGGAAGCGATTTAGGTTTGAAAACGCTACAGGCAGATGTTTCTGTGGGTTGAGTGCATTAACCAATATAACACATGAGCTACCAACACAAATATATTTGTTCTGTGCCAGGAGGTGGCCAGGCACTTTATGAGCGCTATAATTTTACCACCCCGGCCCCAATTCAACAAGCTAAGGATTAGCCCAGTGTTTCAGATGAGGAAGAGGTTAACTTGTTCAGGGCCACAGAATTAGACGTGACATAGCTGGGATTCAAACTGGGGACTATCGATTCTAAAGGGGGAAACAGGATAGAGAACGGGCTAGAAGATAGAGGACGGGCTACAATGGACTGGGCAGTCATGAACCTACTTACAAGATCAAGAGCTGGCAAAGCCTTAAAAATAAGAATAGTTACTGCTTCACTGGGCACTTTTAACGACTGCCTGGCACTGTACTGCGCACTCCACGTGGATTACCTAGTTGAAGCCTCCCAACAGTACTAAGAGGTAGGTACAATCGTTATTCCCATTGGCAAATGAGAAAACGGAGACACAGGAGGTGGAGCGACTGGCTCAAAGGAACACACCGAGCCGCTACCGAACGGGGGAGTCGAAACCAGGTCTGGAAGGCTCATGGGCATCTCCTTAAGTCCTCCTAGGCAGGCCTGGCTGAACCGAAGCCAGAAAAAGCCCACGTTTTACGCGAGAGGCAGGCGGGCCCGGCACAAGCGCGGGACGCGGTGACTCAGTTCCTAGCCAGCCAAAGAGTGGGATAAATTCCAGAACCCCTAGACCCGGAGAAGCGCATCCTAGATCCGGCTTTCTAGGCCGGCGAGGACCCAGAGCTTCCGAAACTCCTCAGACCACTGACGGAGTGACTCTGGGACACCACAGTCCTCAGTTTCCCCATCGGGACAATTGGGCGTCGAGGCCCAGGCCTGGCTCTCAGCCGGTGCGGACAGCCTCCCTCTGCGCTGCTCTCAGAGACGCGCACGGGCTGAGGGGACAGCGGAAGCCGGACCTGGGCCGCCCCTCCAGGCCTGCGGGCCACCGGCGCCCGCCCCTCACCTCCTTTAGGCATTGCGGCTCCGGCGGCTGCGGCGGCGGCGGCGGCGCCTCGAACTGACACCGGAACCGGAAATAGCTTGGGCTCGACTTCTTCCTCCTGGGCCAGCCGCCGCCGCCGCTTCAGTGGCCGCAGTGGCCGCAAGGACCCGGACCTCAGGGAGGCCTCCGCACGAAGTCGGACCGTCCTGCGCGCCGCCTAAGTCCAGGCTTGCCCGTCTGCTGCCAGGCAACAACGCCCCTAGTCTCTCCGTTCGGGAAGACGCGTGGCCCTGCCTGCCACCCACCGGAAGTGAGGGCAAATGGCAACAGCGGCTCTGGAATTCTATACAGGCATTGCTGAGGACACCTAAGATGACGCAATCTCCGCGCGGGTAGGGCGGGGCTCCGCAAGGACCTCATGCCTTAGAGATCGCCTGAAGAGCGGAAGCCTTCTGTCGAGAAGCAGCTACCCAAGCTCCAGGAGCTTCCGGTATGTGTTTTCCCTCTGTTCTCGATTACCTTGGCAACGGCTGAGGCGGGAGACCGGTGGTCTGCACCGTCCTGGAGGGAGATATGAGTGGCTGGACTCTCAGCCAGCCACTGGGATGTGTTCGGGCTTTGGACCTTGAGGCCGGAGAGAGCTCCCGAGAGGAGGCGGCGCCACGTTCGTTCTTCTGAGGGGACGGTAGATTTGGGGGTTTTCCTCTAGGATTCTCGCGCCGTTTCCTCTGGTAGGAACGTCTTCTGTGTTCTGATTGTTTTTCTAAGCTGGGTTCAGATGCTGTCCTTTTTATGAGTTTTCCCTACAATCCTGCACTATCTTCCTTCGCTCCTCCTCGCCTCCTTCCCCTAGCGCCCCAATCTCTCTTACACCTCCCGGCACATCTTTCTTCTCGATCTGATTACCTCCTACGTCCTCTTTCTCCTCGATCTGGTTACCGCCTACCATTTTCACCTCCGAGAGGCCTCTTCTGACTTCCAGGCTGGATCAGGGCCCTCGAATTTCCCTGGGTCGTAGAAAAGCGATCATTCTCTTGTCACAGACTATGCGCCTTGGGGCCGAGACCAGAATTCACCTATTTTTAGCTTCAGCGTAGGGGAGACTAGTGCGAAGACCACTGATTTGGGAGTCAGGAGCCCTCCAGAGTCAGGTTTTGCAAATTCTCAGCTGTGTGACCCTGATTCTACCTTATAGAGTTTGATTCCTCCTCTATATGGTTGTTTTAGAGAGTTCATGAGAGGAGGCTCTGTGGGCGGGGGGGGGGTGGGTCTTTGTAAAGTGTCAGTACAGAAGGGAGTGACTGAATGAATTTGAGAGAGATGAATCTGTTATGCTGAAAGGTAAATACTTAACCTGGGTTCTCTCTGGCAGCAAGGAAATGCTGTGTGGTTTGAAAAACGCTTTGCTATTTAGATTGGGATCGGCCTCTTGTATGGGAACTACCTGACTTTATGTAATATGTTGTTTGGTGTGAAAGAGACCTTGGCAATCAGCCAATCCACTGCCCTCATTTTACAGAAGAAACAGGACCAGAGAGGGAAGGTGACCTGAAAGTCACAGAATAATTTTTTAGAGCTGAACAAGAATCCAAGCCTGCAACTGCAGAGACGAGAGATCTTTCTGCTGTCTATACTCTTGGAAAGCACATCCTAAGGTACTTTGATTTTACAGTCATCTTTCCCTTTTTATTTTATGTTTTGTTTTGTTTTGTTTGTTATTGAGACATGGTCTCACTCCGTCACTTAGGCTGGAGTGCAGTAGTGTGAACATGGCTAACTGAAGACTTTCAACCTCCTGGGCTCAAGTGATCCTCTTGCCTCAGCCTTCCGTGTAGCTCAGACCACAGGCACCCACCACCATGCTCAGTTAATTTTTTTGATTTTTTTTTTTTTTTGGTAGAGATAGGGTTTCACCTCATTGCTCAGACTGGTCTCAAATTCCTGGGCTCAAGTGATCCTCCCATCTCAGCCTCCCAAGGTGCTGGCCAAGACCAGAATTACAGGCATGAGCCACCGTGCCTGACCTTCCATCTTTGCCTTTTTAAATACTCACCCCCATGGCTCCCCGAGTCACAGCCCTCCTTATACTCTATTGTAATTGCTTTTTCTCTTGTCTGTCTCTTTGCTAAAATGTCACCTTCTAAGGGGCAAAGGCTTAACTTTTGTTCTGTGTTCCCAACATCCAGTATAGGGTTAAGCTTTTAGTTGAAGTTAGCTAATGACAACAGCAAATGTCTCTTAGGCACACATTATACACCAGGCATGATAGATACAATTCTAATGAAGTCTTTGCAATGACCACATAAGGTAGCTTCCATTATCCCCATTTTACAGATGAGGAAACAGAGGCTTAGGAAGGTTAAGTACCTTTCTGAAGATCACAGCGGGTAAGTAGCAGAGCCAGGATTTGAACACAGTCTGGGTGCTGAGCCCTGTCCCATAGCTGTGACCCTATGCTGACTCAAGGAAGTCAGCCTGTACCGAAATAATGGCTGGCAAAGGCCTTTGGGGATTTGAGACTCAGAAACCAATTCATTTTTTTCCCCCAGATCTTTGCAGATTATCCTGTGGAAGGAAAATGCCTAAAGTCAAAAGAAGCCGGAAAGCACCCCCAGATGGCTGGGAGTTGATTGAGCCAACACTGGATGAATTAGATCAAAAGATGAGAGAAGGTGAGTAGGGGAGTTCCTGTCTGGGTGGGCTGGGTCCAAGGGTCACAGGCTTAGATGCCCCCAGGGGACAGGCATAAATGCAAATATAAAAAGAGAGTGGTCTACTAACACTGACATGTTGTGTTTGCTTATGAACTTGGGGAAATACTGTAAGTGCCCGAAAATAAGATAACATTAATGAAAAGGTCCTCAGAAAAGGTGTTTTTTTTTGTTTTTGTTTTTGCCAACTCGAATATAAAAGGTTATGAAATATAGATCAAATAGTCTACCTATAGTTATTTACTATTTTGGTTAGATATATATTTAAAATCATACAAAATATATTTACTTGGAAGTGCTATTCCTTTTCAGTATCATCGATTAGTCTTTGCCGCATCTGTTTTCTGTCACTTCCTTGTAAATGGCGTGTGATCCTGCTTTGTGAACCCGTGTCCTATGCTGTCTTTGGAAATTTTATCTGAAGCCACAAGCATCTGTTGGCCTTATATGATCACAGTGTGGCCACTTACCAATTGACTTTTTTATTTTTATTTTTTGAGTTGGAGTCTTGCTCTGTCTTCCAGGCTGCAGTGCAGTGGCGTGATCTCGGCTCACTGCAACCTCTGCCTCCCGTGTTCAAGTGATTTTCCTGCCTCTCAGCCTCTCGAGTAATTTGGATTACAGGCATGCGCCACCATGCCCGGCTAATTTTTGTATTTTTAGTAGAGATGGGTTTCTCCATGTTGGCCAGGCTGGTCTCGAACTCCTGGCCTCAAGTGATCCACCCACCTCGGCCTCCCAAAGTGATGGGATTACAGGTATGAGCCACTACACCCAGCTGAAGTTACTTTTTAAAGTAGCTTTTGAAATGCTTGCTTGTAACTAACCTAATCATGGTTATTATGAGGTCGTACCTCCAGCAGTAATTACTAAATTAAATCAATGTTAAATTACTTTGCCCCTTTTTAAAAAAACTGTTCGTACCAGATAACTTCTATTAAATACTCAGTACTTGTTTTGCAGTTTAGATTTGGATGGGCCTATTGCAGTAATCACGGTCATTTTGGGCTGAGAGATGTCTTCCCGAAACAGCTCTTTATCAAAATAAAGGAAATGGGAGCATGCTGGAATAGAAGAGATTTTGCAAGTCCTTGAAAGTAAATTAACTTCATCTTCTAAAGGGTGACTTTTGAGGGAAGGAGGAACCCTACTTTGTGTTTAGATATTCTTTACCTCCAGACAGAAGTATTCTTTGTTCTGTTTTCTTTTTGTTTTTGTTTTGAGACAAGGTCTCACTTTGTTGCCCAGGCTGGAGTGCAGTGGTTCAATCACAGCTCACTGAAGCCTCCACCTCCCAGGCTCAGGTGTTCCTCCCACCTCAGTCTCCCAGGCAGCTGGGACTACAGGCATCCACTGCCACGCTTGGCTAAGTTTTCTTTTCTTTTTTTTCTTTTTTTTTTTTTTGAGACGGAGTCTCGCTCTGTCACCCAGGCTGGAGTGCAGTGGCGCGATCTCCGCTCACTGCAAGCTCCGCCTCCCAGGTCCACACCATTCTCCTGCCTCAGCCTCTGGAGTAGCTGGGACTACAGGCGCCCGCCACCATGCCCAGCTAATTTTTTTTTTTTTTTTGTATTTTTAGTAGAGACGGGGTTTCACCATGTTAGCCAGGATGGTCTCGATCGCCTGACCTTGTGATCCACCCGCCTCAGGCTCCCAAAGTGCTAGGATTACAAGCATGAGCCACCGCGCCCGACCAACGCTTGGCTAATTTTTTGTAGAGATGGGGGTGTGTTAGTCCATTTTCACGCTACTGATAGACATACCTGAGACTGGGCAATTTACGAAAGAACGAGATCTAATGGACTTACCGTTCCATGTGGTTGGAGAGGCCTCACCATCATGGCAGAGGCCAAGGAGGAGCAAGTCACGTCTTAACATGTGTACCTGCTGAATCTTTACTACCTGCTTTTCTGCTTGGATCACAGCATTCTGTTTGTTGAGCTGAATTGTAATTCCTAGGTAATAGAATGGCTTAAAAGCTGGAGACAGGGAGGGATAGTCTTCTTGACCACTCTTCGCCCTTCTGTTCTTCCCTAAAAACTGAGGAGGTCATAGACAAAGATGAACTTGTGACTGCTGAGAGAGAGAGAACTGCCTTGCGGCAAGTATGAGTGCCACCTGATCCTGCGTGTGTTGAAGGAGCAGCTTCTGCTGTGGCTACTTCCCTCAGAACCTGTAGACTGGTCTAGTTTATTTAGCTTTTCCTCAGCCCTAAAGGACTTTGGCTGGGAGATGAAATTAGAAGTGCCTTCAAGATGATTAGGATGCCCATCTGTGGGCCTAGAATTATCTTGATTAATTATTACGCTGTAGAAATAGATCTGAAAGCATAGGGACCAAGGTTGGTTTTTTGGCTTTTTTTTGTTTGTTTTGTTTTGTTTTTTTTTGAGACAGGGTCATCTGTCATCCAGGCTGGAGTGCAGTGGCACAATGTCAGCTAACTGCAACCTCTGCTTCCCAGGTTCAAGCACTTCTCGTGCCTCAGCCTCCCGAGTAACTGGGATTACAGGCATGTGCCACCATGCCCAGATAATTTTTGTATTTTCAGTAGAGACAGTGTTTTGCCCTGTTGGCCAGGGTGTTCTCGAACTCCTGACCTCAAGTGATCCACCCACCTCGGCCTCCAAAAGTGCTGGGATTACAGGCGTGAGCCACTGTGCCCAGCCGGGACCAACCTTTTAACAGAAGTTACCATTAAATGTCTTTAAAAATCTATGTTTTCTAATTCTGTAATTAAAAAGACTTTTTTTCTTGTCACATGGGTAATGTGCCAACGTTGTGACAAGGTTTGAGAGTGGCATGTCTCACACATGGATGTGAACACCCAAGCACACTCATGAATTACAAAAGGATCCAAAAATAGACATTTTTAATTTAAAACAATTATGTTTAAATTACTTAGCTTATTTTTTATTTTTTTATTTTTTTTTTTGAGACGGAATCTCACACTGTTGCCCACGCTGGAGTGCAGTGGTGCGATCTTGGCTCACTGCAACCTGTACCTCCCGAGTTCAGGCAATTCTCCTGCCTCAGCCTCTTGAGAAGCTGGGATTACAAGCGTGCACTACCACGCCCGGCTAATTTTTTAATTTTTAGTAGTGATGGGGTTTCACCACGTTGGTCAGGCTGATCTCGATCTCCTGACCTCGTGGTCCGCCCACCTTGGCCTCCCAAAATGCCCGGCGGCTTATTCTGTTTTTAAATAACAGCTTTATTGAGATATTAATCATATACTGTAAAAGTGAACCTGTTAAATTATCCAATTAAGGGGTTTTTAGTATATTCACAAAGTTGTACGACCATTGCCACAGTTAGTTTGATGTTTCAAGGTTCATCTGTGTTGTAGAATATATCAGTACTTACTTCATTCCCTTTTTTTTCTTTTTTTGAGACGGGAGTCTTGCTTTGTTGCCTAGGCTGGAGTGCAGTGGTGTGATCTCAGCTCACTGCATCCTCCGCCTCTGGGTTCAAACGATTCTCCCACCTCAGCCTCCCAAGTAGGTGGGATTACAGGCATGCGCCACCATGCCCTGCTAATTCTTTTGTATTTTTAGTAGAGATGGGGTTTCACCATGTTGACCAAGCTGGTCTCAGACTCCTGACCTCAAGTGACCTGCCCACCTCAGCCTCCCAAAGTGCTGGGATTACAGGTGTGAGCCACCGATTCCGGCCAGCCCTGTTTAACTTCTTGAGGAGCCACCTAACTCTTCTGCAGTGGCTCCACCATTTTACATTCCCACCAGGAACGTAGGAGAGTTCCAATTTCTCCACATCCTTCCCAACACTTGTTATTGTGCCATAATTTTGATTATAGTCATCTGTAGGGTCCAGCCCCACAGGGTCGGTGGGTTTCTCCCCGTGTGTGGAGACGAGAGAGCGTAGAAATAAAGACACAAGACAAAGAGATAAAAGACAGCTGAGCCTGGGAATCCCACCAAGACGCGGAGACCGGTAGTGGCCCCAAATGCCAGGCTGCACTGATATTTATTGGATACAAGACAAAGGGGCAGGATAAGCAGTGTGAACCATCTCCAATGATAGGTAAGGCCACATGGGTCACGTGTCCACTGGAAAGCGGGCCCTTGCCTGCCTGGCACCAAGGCAGAGAGAGAGAGACAGCTTATGCCATTATTTCTGCTTATCAGAGACTTTTAGTACTTTCACTAATTTGCTATTGTTATCTAAAAGGCAGAGCCAGGTGTACAGGATGGAACATGAAGGCGGACTAGGAGCGTGACCACCAAAGCACAGCATCACAGGGAGATAGTTAGGCCTCTGGATAACTGCGGGCGGGCCTGACTGATGTCAGGCCCTCCACAAGAGGTGGAGGAGTAGAGTCTTCTCTAAACTCCCCCGGGGAAAGGGAGATTCCCTTTCCCGGTCTGCTAAGTAGCGGGTGTTTTTCCTTGACACTAACGCTACTGCTAGACCAAGGTCCGCTTGGCAACGGGCATCTTCCCAGATGCTGGCGTTACCGCTAGACCAAGGAGCCCTCTGGTGGCCCTGTCCGGGCATAACAGAAGGCTTGCACTCGTTTTCTGGTCAGTTCTCACTATGTCCCCTCAGCTCCCATCTCTGTATAGCCTGGTGTTTCCTAGGTTATGATTGTCGAGTGAGGATTATTATAATATTGGAATAAAGAGTAATTGCTACAAACTAAGGATTAATGATATTCATATATAATCATATCTAAGATCTATATCTAGTATAACTATTCTTATTTTATTTATTTTATTATACTAGAACAGCTCGTGCCCTCGGTTTCTTGCCTCGGCACCTGGGTGGCTTGCCACCCACAGCCATCCTAGTGGGTATAAAGTGGTATTTATTCATTATCAGTAGTTACTTACAAAAAGAAAATCCTGCGCAGACCGACCCTATTCCCCCAAACACACTCTTTGTTTCTCCCCAGCTGAAACAGAACCGCATGAGGGAAAGAGGAAAGTGGAATCTCTGTGGCCCATCTTCAGGATCCACCACCAGAAAACCCGCTACATCTTCGACCTCTTTTACAAGCGGAAAGCCATCAGCAGAGGTAATTAGTCAGTCTCTCTTGGACTTTGAAGCTCGCGTCACTTTTGGAGTTACTGAACTAACCACAATCCTTATTCTCGCAACCTGTGCAAGTCATGGTTTTTCTTACCACGAAAATTAGGGGGAGCCAACGTTGGCTGAGTTTTGTGTGTGTGTTTGTTTTTTGTTTGTTTGTTTTGAGATGGAGTCTCACTCTGTCACCCAGGCTGGAGTGCAGTGGCGCAATCTTGGCTCACTGCAAGCTCCACTTCCTGGGTTCAAGCGATTCTCCTGTCTCAGCTCCCAAGTAGCTGGGATTACAGGCACCTGCCACCACACCTGGCCAATTTTTGTATTTTTAGTAAAGATGGGGTTTCACCATATTGGTCAGGCTGATCTTGAACTCCTGACCTCAGGTGATTCACCCGACTCGGTCTCCCAAAGTGCTGGAATTATAGGCGTGGTCCACCGCTCTTGGCTTTTTTTTTTTTTTTTTTTTTGAAACAGGGTCTTGCTCTGTTCCACAGGCTGGAGTGCAGTGGTGCAATGATGGCTCACTGCAGCCTCAACCTTCTGGGCTCAAGGGATCCTCTCACCTCAACCTCCTGAGTAGCTGTGACTACAGGTGTGCACCACCACACCCAGCTAATTTTTAAATTTTTTGTGGAGATGGGCCCTTGGCCCAGGCTGGTTTCTTAACTCAAATGATCCTCTGGCGTTGGCTTCCAAAAGTGCTGGGATTACAGGTGTGAGGCACCTTGCCTGGCCTAAGTACTTTTTTTTTTTGTTCCTCCTCCAAGGACTGTCCCGTTGCAATACTGAATGCCTTTTTTTTTTTGAGATGGAGTTTCGCTGTCACCCAGGCTGGAGTCCAGTGGCACGACCTCAGGTCACTACAACCTCCGCCTCCTGGGTTCAAGTGATTCTCCTGCCTCAGCCTCCTAAGTAGCTGGGATTACAGCTGCTACCACGCCCGAGTAATTTTTGTATTTTTAGTAGAGACGGGGTTTTACCATGTTGGCCGGGCTGGTCCTGAACTCCTGACCTCAGGTGATCCGCCTGCCTCGGCCTCCCAAAGTGCTGGGATTACAGGTGTGAGCCACTGCACCCGGCCTGAATGCTTTTTTTGATCAAGGGTGGGGAAGGTTTTTAGACCATGGCCTGATGCTCTTTCCCCATCTTTTTGACAGAACTCTATGAATATTGTATTAAAGAAGGCTATGCAGACAAAAACCTGATTGCAAAATGGAAAAAGCAAGGATATGAGAACTTGTGCTGCCTGCGGTGCATTCAGACACGGGACACCAACTTCGGGACGAACTGCATCTGCCGCGTGCCCAAAAGCAAGCTGGAAGTGGTAATGTCTGACACTCAAGCTTGGTGTTGTTTTCAGCTCAAAATTCTGCCTTAGTCGACTGCAAGGGATCTTATGTTATTTGGTTGGGCTGGAATGTCGTTTTGTCCCTGGATGTCCTGCTGGCTCTCCCTCGTGGGAGTGGGTCCCTGTATTCAGGAATCCATGTGAGGCAGCGTGTGGCTGTGTGTTTGTTAGGTCTGGGGTCAATCTCAACTCCACTTTTGGGCAAATTACTGAACCCCTTTCCTCACTTAGGAAATGGTGGTGGGGAGCCCTAATCCCAAGGTGGTGGCAGGGTGACATCAGGGAAGGACAACCAGTGAGTTCCTGTCCCTTTCAGTCCTCACAGTGATACTTTAACATTACCATCACTATCTTTCCCGCCCCCCCAAGACGGAGTCTTGCTTTGTCGCCCAGGCTGGAGTGCAGTGATGCCATCTTGGCTCACTGCAACCTCCACCTCCCGGGTTCAAGCGGTTCTCCTGCCTCATCCTCCTGAGTAGCTGGGACTACAGGCATGCACCACCACGCCTGGCTAATTTTGTATTTTTAGTAGAGACGGGGTTTCTCAATGTTGCTCAGGCTGGTCTCGAACTCCCGACCTCAGGTGATCCACCCGCCTCAGCCTCCCAAAGTGCCGGGATTACAGGCATGAGCTACTGCGCCCAGCCCACTGTGTTTCTTCTTTCAGAACTTTCTGTTCCAAGTACCACTCCTAGGCCAGGCGCCTCAGGAGTGGTGCTGAGGGACAGGAGCTGAGCTCCATCCGGTTCCAAGCCCCTCTGAAAGGCAGCTGTGGCCCGAGGCAGAGTCACAGCAGTGGCCGCTCAGTGCAGCCCCTCAGCACAGTTGTTGGCCCCACCGCCCATCTGCCAGCCTGGCCTTCTTTTCCCCAGCTCCACACAGGGGCCTCTTCACATGAGTCCCCTTTATGCTGCAGTGAGACTGACAATGGAGAGCTGTGGCTGGATGCTGAGGACTTGGGTACTGAGCAGTGGGGGCGAGCAAGGGCCGCCTCCCCGACGGAAGACTGGGGTGTTGGTTTTCTGATGGAGGCAGGGACAGGTGGCAGAGTGGCAGAAGCCCCCTTCCTCTGAGTGCCCAGATTCCACAAGGAGTCCAGGTCAGGGGCTGGTGGGCTGGGGTGCTGCTTCAGCCCTGTGGCCAAAACAGCCCGCTGTAGACTTACCTGGGTTTCACCAGAGGATCCTGTTTACTTAAACTATGGTCTTGTTCTTCCAAAAAAAGAACTTGAAAAAGTAAAATAAACACAAGCCACTGTTCTAGGGCTTTCTGGCTGGCCAAGTGTTGGGCCGCACCAGGCCTGGGGGACAAGACCCTTCTTTCTGGGGGGCTCTGGGCCAGAAGGGTGTGACTCAAGTGCATAGTCTCCTGCCCTCTTCCCCCACCAGAGTGTACCAGCCCAGAGGCCCCCCTGAAGTCCCCAAACAGTAGCAGAGCCACGTCTGCTCATCGCAGGGTCTGTCATGCTCACTTAGCAGAATAACGAGACTCATTCACACCGATTTCTTTTTCTTGATTGGCAAACGTGTGTTGGATTTGCAGAACATATTATAAATAGACATACAGATGTAACCTCGGTGTCAACAGCAGCTGGTTCTACCTTCATGAGGGAGCCAAATTTTCCCTGTCCAGAGCTGTCAAGGAAGGGTTTCTGAGGTGTGTCCCTATATGGCATGGTGGCAGGTCCTTCGTGGGAGGGTTGCCACATATGTGAGTGTGCAGGGGCGAGCGTGGCGCAGTGGCATCGTCTCACTGTCCTCCTCCGTTGCAGGGCCGCATCATCGAGTGCACACACTGTGGCTGTCGTGGCTGCTCTGGCTGAGGCTGGCGCGCTCCACCCTGGACTCTGGACTTCGCAGGTTCCTGCCTGTCACGCCACCCCCTTCCTGGGAGCAGCGAGCAGTGCCCCAGGCCCGAGTTGGAGCACGGTCTCTATGGGGAAGGCTTCGCTGTCTATCAGCTGTGATTTGTAAAAATAAAATCTTTAAATCTCTCGAGCCCCACGTCTCTTCTTTCAGAGCATCGGCCTATGGAACCCGGCGGGGCGGCCCAGGCCCCAGGGACCAGATGCCCCAGCCCCCTTGTGGTGTGTGAGGTGACACACAAAGGTAGCTGGAGCTGGAAGTCCCGTGAAGGTGACACGCAAAGGTGGCTGGAGCTGCACTTGGACCTGCTGGGAGCACAGGCACCTTGGGCCTAGTGTGTGTCCTCACCAACACCTGTGACACGCTGCGGCTGTTCCTCAGGGCCTGGCTCTTCCCCCAGGCAGGAGGTGACACCAGCTCACTTGTCCTGGGGCTCCCACAGAGCACTGGGGGCCGAGCACATTGTTCCAGCTGTGCTCCCATCACCTGCCCCCAAGGGCACATCCGTCATCAGCCTCCTTGCCGGTGTCCTGGTCCCCCTGGGGCTTGGTCCGGAACTTCTGCCAGGGGTGCGGGGTTTCCTCTGCGGGCATCACTGTCAGCCACTGCTTGTAATAGGCTCGGAAGCCGTCAATCTTCTCCAGGTAGGTGTTCTTCCCTTGGTACTAGAATTAGAAAAGTGAGGCTAGAATCACTCCTGTTACCTACAGCTAATCCCAAACCTCGGCAGCTGGCTCAGGCCTCAGGGAAGCTGGTGGCTGCCATTTTCCCTTCCAGGTGGCTGCAGAGGACAGGGCAGAAAAGCTGTGAACACGCACTATGGGACTAGCTTACTTCAGAGAAACAGGTCCCCGCTGGGTACCCTGGGGCAGGCCCAGAGCCATCTGCCCAATGGCGTTCTTCCCAAATAGGCACCACTGTGCTCCTCCATCCGCAGTTGCCACCCCAGGCCCCCAAGCCAGAATCACTGGGTCCCACCAGCTCTGCCTCCACAGCCTGCCGAGCCCCTCCCCATCAAAGCCACCTCCCTCTGACCATTATCTCAACACTGCCAAGATAGGCTCCATGAGATATGGGGAAAAAAGCAAAGACACACCAGACACAAACTGAGAGCTGGTAGGGGAATATACCAAAAAAGCCAAAAAGTGCTATCCAACATACAGCTACTACCACACAATGACAAAAGGTTTGGCCGGGTGCGGTGGCTCACGTCTGTAATCCCAGCACTTTGAGAGGCCGAGGTGGGCAGATCACTTGAGGTCAGGAGTTCGAGACCAGCCTGGCCAGCATGGTGAAACTCCATCTCTACTAAAAATACTGGATGTGGCGGTGCATGCCTGTAGCCCCAGCTACCTGGGAGGTTAAGGCAGGAGAATGGCTTGAACCCGGGAGGCAGAGGTTGCAGTGAGCTGAGATCACGCCATTGCACTCCAGCCTGGGCGACAGAGCAAGACTCCATCTCAAAAAAAAACAAAAACAAAAAAAGGTTTGACTCAAAAGACTGGACAATTCTAAACCTTAAGGTGCCGGATAGAGCCTGAAAGCACAGAAAGCAAAACTCAACAGAATCACGAATATAAACAAGTCCACCATCATGAGGGAATATGAGTACAGATGCTCCTGACAGCAGGGTTCCGCCCCCCAAAAACCCATCGTAAATCAAAAATCAATCTGGCTGTGTGTGCTGGCTCACTCCTATAATCCCAGTGCTTTGGGAAGCCGAGGCAGGCGGATTACATGAGCTCAGGAGTTCCAGACCAGTTTGGGCAATATAGTGAAACCCTATCTAAAAGATTAGCTGGGTACAGTGGTACATGCCTGTAGTCCCAGCTCCTCAGGTGGCTAAGGTGGGAGGACTTCTTAAGCCTGGGAGGTCAAGGCTACAGTGAGCCATAATCGTGCCACTGCACTCCAGCCTGGGCAACAGAGTGATTCCCGTCTCTTTAAAAAAAAAAAAAAAAAAGAAAAAAGAAAATGCGGCACGGCATGGGGGCTCACAACTATAATCCCAGCACTTTGGGAGGCTGGGGTGGGTGGATCACGAGGTCGGGAGTTCAAGACCAGCCTGGCCAAGATGGTGAAACCCCGTCTCTACTAAAAAAAAAAAAAAAACCACAAAAATTAGCCTGGTGTGGTGGCAGGCTCCTGTAATCCCAGCAACTCGGGAGGCTGAGGCAGGAAAATCACTTGAACCTGGGCGGCAGAGGTTGCAGTGAGGCCAGATCGCATCACTGCACTCCAGCCTGGGTGACAGAGTGAGACTCCATCTCATAAAAAACAAAAGGAAAATGCATCTATTGCTGGCAACACAGCAGAGGGTCCTGACTTTATAATTATGCAAAAGTGATATACATTCAGTAGAAACTAACCCCGCACAAAGTCGATCCTTACAGAGTTACATCCTGATAAAACCATTGCAAAGTTGAAAAATCCTGTGTAGAATCATCTTTAAGTCAGGGACATCTGTCTGTGACTTAAATATGATATGCTTTAGGTCTATGATAGTCTTGTGACTGTCGAGTTGAACCCCTAGTGAGCCCTACGCCAGAGGGAAGAGACAATCCACTAGGAAGATATGCACAACATGTGATCAACAAAAAACCAGTACCCAGAATATATAAAAAACCCTGGAATCAATGAGAAAAGGCTTGCAACCAACAGTTCAAAGCACAGACACAGTTCAAAAATGCCCAGCTATGCCTTCAGCCAGACACAATTTCCATTGCTGTCCCACCTATTTGTAGGAAGCCCTCAAAATGGCATTCAGGCGTGACACCTGCACGGCGTTCCTGACCCCGCACCCTCTAGCTGTGTGTGTCCCTGCCCATTTACTTGTTTCCGCCCCATCCGGGCTGTGCTTCAAGCCATAGTGGCTCTCGATGCTCCGGAGATGCTCAGCACAGAGTGTGATTCGATGGACCCAAAAGCCAAACCCCAGAGCCTGATAGCCTCAGAACAGCAGGGAGAGGCTGTGGCCGTGACAAAGCAGATTCCATGACTCTGCCCTGCTCCTGCTGATACAGGAGGTTGAAAGAAATTATTTAGGCAGATAATAAGGGCAACAGAGTCCTTGGCGAAATTTCCCTTTTAATAAAAAGCAGCCCCCAAATAATTTCTTTTCTAACAAAGAGCAGCCTGAAAAATCGAGCTGCAGACATAGATAAGCAAACTGGAAGCTTGCAGGGGTAAATGCTGGCGGCTGTGCCAACAGAAAAGGGCTACCTGGGAGCCAGATATGTTCAACGTGGGGGCCCCATCTTCCCTTCTTTGTTGCCATGTGTACAGTAAAGAACCAGGCAACATGGCGATGGCCACCTGTCTGCATAATAAAAGGTTAGGGTGGGGCACCAGCTTTTATACATGCTATGTAAATGGCACACCTGGTCCAACTAATCTTTTGCGTCCTCTGTAAATCAGACACCACCTCCCCAAGCTCATCTACAAAACCTCTGCATTACACTATGGAAGTGGCAACCCACTTCTCTGGCACCTCTCTCTGCAAGGAGAGAGCTCTTCTCTTTTTTTTTTTTTCACCACCACACCGGGCGAGAGCTCTTCTTTCTTTCGCCTATTAAACTTCAGCTCTTAACCTCTTTTTTTTTTTTTTGAGACCAAGTCTCCATCTATCGCCCAGGCTGGAGTGCAGTGGCGCGATCTTGGCTCACAACAAATCTCAGGTATTCACCCCAGACAATGACACCACTTCACTGCCTGCCCAGTCCCTGAGCAAGCGACAACCTGTTTGGAGTACCCAGCAACGTGCAGGTGCTGGGGACCCAGATGAGCACAGCAGACAGCCTCTGCCTCCAGAAGCCTGATACAGGGAAGGCCAGGGCTGCCCATGAGCACATGATCCAAGACTGTAGGACACGGCATAAAGGAACAGAGTGGGAAGGGGGAGGGGAGACTTTCATCCCAGGTCAGAGCGGCAGCCAGCTGGGCATGTCTGAGGGCCACTTAAGCAGAGACCTCCAGGAAAAGTGGGTGCCACCTGAGGCAGCGGGAACACCAATCCCGAAGCAGGCAAGAGGTTGGTGGCCTCTGCGAACTGACAGAAGGCCACTGGGACAGACAGAGAAAGCAAACGCAAGGCTGAGACATGAGATGAGCCACGCAGACAGGGACTCGCAGGCTGTGGTCTACAGACTTGGGTACTGCTCCTAAGGGAAGCTGCTGGACAGTTTCAAGCATGGCAACACAATCCCAAGGGCCAGAACCGGGGTTGGGTGGTGGGGGGAGGGGGTAGCAATGGTGAAGGAGCTGATGAGCTTTTGAGCTTGGGGCACACACCCGGTCAAAGGTGGGAGGGTACTGGGCTGCAAACTCCAGCTGGCGGATGACCACTTCGTTCACCGGGACCCTGTTCTGCTTCATGTCCTTCAAGATGCTGATGAGATAGGTGTAGTTCAGCTTCCTGATGGCCGCGTTGATGAGGGCACTGTAGATGTGAGTGTTGGGGGTCACCTGGGACTTCTAGAACACAGGGACATCGTAGAATCAAGATGATGGCAGCCATTGGGACCCAGCAGCTCCCACCCTCTGTCAATCAAGCTGGCTCCCGGGACCAGCGGCCAGGGCCAGCAAGGCAAACTTGGCAGCAACAATGTGCTGAATATCCCTCTCCAGCAGGAAAGCCAAGCCCAGCCCCTCTGCTCAGCCCTAAAGAAGCTGCGGAAAAGGACGCTCGTGCTGCTCTCAGACACCGACTGACTCAGGCAGAAAATGATGTGGGAGACACCACCTCCTTGCTCCCTGGGGTGGGCTTCCTGTGACGCACGGTCACCAGGTGGTGGTTGGCCTAGAAAAGTGCAAGCCTTGGCTGGGTGAGCCCGGTAGGGTCCAGGAAAACAGCCAGAGGATGATGGACCTGGGGACACCGACAACCCAGGACGCAGCCTCTGCTGTGGTCGGATGAAATCCACGCAGCACTTCCAATGGGGGTTAGGTGGGAGGCACAGACCTCGGGGGCTTTGAAAACTGCCCACGGCCCCTCAGGAATTCTGAGAATCCCTGCCATACCTCTAGAGTGTTGGGGCCGAGGCCTGTGCCCAGCCCTGTGTCAACCCACGGCCACCTTCTTCCGGATGGGAACATCCGTGTGTCTCTACGCCCAGCCCTGAAGCACTCACTGGGGTCTGCTTCCCCCAAAATGGGACCAAAGACCAGAAGGTCATTGACCCCACTCTCTTTGCCCCATGCACAGTTCATCCTCTCCAGGTGGGGGGTCTGCAGACCCCTCAAACTTTCCTCCTGAGCTGCAGAGTGCTCCTGAGCACCATGGGTGTCCTGCCCAGGCCCGAGTCCACTCACCTTCATGTCTGTGAGAAGCTGTAGACCGTCCTTCGGCCTGTGGCACCCGATGGCCAGGTTGCAGAATGTCTGCAGGTTGGGGACGAGGCCCCTCTTTGCCAGGACCGGCAACAGCGCCTTGGCCCCCTCCAGGTCTCCCAGCTTGCTCTTCTTTCTCACCAGCGTGTTAAAGAATGTCAGGTCGGCCTCTACCTGGTGCTCATCCAGGAGGGCCAGCAGCAAGGACTCTGCAGGACTCCCGGACTCCACCACCTCGGCCAGTAGCGTGAGGGTCCTGATGTCGGGCTGCTGCCTGTGCTCTGCCATCTTGCTCAGGAAGCCCTCCAGGCCCCCTATCAAGGCCAGCCGGTCAGCTGGGGTGGTCACCGTTCCAAAGGAGACCACTGTAGGGGGAACGGCCCCGGGGGTCAGGAGGTTGACTTCCAGCTCCACGGGAGGTGGCTTCAGGGCCACTGCGGTGAGGGCTGCTGTGTGGCTGGGCTCTGCCTTAGTATCCACCTCTGGTTGGGCCTTGCCGGGCACTCTGGCTTCCGGAGGCTCTGGAGGCCCAAGTGCCTGAGAAGGTTCCAGAAACAGCTGCCTCTCCAGGGCCTCCACATGCAGCATGGCTGACATGAGGTTGCCTGCCTTGGCCTGGGCTGTCCTCCTTGGCCGCTGCCTGCTCACTGGGGGCTGAAGCACAGTCGCCTCCTCCCTGGGCTTCAGAAGCAGCTCTGAGGCCACCTGGGGGTCCCCTAGGCCACAGTCCCGAGCTGCCACCAACAGCAGGTTGTAGCTGTCCCGGCTCGGCTGTAGCCCTAGACTCAGCATCAGCCGCCACACCTGCCACGGAAGAGACAAACGTCAGCTGGGTGCTCCCATTCAGCAGCTGGGCGCAGGGCTCACGCCTGGAATCCCAGCACCTTGGGAGTTTTAGATGGGAGGATCCCTTGAGATCAGGAGTTCGAGACAAGACCGGGCAACATAGCAAGACCCTGCCTCAAAAAAATACGCCAGGCGCGGTGGCTCACGCCTGTAATCCCAACACTTTAGGAAGCTAAGGCAGGCAGACTCCTTGAGATCAGGAGTTCGAGACCAGCCCGACCAACATGGTGAAACCCCATCTCTACTAAAAATACAAAAATTATTGGGTGTGGTATTGCATGCCCACAGTCCCAGCTACTCAGGAGGCTGAAGTGGGAGAATCACTTGAACCCAGAGATCGAGGTTGCAGTGAGCCGTGATCATGCCACAGCACTCCAGCCTGGGTGACAGAGCGAGAGTGTCTCAAAACAACTGTAAAACATTTAAAAAATTGGCCGGGCCTCTCCCTCTCCCTCTCCCTCTCCCCCTCCCTCTCCCCATGGTCTCCCTCTCCCTCTCCCTCTCCCTCTCCCCACGGTCTCCCTCTCCCTCTCCCCACGGTCTCCCTCTCCCTCTTTCCACAGTCTCCCTCTGATGCCCAGCTGAAGCTGGACTGTAACTGCTGCCATCTCGGCTCACTGCAACCTCCCTGCCTGATTCTCCTGCCTCAGCCTGCCGAGTACCTGCGATTGCAGGCGCGCGCCACCACGCCTGACTGGTTTTTGTATTATTTTGGTGGAGACGGGGTTTCGCTGTGTTGGCCAGGCTGGTCTCCAGCTCCTAACCGCGAGTGATCCACCAACCTCGGCCTCCCGAGGTGCCGGGATTGCAGACGGAGTCTCGTTCACTCAGTGCTCAATGGTGCCCAGGCTGGAGTGCAGTGGCGTGATCTCGGCTCGCTACAACCTCCACCTCCCAGCCGCCTGCCTTGGCCTCCCAAAGTGCCAAGACGGCCGCCACCCCGTCTGGGAAGTGAGGAGCGTCTCTGCCTGGCCGCCCATCGTCTGGGATGTGAGGAGCCCCTCTGCCTGGCTGCCCAGTCTGGAAAGTGAGGAGCGTCTCTGCCCAGCCGCCATCCCATCTAGGAAGTGAGGAGCGCCTCTTCCCGGCCGCCATCCCATCTAGGAAGTGAGGAGCATCTCTGCCCGGCCGCCCATCGTCTGAGATGTGGGGAGCGCCTCTGCCCCGCCGCCCCGTCTGGGATGTGAGGAGCGCCTCTGCCCGGCCGCGACCCCGTCTGGGAGGTGAGGAGCGTCTCTGCCCGGCCGCCCCGTCTGAGAAATGAGGAGACCCTCTGCCTGGCAACCGCCCCATCTGAGAAGTGAGGAGCCCCTCCGCCTGGCAGCCGCCCCGTCTGAGAAGTGAGGAGCCCCTCCGCCCGGGAGTCACCCTGTCTGGGAAGTGAGGAGCGTCTCCGCCCGGCAGCCACCCCGTCCGGGAGGGAGGTGGGGGTCAGCCCCCGCCAGGCCAGCCGCCCCGTCCGGGAGGGAGGTGGGGGTCAGCCCCCCACCCGGCCAGCCGCCCCGTCCGGGAGGGAGGTGGGGGTGGTCAGCCCCCTGCCCGGCCAGCCGCCCCGTCCGGGAGGTGAGGGGCACCTCTGCCCGGCTGCCCCTACTGGGAAGTGAGGAGCCCCTCTGCCCGGCTAGCACCCCGTCCAGGAGGGAGGTGGGGGGGTCAGCCCCCCGCCCGGCCAGCCGCCCCGTCCGGGAGGGAGGTGGGGGGTCAGCCCCCCGCCCGGCCAGCCGCCCCGTCCGGGAGGTGAGGGGCGCCTCTGCCCGGCCGCCCCTACTGGGAAGTGAGGAGCCCCTCTGCCAGGCCAGCCGCCCCGTCCGGGAGGGAGGTGGGGGGGGTCAGCCCCCCGCCCAGCCAGCCGCCCCGTCCGGGAGGTGAGCGGCGCCTCTGCCCGGCCGCCCCTGCTGGGAAGTGAGGAGCCCCTCTGCCCGGCCACCACCCCGTCTGGGAGGTGTGCCCAGCGGCTCATTGAGAACGGGCCATGATGACAGTGGCGGTTTTGTGGAATAGAAAGGGGGGAAAGGTGGGGAAAAGATTGAGAAATCGGATGGTTGCCGTGTCTGTGTAGAAAGAAGTAGACATGGGAGACTTTTCATTTTGTTCTGTACTAAGAAAAATTCTTCTGCCTTGGGATCCTGTTGATCTGTGACCTTACCCCCAACCCTGTGCTCTCTGAAACATGTGCTGTGTCCACTCAGGGTTAAATGGATTAAGGGTGGTGCAAGATGTGCTTTGTTAAACAGATGCTTGAAGGCAGCATGCTCCTTAAGAGTCATCACCACTCCCTAATCTCAAGTACCCAGGGGCACAAACACTGCAGAAGGCCGCAGGGTCGTCTGCCTAGGAAAACCAGAGACCTTTGTTCACTTGTTTATCTGCTGACCTTCCCTCCACTATTGTCCTATGACCCTGCCAAATCTCCCTCTGCAAGAAACACCCAAGAATGATCAATAAAAAAAAAAAAAAAATTGGCCGGGCGCGGTGGCTCACGCCTGTAATACTAGCATTTTGGGAGAGCAAGGCGCCGGATCACGAGGTAGGAGAGCGAGACCATCCAGGCTAACATGGTGAAACTCTGTCTCTACTAAAAATACAAAAACAAAATTAGCTGGGCATGGTGGTGGGCGCCTATAGTCCCAGCTACTCAGGAGGCTGAGACGGGAGAATGGTGTGAACCCAGGAGGTGGAGCTTGCAGTGAGCCGAGATCATGCCACTGTACTCCAGCCTGGGCGACAGAGCAAGACTCCATCTCAAAAAAAAAAAAAAAAAATTAAAAACATTAAAAAGAAAAAGAAAAAAAAAGCTCTCCAGCGGGGAGCTGTGGTTCACACCTGTAATCCCAGCACTTTGGGAGGCCCAGGCGGGCAGATCACATGAGGCCAGGAGTTCAAGACCAGCCTGGTCAACATGGTGAAACCCCGTCTCTACTAAAAATACAAAATTAGCTGGGCGTGGTGGCGGGCGCCTGTAATCTCAACTACTCGGGAGGCTGAGGCAGGAGTATCGCGTGAACCTGGGAGGCGGAGGTTGCAGTGAGCCAAGATCGCTCACTCCAGCCTGGGCAAGAGTGAGACTCCATCTCAAAATAAATGAATGAATGAATGAATGAATGACTCCTGGGTTGCACCTGCAGAAGTGCTAATGGGGGTGTGGGAGGGTTGAACAAGTCCCCAGGTGAGTGTGTGGCAGGCTTTCAAGGAAGGTGAGTTTAGAGGGGCTAAGCCGACTGCAAAGCAGGGTGGGAGGGGCGGGGGCCACCCTCATTCCATCTCCAAGGGCCTCCTCTCCCTGCCATCTGTAGAATGGAGGCTACAGTGGCTGCTGGGTTTTCAGAAAAGAGCACAGATATAAAAATACTCAGCACAGGGCCATCGTGGGTGCTCACAGGATCACCATTTTGCACCTCTGGCACCGGGGAAGCAGGGCAGGAAGGTGGGGTGGGAGGGACATACCTGGAGGGCGTACCGGAAGCCTGTCTTCTTGTCTTGGATGCAGCCCATGAGCAGGAAACTGAAGGTCTCCTCTGTGACCACGTGCCCTTTGTGGATGATTTCCTGGGGGAGGGAACAAAGACGTCCCACTGAGAACCTGCAGCAGGCTGGGCATGGTAGCTCATGTCTGTAATCCTGGCACATTGGGAGGCCAAGGCAGGATGATCACTTGAGGCCAGGAGTTTTGTGACCAGCCTGGGCAACATAGCAAGACCCTGTCTCTAGGAAGCCTTCCCTCGAGTGCACAAAGCAGGACACAGCACACGGTGGCATACACAATCTCCAGTAAGGTCTCATCAGATCCATCTGTGAACCCCAGGGCCCAATACCGGCTGTCTCATCCTCCCTAAGCCTTCCTACATGAGGAGAGACAGACACCACAGCCCTGCCCCTGACACG
The DNA here is from genome assembly GCF_000001405.40 of Homo sapiens. NCBI lineage: Eukaryota > Metazoa > Chordata > Mammalia > Primates > Hominidae > Homo > Homo sapiens. Next base: position 99,429,541 of record NC_000007.14, read on the forward strand.
TGGGACCAGCCCCATGAAGGGGAGCAGGACGGCAGGGGAAGCCCCACCTTGAACACATCGAGGCACATCCTAAGGTCTGCGCACTTGGCAGCCATCTTCAGCAGCGCGTGGTATGTTTTCAAGTTGAGCTCGAAGTTTTTGGCCTGCAGCTGCTGCCGGAGCTTCAGGGCGCTCTGTAGAGCTGAGTCCTTCCAGGGGGACTCGGCACAGACGTTGAACAGGGCCGTGTAGGTGGCGTCCGAGGGCTCCAGGTCCCGCTTTTTCATCTGTGGAGATGGAAGAAGCTCAGTGGTGGCCCGGGATCAGCTGGACGCACAGGTGAGCAGCTGCCCCAGAGGAGGCTGAGGCTGGAGAGGACCCCGTCACTGCATCCACCAGGCCAGGCTCTAAGGCAGAGCCATGGACACATCAGAGCCCAGCTCTCCAAACTCAGACACATTGAAGGGACTCTGAAAACTGAGCCCACACACCCAGATGTACCAAACAGGAGCTACCCTGCCCTGGGCACTTGTCAGCCCACTCCAGGCCTGGGGTCCTGGCAGCAAGGTCTTCCTGATGTCCCCACCTTCAGGCCACCCCGTCAAGGGGAAAGGGCCTGTAGTGCTTACTACCTGAGGGCTCCCGGGCAAGTTAGCACTTCCTCGCGAAAATGGGGATGACACCATCACCTTGAAACCAGGCATGCCTGTGGCAAGTGGGAGGATGCACTGCAGTGCTCTAGGGGTGGCCCCGAACCAGTGGCACAATGCACATTCTCAGGGCCACCTGATCTGGTAAGTCACAAGCCCCGGAGCTGAGTGACACTCAGCTTACTGAGCCTCCAGGGGACTAAGGCATGTGCTCAGGGTTGACAATCCGTGGTGAAGCCTAGCACTCGCTATTGGCCAGAGAAGGGCCATCTGGACAAAGGCAGGCGATAGGCAGCTCAGCGGCAGAAAGAACCCTGCTAGAGTCAGGCCATCTGGGGCTCAAATCCCAGCCCCGGTGCATTCAAGTGGGGTGGCCTTGGACATGTCCCTTCATCTCTCTGTGCCTCAGTTTCCTTATCTGAAAAGCAAAGAGGGCAGTCCCTACTTTGAGGATGATGTAAGCTCTGCGTGTATTGCTGCACTCCACAGAGGTGCACTGACAACTCACTACCTGCCCAGCAGCAGCCCTGGGGTTAGCAGAGCGGGCACAGCCTATCCTTACTGAGCTTACACTCAAGAAGGGAGACACACTGCAGGTGAGTCACCAAAAACAGTAACAAGGCTGGGTGCCGTGGCTCACGCCTATAATCCCAGCACTTTGGAAGGCTGAGGTGGGCAGATCACCTGAGGTCAGGAGTTCGAGACCAGCCTGGCCAACATGGCGAAACCCCGTCTTCTACAAAAAACACAAAAAAATTAGCCAGGCATGGTGGTGGGCGCCTTTAATCCCAGCTACTCGGGAGGCTGAGGCAGGAGAATTGCTTGAACCTGGGAGGTGGAGGTTGCATTGAGCCGAGGTCGCACCACTGCACTCCAGCCAGGGTGACAGAGCCAAAACTCCCGTCTCAAAAAAATAAATAAATAAAATAAAATAAATAAAAACAATAAAAATATTAGTTTTTTTTCTTTTTTTTTGAGATGGAGTCTTACTCTGTCGCCAGGCTAGAGTGCAGTGGCGTGATCTCGGCTCACTACGACCTCCCTCCACTTCCTGGGTTCAAGTGATTCCCTTGCCTCAGCCTCCTGAGTAGCTGGGACTACAGGTACGTGCCACCACGCCCAGCTAAATTTTGTATTTTTAGTAGAGACAGGGTTTCACCATGTTGGCCAGGATGGTCTCAATCTCTTGACCTCGTGATCCGCCCACTTTGGGCTCCCAAAATGGTGGGATTACAGGTGTGAGCCACCGCACCTGGCCAAAAATAATAGTTTTTTAAAATAGATGTAATGGGCTGGGTGCGGTGGCTCACGCCTGTAATTCTAGCACTTTGGGAGGCCAAGGCGGGTGGACCACTTGAGGTCAAGAGACCAGCCTGGCCAACATGGTGAAATGCTGTCTCTACTAAAAATACAAACAAAATGAGCCAGGCATGGTGGCATGTGCGCCTGTAGTCCCAGCTACTCGGGAGGCTGAGGTATGAGAACTGCTCGAGCCCAGGAGGCGGAGGTTCCAGTGAGCCGAGGTCGCACCACTGCACTCCAGCCTGGGCGACAGAGCGAGACTCTGTCTCCAAAAAAAAAGGACTGTAGGAAAAAGAAAGAGAGATCAGACTGTTACTGTGTCTATGTAGAAAGAAGTAGACACAAGAAACTCCATTTTGTTCTGTACTAAGAGAAATTCTTCTGCCTTGAGATGCTGTTAAACTGTAACCCTAGCCCCAACCCTGTGCTTGCAGAGACATGAGCTGTGTTGACTCAAGGTTTAATGGATTTAGGGCTGTGCAGGGTGTGCTTTGTTAAAAAAGTGCTTGAAGGCAGTAGGCTTGATAAAAGTCATCGCCATTCTCCAATCTCGAGTACCCAGGGACACAATACACTGCGGAAGGCCGCAGGGACCTCTGCCCAGGAAAGCCAGGTATTGTCCAAGGTTTCTCCCCATGTGATAGCCTGAGATATGGCCTCGTGGGAAGGGAAAGACCTGACTGTCTCCCAGCCTGTCCCCCAGCCCGACGCCCATAAAGGGTCTGTGCTGAGGAGGGTTAGTGAAAGAGGAAGGCCTCTTTGCAGTTGAGATAAGAGGAAGGCATCTGTCTCCTGCTCGTCCCTGGGAATGGAATGTCTTGGGTGTAAAACCAGATTGTGTGTTCTATTTACTGAGATAGGCGAAAACCGCCTCAGGGCTGGAGGTGGGACCTGCTGGAGACAATACTGCTCTTTGATGCACGAGATGTTGTGTAGGTGCACATCAAAGCACAGCACCCTTCCTTAAACTTATTTATGACACAGAGACCTTTGCTCACATATTTTCCTGCTGACCCTCTCCCCATTACCCTATCGTCCTGCCACATCCCCCTCTCCGAGATGGTAGAGATAGTGATCAATAAATACTGAGGGAACTCAAGAGACCAGTGCCTGCGCAGCGCAGGTCCTCCGTATGCGCAGGTCCTCCGTATGCGGGATGCTGAGCGTATGCTGAGCACCGGTCCCAGGGGACCACTGTTCTTTCTCTATACTTTGTCTCTGTGTCTTATTTCTTTTCTCAGTCTCTCGTCCCACCTGACGAGAAACGCCCACAGGTGTGGAGGGGCTGGCCCCCTTCAGAGGAGCAGATGCGGTGGCTGGGCTGTGACCTGTAATCCCAGCACTTTGGGAGGCTGAGGCGGATGGCCAGGGGTTAGAGACCAGCCTAGACAAAGCAGCACAATCCCACCTCTACAAAAAACTTAAAAATTAGCCAGATATGGTGCTACACACCTGTGCTCACAGCTACTGGCGAGGCTGAGGCAGGAGGAACTCTTGAGCCAAGGAGTTGGAGGCTGCAGTGAGCTATGACTGCACTCCAGCCTAGGTGACAGAGTGAGGCTCCCTCTGTTTTTTTTTGAAGGGAAAAGAAAGGGAACATGGGGACCGCCACAGTCCAGGCAGGTGCTAAAGGGCTTTCCATGTCATCTCGTTTATCACCCACAATCACCACCATTTTAAGGAGATGACTCTGAGGCCAGGGAGGTGAAGTCACCTGCCCAGTGTAAAGCACTAGCAAGTGGCACACTTGGGATCCGCCCCCAGCTTTTCAGAGCCTCACCCCGGCTGCCCTGCGCCCACATGCACCTGGTTGTAGAGGTTGAAGGCCTTCTTCAGGTAGCCAACCCGCCCGCAGCCCCCAATCAGCACCGTGTAGTTGCTCTCCATGGGCTGCAATCGCTCCTCCTTCAGCATCTGCCTCTCAAACAGGTCCAGGGCTTCAACCAGCTGCAGGGAAGAGGCAACAGGGCAGGGGCTCAGAATGGCCCCAGAGACCCTCAGCAGAGAGAGGGAGGTTGAAGCTGAGGGACCCTCCTAAAATGGTGGAGAACGGCGGCCCTGGGTGACTGCAAACCCCCTGGGCCCCCAGCTGTTTCTGCCCCATCCCTCACCTCACACCATTTCCCCGGTGAAGCCTCAGTTCATTCCTTTATTCCTTCATTATTTTCATCTGTTCATTCAAACAATAATTACTGAGTGCTTCAATGAGCCAGACAAGGTCTATCCACTGCATATACGGCTGGGAACAAGAGAGAGCTCCTTCTTGGAGCTCATGTTTTGGTGTGGAAAGTCAGACATGAGGCCAGGCGCAGTGGCTCACGCCTGTAATCCCAGCACTTTGGGAGGCTGAGGCGGGCAGATCACAAGGTCAGGAATTCGAGACCAGCCTGGCCAACATGGTGAAACCCCGTCTCTACTAAAAATACAAAAATTAGCCAGGCATGGTGGCACACACCTGTAATCCCAGCTACTTGGAAGGCTAAGGCAGAAGAATTGCTTGAACCCGGGAGGCAGAGGCTACGGTGAGCCAAGATTTCACCACTGCACTCCAGCCTGGGTGACGGTACAAGACTCCATCTCAAAAAAAAAAAAAAAACAAAAAAACAAACCAGACAGACATGAAATGGGATAATTAAGAAAGACACACAGTATATCAAGTGATGACAGGTGGTACGAACAAAACTAAAGCAGCGGCCAGGTGTAATGGCTCATGTTTGTAGTCCCAGCATTTCGGGAGACCAAGGCGGGCGGATCACCTGAGGTCTGGAGTTTGAGACCAGCCTGGCCATCATGGAGAAACCCCATCTCTACTAAAAATACAAAAATTGGCCAGGTGTGGTGGCACATGCCTGTAATCCCAGCTACTCAGGATGTTGAGATGGGAGAATTGCTTGAATTCCCCAGGAGGCGGAGGCTGCAGTGAGCCAAGATCGTGCCACTGCACTCCAGCCTGGGCGACAGAGTGAGATCCTGTTATAAAAAAAACCTAAAGCAGGGAGTGCTAGAAGGGTGTGGAGGATTCACTTTTCTTTTTCCTTTTTTTTTTTTTGAGACAGACTCTTGTTCTGTGACTCAGGCTGGAGTCTAGTGGTAAGATCAGCTCAGTGCAACCTCCGTCTCTACAAAAAAAAAAAAATACAATAAAATAAAACTGCGGTGGAGGATGGCAAAGGGTTGCGATACTTACAGCCATAAGGCTGGCAGTTCAACAGGGTAGGCCCAAAACTTAGAGGCTGGGAAAGTCAGGTGACCCCTTGCAAAACACTGAGCCACCAGGGGAAAGAAGCCAGGAGCCACAGAACCCAAAGTGCCCCTTACCTTCCCTTCCTTGATCAGGTGTTTGCACTGCAAGAAGTACCAGTACGGGGTGTTTCTCCGGCCTCGCCATAATTTGGGCTCCGGTTCCATTTGCTCATCTCTCCGTTCCCCAAACCGCAGGTTATGGAACTGGGCTGCGGATTTGCGGAATAGTCTCCGGGAGGAGTATTTGTCAGAGAGGGTCCCAAAACTCTCCTCCTCCTCCTCGTCTTCTTCCTGCGTGGCCGTGGAGTTGGAGTGGCTCGGGTCAGAGCCCAGGCTGCCCGTGTTTTCCTGACGCTCCTGGCCGAGGGGCAGCTGAGAGGAGGAGCTGCTGAAGGGCGCCCACATTGGCCGCATCAGCCCCTCCCTGCCTCCTGCCCACCTGGCTCTACAGGGGTCCAGGTGTTGCAGGATGAACAGTCCCATGGGGCGGGCCCTGGCGAACAGTCGAGCGAGTCTCACGAAGTCCATTTCTGGCTTTCCTGTCCCTCCAGGGCCTGGAATATATCAGGAAAAATAAGAGAGTCAACTCAGTTCCTAGTAACAAAAGGCAGAAAGAAAGAAGTGGTTACAAGTATGGGCCCAGGCCAGGCGCGGTGGCTCATGCCTGTAATCCCAGCACTTTGGGAGGTCGAGGCTGGCATATCACTTGAGGTCAGGAGTTTGAGACCAGCCTGGACAACATGGTGAAACCCCGTCTCTATGAAAAATACAAAAATTAGCCAGGCTTGGTGCTGTGCGCCTGTAATCCCAGCTACTCAGGAGGCTGAGGCAGGAGAATCACCTGAACCTGGGAGATGGAGCTTGCAGTGAGCTGAGATTGCGCCACCATACTCCAACCTGGGTGACAGAGTGAGACTCTGTCTCGAAAAAAAAAAGAAAAGAAAGAAAGAAAAAGAACAGGCCAGGGGCGGTGGCTCATGCCTGCACTCCCAGCACTTTGGGAGGCCGAGGCGGGCAGATCAGTTCAAGACCAGCCTGGCGACACCCCATCTCTACTAAAAATACAAAAAACATGAGCTGGGTGTGGTGCTACACGTCTAATCCCAGCTACTGAGGAGACTGAGGTAGGAGAATCGCTTGAACCCAGGAGACGGAGCTTGCAGTGAGCTGAGATCGCGCCACTGCACTCCAGCCTGAGTGACAGTGAGACTCTGTCTCAGAAAAAAAAAAAAATAATAATAATAAATAAAATAAGAAGTATGGGCCCAGAGGTTAGAAAGCCTAGGTTCAGGTCAGACATAGCTCACTGCAGCCCCACCCTCCTGTGCTCAAGCGATCCTCCCATTTCAGCCTCCCGAGTAGCTGGAACTACAGGTGTGAGCCACTATGCCTGGCTAATTTTATTTTTTGGTAGAGACAGGGTCTTGCTATGTGCCCAGGCTGGTCTTGAACTCCTGGACTCAAGCAATCCTCTCGCCTCGACCTCCCAAAGCACTGGGATTACAGCAATGAGCCACCATGCCCAGCCTAAAGTATTTTAGAGTCTGGTTATATTAGAAGGTTGCGATTGGAAAAGTCTTACAAGTGATGGCAGATTGAACAGATTAAAAACTAGGCCCAGTAGGTCAGGAGCGGTGGCTCACGCCTGTAATCCCAGCACTTTGGGAGGCCAAGGTGGGTGGATCCCCTCAGGTCAGGAGTTCGAGACCAGCCTGACGTGGTGAACCCTATCTCTGCCGAAAATATAAAAATTAGCTGGGCGTGACAGCGTGCCCCTGTAATCCCAGCTACTTGGGAGGCTGAGGCAGGAGAATCACTTGAACGTGGGAGGCAGAGGTTGCAGTGAGCCAAGATCGCGCCATTGCACTCCAGCCTGAGCGACAGAGCAAGACTCCATCTCAAAACAACAACAACAACAACAAACAAAAAACTAGGCCCAGCAAGGGGAGAGACTTGCTGGGGTCCTGCAGCAGTGCAGTGGGTGAGACTGGCCAGCTTGGGCTGGGCTGGCTTTGAACTCAGGTCCATGTAACGCATTGATGATTGTCCTGACCAGCACCTTTTGTGAAACTAGTGCAGGGGGCCTTTATCATTCTGCATCTGGCAAGCCCTGCCACTCCTTCTTACAAGCATGGTGTTTATGTAATTTTCTTTTTTGTGGAATGGGGTCTTCATGTTGCCCAGGCTGGAGTGCGATGGCACAGTGGAGTGCAAATGCACAATCACTGCAACCTCCAACTCCTGGGCTCAAGTGATCCTCCTACCTCAGCCTCTCAATTAACTAGCACTACTGGTGCACACCACCATACCTGTCTAATTTTTTGTATTTTTTTGTAGAGATGGAGTCTCCCTATGTTGCCAGGCTGGTCTAGAACTCCTGGCCTCAAGCAATCCTCCAGCCTTGGCCTCCCAAAGTGTTGGGATTGCAGGCGTAAGCCTCCATGCCCTGCCTTACGTGCATTAATTACAATACACAGAATTACAAAACAAAAAGCAATGATATTGAAATGGCATCAAAATGCTTTAAAAACAAATTTCTGCTATACTAGTATAGATGCTTATTTTCAATGCATGAAATAACAAGACCCTATCATAATTTCTTTTCTTTTCTTTTTTTTTTTTTGAGACAGTCTCTCACTCTGTCCTCAGGCGTGACCTCGGCTCACTGCAATTTCCGCCTCCCGGATTCAAGCGATTCTCCTGCCTCAGCCTCCCCTGGAGCTGGGACTACAGACGCATGCCACCAAGCCCAGCTAATTTTTGTATTTTTAGTAGAGACAGGGTTTCACCATGTTGGCCAGGATGGTCTGGATCTTTTGACCTTGTGATCCGCCCGCCTCGGCCTCCCGAAGTGCTGGGATTACAGCCGTGAGCCACCGCGCCCGGCCGACTCTATCATAATTTCAAAGCAGTAATAAATGTAAGTGACAGCTTAAGATACCACCTTGTAGTTGCTGCACAAACTGGGTTTTTTTGCGTCTCACTCTGTCACCAGGCTGGAGTGGGGTGGTACAATCTCGGCTCAATGCAACCTCTGCCTCCCGGGTTTAAGCCATGCTCATGCCTCAGCCTCCCAAGTAGCTGGGATTACAGGAACGCGCCACTACTCCAGGCCAATTTTTATATTTTCAGTAGGGACGGGGTTTTGCCATCCTGTCCAGGCTGGTCTCGAACTCCTGACCTCACGTGATCCTCTCGCCTCAGACTCCCAAAGTGCTGAGGTTACAGGTGTGAGCCACCATGCCTGGCCCTGCACAAACTGTTATCTGGAACTATCATTTACACTCACCCTCACAGTTTCAGGCACTGCTAAGGCTGCTCCAGCAATCAGGAAAGGAAATGCTATACTTCACATAGAGAAAAATAGGGGTGCATTTTGTTCCTACACAAGCTCATTACCCCACCCTGGTTAAAAAAAACCCTGAATTAGGCTGTATAGTGGCTCATGCCTGCAATTCCAGCACTTTGGGAGGCCCAGGCAGGAGGATCGCTTTGGGCTTGGGGCCAGGAGTTCGAGACCAGCCTGGGCAACATAGCAAGACCCGCCACCCGCCCCCCCAACCCCGCCGTCTCTACAAAAATTAAAAATAAAATTTTAAAAATTAGCCAAGTGTGGTGGTGCAGCGTCTGTAGTTCCAGCTACTCGGGAGGCTGAGGTGGGAGGATCGCTTGAGTCTGAGAAGTTGACTGCAGTGAGCTATGATCGTACCCCTGTACTCCAGCCTGGGCCACAGAGCGAGAAAAAACCCTGAATTAGAGACACGCTGCGGCCGTCCTTCCTCGGAGAGACCCGCCCCTCCTCAGAGGCCCACCCGGACCCTCAGGCCAACGCCGACCCCTCTCCACACGGACTTCTGCAGCCTCAGTTTCCCTCCTCAGACGCCCCCGGCTCCAATCCCGGCTCGGGCACTTCCTTCCCCTCTGGCGTGTCTTGGCCCGGGTCCCGGGGCTCCTGCGAGGATCACACAGGAACTCACTTGAAGTGTCCGGCGCAGTGCACTCCGACGGGGAGCCCTGCCCGGTCCCCGCGGCGAACCAGTCTCTTCCTCGGGTCCCCCTCTCCCCAAGCGCGCAGGCGCAATCCGCGTCGCCGACTCACGCGGCTGGTTTCAGGTTTCTGGCGAGGCCGGTGTTCGGCTGGCGGCTAGCTGGGACTAGCGGAACGGCGGAGTCTCGATTGGCAGTGCCTGGACAGGCGCAAGGGCCGGCGCGGGCTCCGGGCGCTCCCGGCATCCCTCGGGCGGCGGCGGCGGCGGCGGCGAGGCGAAGCGAAGGAGGAGTGTGTGCGGCGGGGCCGGCGGCGGGTAAAGGCGAGAAGGCTGCAGGAGACCGAGGGGGAGCCGGGCCGGTGGGGCCGCCGCCGCCGCCATGCAGGAAATCATCGCCAGCGTGGACCACATCAAGTTTGACTTGGAGATCGCGGTGGAGCAGCAGCTGGGGGCGCAGCCGCTGCCCTTCCCCGGCATGGACAGTGAGCGCGGGGCCCGGGCGGGAGGGCAAGAGCGACTCGAACCCGGGACCCGCTCCTCTGTGATCCCGGGACTCCCTCGCCTCGGTCCTGAGACCTCCCCCGGCTTCCTCTGGATCCTGGGACCCCTCCCCTTTGGTCGCAGGACTCCTCCCTCTAGGTCTTGAGAGTCCCTCCCACCTCCTCCGGGTCCTGGGATCCTCCCCTTTAGTTACCGAACTCCCTCATCTGTGGTCCCGAGACTCTTCCCACTCCATCCTGAGACCTCCTCTTCTGGATCCCGGGACGCTCCCCTTGGTTTCAGGACTCCTGACTCCCAGGCCCCCATTTCCACCGTCTGGGGACTCCTTTTACCCTCACTCGGACTCAGGAGTTCACTGCCTCGGATCTTTGGCCCTCTGCGGCTGTTCAAAGGTAATCTGTAGGAGGGTAGACCTTGTCTGTTCGCTTAATTCTTGAATAAGGGTGGGTTATCCTGGATTGGAACTCTCCCTCAACACTCTCCCAACTGCAGGAGAGTACTAGGATATCACACCCGCTACGTTGAGCGTCTCTTCTTGATTTCATCAAAACTAGGCGGTTGGAGGAGATGTGCTGAGGGAAGGACCACCTTTCTGTAGGAGACCCCAGCTAGACTCTCAAACTCCCTTCTAGGACTCACTCTCCTGGGAGCTCATCCCTAGTTTTTGGCCCGTCCCTACTTTTTTCTGGACCCCAACTCTGAGTTATTCATCACACCCAGCAGCTGGTGTGGACCCTTGGCCTGAACTCCCTTCACTGCTCCCCTTCATATGGTGGCTCCTGGCTTCCCACCTCCTACTCGGTGGGATATCTTGTACTTTAAAAGAAACCAGTAGTTTTCTTTGTGTCTTCTTTCCTATCTGGACATACTTGAAATCTAATGCTATAACCTTAAAGTTTGGGGGCTTGTGGAAGTCACTGAGTTCAATCCACAGATGGGGAAACTGAGACCCAAGCGGGGGAAGGGACTTGCTGACAATCACTCAGTGCATAGCAGAGGCGGGCAAGCTCTCCAGTGTTGTGTGCTGTCGCCCACAACTACCAGCGGGGTCTCCCACCGCTCCCAGCAGCCTCACTCCCCTCAGGCGGTCACACCTTCTCATGCACATGTGACCTCTGAGTCTGTCCCTTTATGTGTTTTTGTTGTTGTTGTTTGTTTGCTTTTGAGACAGGGGCCCCTCTGTCGCCCAGGCTGGGTGCAGTGACGCAATCATGGCTCAATGCAGCCTCGACTTCCCAGGCTCCAGCAATCCTCCCACCTCAGTCTCCCAAGTAGCTGGGACCACAGGCATGCACCAACACGCCTGGCAAATTTTTTTGTGTGTATTTCTTGGTAGAGACACTATTTCATCATGTTTCCCAGGGTTGGTCTTGAACTCCTGGGCTCAAGTGATCCTTTTACCTCGGCCTTCGGAAGTACTGGGATTATAGGCATGAGCCACTGCACCTGGCATATATATATATATATATATTTTTTTTTTTTTTTTTTTCCTGCCTGTCCCACAACTTTACATGGTGATAGTTCTGTACAAGATAGTTTCATTGGAAATTAATTAAGTCTTCAAGAAGACAAGATAGTGCTTATAAGGAGACATCATCAGACCACCCTATTTGACACAGGCACAAACACCATCACCACTGTACACTCCCTAAAAAGCAGCTGCTCAAATTCACACACACACACCCCCTCTTACCTACCCCTCGACTCTTGTGATCATCCCTGCACATGTGGCCTTTTCCTGTCTTTTTTTTTTTTTTTTTTTTGAGACAGAGTTTTGCTTTTGTCACCCAGGCTGGAGTGCAATGGTGCGATCTCGGCTCACTGCAACCTCCACCTCCCAGGTTCAAGCAGTTCTGCTGCCTTGGCCTCCTGAGTAGCTGGGATTATAGGCGCCCACCACCACGCCCAACTAATTTTTGTATTTTTAGTAGAGATGAGGTTTCACCATGTTGGCCAGGCTGGTCTTGAACTCCTGACCTTAAATGATCCACCTGCCTCGGCCTCCCAAAGTGCTGGGATTACGGGCATAAGCCACTGTGCCCAGCCGGCCTTTTCCTGTCTTGATGGCACTAGCTTGAGACCATGGAACCACCCACGCAGGGCAGCTCTTTTCCTCCCACCCTTCTGCCATCTGACACATCCACAAGCCTGTGAGGGGAGGTACAGTGGCGAGGGGCCCACATACCTGTTCCTGAGGCCCGGGACACACCTAGCCATGGGTGTTGCTCCAGCCAGGGCTTCAGAGTCGGTAGGCACCCTCCACACTCGCTGCTTGTCCATATCCTGTTCAGTTAAAGCCTAGTGAGGCCACAGCCCTTCCTCACCCATCCCTCCTCTTCATCCCCATCTGAGTTTTGGGAAGAACTGTCACTTTGCCCATAAGGCATACTCATCCTATCCACATGAGACTCAGTTCCCAGAACTGTGTATTTCTGAGCAGAAGCAACTCTAACCTCTAAAGAGAGAGACCAGAAGTACTTTCAGAATTTTTTTTTTCTTTTTTTTTGAGACAGAGTCTTGCTCTGTTACCCAGGCTGGAGCACAGTGACGCGATCTTGGCTCACTGCAACCTCTGCCTCTGGGTTCAAGTGATTCTCCTGCCTCAGCCTCCCAGGTAGCTGGGATTACAGGCACGTGCCACCATGTCTGACTAATTTTTGCATTTTTAGTAGAGATGGGGTTTCACCATATTGGCCAGGCTGGTCTTGAACTCCTGATGTCAAGTGATCCACCCGCCTCAGCCTCCCAAAGTGCTAGGATTACAGACGTGAGTCACCGCACCTGGCCACTTTCAGACTTTTTGAGATGCAAATGGAGTGACCTCCCTGTGACAGCCATAAGTTCTATAACCTCAGCTGTGTCCTAGCAAAATCTGCTTGCTTCCAAGAAGCCAAGGAATCTTTTGTGATTTAGCAAGGGGAGGCATGTTAAGTGGGCTTCAGAGATGCTGTCATTGGTTTTTCAGCAATTCTAAAATGGTTACTTGTAGAGGAAACTGTTTCTGATGCCAAGGTCAGTTTAGTCTGGCAGCTGGGGCTGGTGAATTCCTGGACTCATCAGAACAGCTGGTCCCTGGAGCCCACTGAATTCCAGCACACTCCGACTGTGGGAATGAAAGGCTGTGCTTTTTTTTTCTTTTCTTTTCTTTTTTATTAACAAGCAACATAATCGGCCGGGCGTTGTGGCTCACACCTGTAATCCCAGCACTTTGGGAGGCCGAGGCGGGCGGATCACGAGGTCAGGAGATCGAGACCATCCTGGCTAACACGGTGAAACCCCGTCTCTACTAAAAATACAAAAAATTAGCTGGGCAAGGTGGCGGGTGCCTGTAGTCCCAGCTACTCGGGAGGCTGAGGCAGGAGAATGGTGTGAACCCCGGTGGGGCAGAGCCTGCAGTGAGCCGAGATCACACCACTGCACTCCAGCCTGGGCAACAGCGAGACTCCGTCTCAAAAAAAAAAAAAAAAAAAACAAAAAACAAGCAATATAATCAAAAACAAAAACACAACAACCTTAAAGCTGAAACAGCAATAAGTCAAACTGCCGCGGCAGTTCACAGTTTTACCTGGGGTACCTGCTCCCTCATTGCAAGGCAAGACTGCATTTAGTATATATGTGACCAAGAAGAATGAGAGAAGTGGAAAACACTGGAGAACAGAAAGTATCAAGAACCTTTCATCAGGCAATGCCAAAGCGCTCTGCTCTTTTCCTCTTCTTTGCCTCTGTATCCTCTGTGGTTCCAGTTCCAGCTGAACTTGTGACAATCCCAAATCGCTCCTTCCTCTTTTTCAGTTTCTTATCATCTTCAGACTTTCTGGAAATTGAAGAGACATTCAAACCAAATCTTTGAGCTCTTTCCTTCGGCTTATCCAAGTTAACCATAGGTGTGTTCAGATGACAGACTTTTGTTGGAACTGAAGAAATCCCAAACCTAGCTGCCTGAGCAGCTTTCTTACTCTCCAAGCTCACAGGTACACTGAATTGTTCGGCCCTCTTCTGCATTCTCTCAGCCTGTGGTATTTCAGATGTAATTTTCACCACTTTCTTCTCTGCTGCCACATCAACAGTTTTTTTCAGGGGGTTCTTCCTATTTGACAAGGGGTTTTTTTCTTCTTCTGTTTCATCTCCTAGTACATCTTCATTTGCCTCCTCTTCAGCATGTTCTTCAAGATATGCCTGGAGTCTGTGGATAAGATCTTGCTTTATTCCCTTGGTCTCCAAACCACAAGAAGACATTCTTGCTTTAGTTTAGCAAGCTTCAGCTTATGGAGCTCCACCATCTCAGTTACCATCTTGTTACCCCTCCGGGTGTGCTCTTTTAATAATTGTATGTGGGGTGGGGTGCGGTGGCTCAATCCTAGCACTTTGGGAAGCCAAGGCAGGCGGATCACGAGGTCAGGAGTTCGAGACCAGCCTGTAATAATTGTATGTGGGCCAGGTGTGGTGGCTCACGTCTATAATCCCAGCACTTTGGGAGGCCAAGGTAGGTGGATCACTTGAAGCCAGTAGTTTGGGACCAGCCTGGCCAACATGGCAAAACCCTATCTCTACTAAAAATACAAAAAAATTGGGCAGGCATGATGGTACACCTATAATTCCAGCTACTCAGGAAGCTGAGGCAGGAGAATCTCTTGAACCAAGGAGGCAGAGGTTACGGTGAGCCAAGATCGCACCACCACACTCTAGCCTGGGCGACAGAGCGAGACTCTGTCTCAAAAAAATAGAAAAAAAAAATTGTGTACGGATGTTGCATATTAAAAGCAGTCCTCTGTTTCTGCACTTAATGTGCTTCCCCCTGGACTAGCATCTCAGAGGCACTGCCTCTTCCTTGAAGCCTGACCCTCCTCAGAGGCCCTGATTGTCTGTACGTCTGTGAGATCATTCCTTCCCTCTGCCTCATGTTAAGGTATCTGTGAATTCGCCCTCCTGGAGGAAGGTGTGAGCTAGGGGCCGTTAATTTATTCCTGTGTGTCAGGCACTTTGGCTCAACGCCTGTAATCCCAGCACTTTGGGAGGCCGAGGTGGGTGGATCACCTGAAGTCAAGAGTTCGAGACCAGCCTGGCCAACATGGTGAAACCCCGTCTCTACTAAAAATACAAAAATTAGCCAAGCGTGGTGGCAGGCACCTGTAATCCCAGCTACTTGGGAGGCTGAGGCAAGAGAATTGCTTGAACCTGGGAGGCAGAGATTGCAGTGAGCCAAGATCGCGTCATTGCACTCCAGCCCAGGCAACTAGAGCGAAACCCCATCTCAAAAAAAAAAAAATTATTTCTGTGATCTCGTACTCCAGCCTTCCTTTCCCCACCCACTCTTAACTCCTTGAAAGGATCTTATATACAGGAGGCTCTCAAAGCACTGGGTAATGACTGTTCTCAATGTATGTGTCTCATTTTGTAGGGCGTGACTAACTTAAGCAGCTTCTTCCTTGCTTGGTTGGGCTTTGCAAATTTTTGCTACTTTATTTCCTGTACCCTGAACCCTTGGTGGGTCAGAGGTCAGAAGGGTTCCCTCCCACTGTCTTCAGACATTGTCAATAGCAAATTGCACCTCTTTGATTCCTCTCCTTTTCTCTCCTTTCTACAGAGTCGGGCGCTGCTGTCTGTGAATTCTTTTTGAAAGCTGCCTGCGGCAAAGGTAAGAAACTCCGGGCTCCCTGATGTGCCTCCGGAGGCGCCCTCCCACCTCCTTCTCCCCGGCAGACTTGGAGGCCGCCAGGTCTCTGGCTTACATTGCTTTCTACAGACTAACGATCTCTGTAGATAAAACTGGTTTGGACAGGCTAGGACCCTGATGGGGTGTTCCACCTGAAACCTAAACGCAGGACTGAACCTGGCTCTAAGGCTGCCTTATCACTTCGCATTCCCCGTGGCCACAAGCTGACCTGTGACATGGAGAGAAGCCCCCAGCATTGAGACACTCAGGAACTTTCTCAATGTCACAGAGTTAATAAGCGGCAGAGCCCAGTGTCTGAACCCAGGTCTTTCTCATTCCATAGTTTCCACTGGCTCATGGTTTTCTGTGGCCTCCCATCGAAACACCCCATGATAACCCATCTTGCGGGGTCTTGTTCTCGATAACCAGCCCTCAACACAGACTACACAAAACTACTGAGGTGCGAGAATCCCTTGAACCAGGGAGTCAGAGGTTGCAGTGAGCCGAGATCGTGCCATTGCACTCCAGCCTGGCAACAGAGCAAGACTCTATCTCAAAAAAAAAAAAAATCTTGCTTTATTTGCTCGTCTCCAAACCACGAGCAAGACATTCATTCTTACTTTAGTTCAGCAAGCTTCAGCTTATGGAGCTCCACTGTCTTGGTCGCCATCTTGTTACCCCTCTGGCTGTGCTCTTTTAATAATTGTATGTGGGCCGGGCTAATCCATCAGAAGTATCACTAGGGGTCAGGCGTGGTGGCTTACGCCTGTAATCCCAGCACTTTGGGAGGCCGAGGTGGATGGATCACCTGAGGTCAGGAGTTTGAGACCAGCCTGGCCAACATGGTGAAACATCGTCTCTACTAAAAATTCAAAAATTAGCTGGGCATGGTGACGCCCGTCTGTAATCCCAGCTACTGGGGAGGCTGAGGCAGGAGAATCACTTGAACCTGTTAGGCAGAGGTTGTAGTGAGCCAAGATCGCACCACTGCACTCCAGCCTAGGTAACAGAGTGAGACTCTGTCTTAACAAAACAAAACAAAAAAAAAAGAAAGAAAGAAGTATCACTAGGTACAACCTAAACTTTCCATGGTCTGGGCATTTTTCTCCCTGTAGGAAAATTTATTTAGGAGACTTAAATATTAATCAGAAGCTTGAAAAAGAGAGCAGAGAATCAGAGCAAAGGGCTGGTTTTAATGAATGGTTTTGGTGAGTTTTGCTTCTATAACGTAGTCATTTACCACTGAGGTAGGAGACTTTCTGGCAGATCAGCCAGGCCACCTTCACACTGTCCAGTCAGAACGTCATTACCTCCACTGAGTTTCTGGTCTCATTCCCATGTCTTTGCTCAGTAATTCTGCCCTTCTGACCAGCCACCTTCTGTTAGCACAGCCATCCCTAACACAGGGCATTCTGTCTCTCTGTTGACTAATACAGTAGCCACTAGTCACATGTGGCAGTTCAAATTTAAGTAAAATCAAATCACATTTAAAACAAAATTCTCAGACACACTAGTCATATTTCAAGTGCTCAGTAGTCACATGGGGCTAGCAGCTGCCATATTGGACAGCAGAAGTGTACAGCGGCCTCATTCTGGTCGGACCTCCATGGTGGTCTTGCCAGGCCACCCGTTAGAAGTCTCACACATCCCCAGAGGCTGGCTCTGTCCCATCAGGTCCTGTCCCAGAAGGGACACGTCCCTCCATGTGTATACATCACATTTCCTCAATTCTGAAATTGGTCTTTCCTTTTTTTTTTTTTTTAAAAAAGAGGCAGCATCTTACTCTGTCACCCAGGCTGGAGTGCAGTGGCACAGTCATAGCTGACTGCAAGCTTGACCTCCTGGGCCCAAGTGATCCTCCCACCTCAGCCTCCTCAGTAGCCAGGACTACAGGTGTACACCACCATACCCAGCTTTTTTTTTTTTTTTTTTTTTTTTTTTTTTTTTTTTTAACGGAGTTTTGCTCTTGTTGCCCAGGCTGGAGTGCAGTGGTGTCATCTTGGTTCACTGCAACTTCTGCCTCCTGGGTTCAAGCAATTCTCCTGCCTCAGCCTCCTGAGTAGCTGGGATTACAGGTGCACACCACCACGCCCAGCTAATTTTTTGTATTTTTAGTAGAGACAGGGTTTCATTATGTTGGCCAGGCTGGTCTCGAACTCCTGACCTCAGGTGATGCACCTGCCTTGGCCTCCCAAACTACTGCGATTGCAGGTGTGAGCCACTGTGCCTGGTCCCCAAGCTTGCTTGGCTGGCTTACTTACTTACTTACTTATTTATTTATGTAGTGAAGACAAGATCTCAGGCTGATCTCGAACTTCTTGGCTCAAGTGATTCTCCTGTCTTGGCCTTCCAAAGTGCTAGGATCATAGATTTGAGCTCCTACACCCGGCCAAGTTCCTTTCTTTTTTTTTTTCTTTTTTTTTTTTTTGAGACAGAGTTTTGTTCTTGTCATCCAGGCTGGAGTGCAATGGCGTGATCTCCGGTCACTGCAACCTCCGCCTCCTGGGTTCAAGCGATTCTCCAGCCTCAGCCTCCCAAGTAGCTGGGATTACAGGCACCCACCCGCAAGCCGGGCTAATTTTTTTTGTACTTTTAGTAGAGATGGGGTTTCACCATGTCAGCCAGGCTGGTCTCGAACTCCTGACCTCGTGATCTACCCACCTCAGCCTCCCAGCACCTCCCCCCTTTTAATTCCTCCATCTTACAGTAATATCTGTGAGATCATGAGTAACTTTTTTTTTTTTTTTTTTGAAAAGGTGTCTTGCTCTGTTGCCCAGGCTGGTGTGCAGTGGCGCGATCTCTGCTCACTGCAAGCTCCGCCTCCCGGGTTCACGCTGTTGTCCTGCCTCAGCCTCCCGAGTAGCTGGGACTATAGGCGCCAGCCACCATGCGCGGCTAATTTTTTGTATTTTTAGAAGAGACAGGATTTCACCGTGACAGCCAGGATGGTCTCCGTGCCAGCCAGGATGGTCTCGATCTCCTGACCTTGTGATCCGCCCACCTCGGCCTTCCAAAGTGCTGGGATTACCAGCGTGATCCACTGCGCCCGGCCATGAGTAACTATTAAAATGTAAAATGTCTGTCAGTGTAGTACCTCAAATCATGTTGCCTTCTGTGAGGGGGACCTCTGCCCCTTTCCAGGACGTGATGCCTTCAGGTGGCTCCAGGAGTTAGGAAGTGAAGGTACCTCAGCTTCTTCAGGCCGTGTCCCCCAGGCTCAGGGTGGCCTCTCTGCTGACACCCTGTCCCTATCTTGCCGGCAGGGGGCATGTGTCCGTTTCGCCACATCAGTGGTGAGAAGACAGTTGTGTGCAAACACTGGCTGCGTGGCCTATGCAAGAAAGGGGACCAGTGTGAGTTCCTGCATGAGTATGACATGACCAAGATGCCCGAGTGCTACTTCTACTCCAAGTTCGGTAAGGCGCCTGGAGCCCTGGAGGCTCTGCTGAGAACCAGGGTGCAGAGGGGTCCGCTGGCTGCTCAGTGCCCACACTGTCTCTGCCTGCTTTTCCCATCTTTCTATTCTCAGAGGAGAACTCTGGCAGAACCTGCCAGCCTCAGCCAGCTTTTAGGGGACAGTGTGGCTATTTTCTGCTCATCTCTTTTTTTTTTTTTTTTTTTTTAAAGACATAGGGTCTCGCTATGTTTCACATACTGGTCTTGAACTCCTGGGCTCGAGTGATCTGCCTGCCTCAGCCTCCCAAAGTGCTGGGATTACAGGCGTGAGCCACCACGCCTGGCCCCGCGCATCACTTTGGAGTGCTTCAGTGTTTGGAGCTCTTTCAATCACTCGGATTTGAGGCTAACGAGGGTGACCCGGAAGCAGCGAGTTGTGCAGCTGGCTGCATTATGTCCGTGGTTGGTTTCTGTCCACGTCCACCTTCTCCCTGAAACCCACTTCTCCCTCCAGCGTGGGCATTGCCTCTCAGGCCCGAGCTGGTTCCTTCTCTCCAGGAGCCATGATCCTGGTGACATCTCAGCCATCCTAAATAGCCCTTCAAAATAACAGCCTCAGATGTGTCTTCTGGTAGCAACAAACTTGCCTTGAGCCCTGCTTAGAGAATGCGTGGCCTCAGCTGTCCTGAGTGGCCTGCGTGGAGAAGCGGGAGCCCGGGTGGAGTCAGTGGGGCTGGCACGGAGTCTGGCAGAGATGTGCTCCCTGCTGGAAGGAGTCCCCAGGGTCCCCGCTCAGGTCTGCACTTCCAGGTTTCCCGGGAAGCAGCTCTGTGGGTCAGCGTGAGGCTGGCTCTGGTCCTGTGCAGGGAGCCCGGCAGGAGGCTGGAATCCTGCAGGGAGCCAGGGAGTGCAGGGTATGCTTCATGCTTTCAAAGCACTGCTGTTGGAGGAGACATTAATTATTTCAGCATCCCATCAGGCGTGGCCTGCTGGCTTATCAATGAGAGCTGTGGCTTGTTTTGTGGAGGTGGCATAAGCTGAGAAGAAATAGGACCCAAGCTTCCCAGCTCCCCAAGTGCTGTCCCTGTCATTGTGCAATGTAGCATGTTCCCCCCGATGCCTTGCCCATAGCAGCACTGGGGCAGCACTGGGATGGGGCAGTGGCCTCCCATCTGTCCCCAGAGGCAGCAGCTGGCTCTCCTGGGCAGGCTCTTAAGGCACCGCTATACAAGTGGCCTGAGGGTCGCTCCTTCCTTGCTGACAGCCCTGGTGCAGGACGCACTGTCTGCAGCTTCTGTCACCTGCACCACAGACATTGGGTTGAGGGCCCCCTTTCCAGGCACTGGAGGGACAATGGTGAAGAGGTCCTTGCCCTGTGAAGCCTTCACTCTTGTGGTCCAGGGAAAGAGGTAGCTGATAGGCCATGAGACGAACAGAGAAGAAATTGCTTGTGACAAGTGCTTTGAAGGAAGGAAACCGTGACCAGAACCTTCTCTAGGCTGAGTGGTCAAGGATGAGGGGATTCCTGAGCTGGAAGCGGAAGACTAAGAAGGGGCTGGTCCTGGTACAGGGGGACCCATGTGGCTGGGGGGTGGCAGAGGCTGAGCCTGCGGAGGGGCCTGGGGAAGGAGTTTGCATTTCCTCTGGATTTTGAGCACAGTTGTAAACATGGATTGGAGAAGGTGAGCCTGGAAGCGGGCAACTACTCAGGAAGGCGGTTCTTGGTGCTGGTGGTCCCTGGGGTCCGCTGCTTTGGAGAGGGCCAGGTCCACAAGTGCTTCCCCTACCCTTGTCCCAGCTCTTAGATGTGAAGAGCCAATCAGAATGGAACTTCCTGGTCTCAATGGGTGCATTTCCATCACAGCTCCGCTGCACAGGAAGCTGGGGCTCAGAAACACTCTTCCCTGGCTCTCAGGGCTCGTCAGGCCAAAACTGGACACCAGAACCTCTTTTCCTTGGATGAAGCCAAGGTGGGCCTGGCCCCGGCCTTCCCAGTGGTCTCACGTCTGAGTTTCCCTGCAGGGGAGTGCAGCAACAAGGAATGTCCCTTCCTGCACATCGACCCCGAGTCCAAGATCAAGGACTGTCCTTGGTATGACCGTGGCTTCTGCAAGCACGGTAGGTGCCAGGGTGGGCTGGGCCCCGGGCAAGAAGCCAGTCCTCCCTTCTCTGCCCACGACCCTGGAGGCTGCCAGCTGGTCTACCTGTCCCAGCAAAACCTGACATTCTGCAGCTAGCGGCTTTCTCACACTCCTCATCTCCCTTGCCTCTCCCAAGAATGCTGGGTGGGTGGTGGTCCACCCGCTTTTTTGATAAGGAGGCCAGTGTTGGGAGGTGAGGTCCCTGCCCCGTCTCCCATGAATGGGGGACAGCCAGCATTTGAAACCATGCTCCAGCTCTCTAACTGGTAGAGGGGACATCTAAGTGACCGGACACTTGGCTCTGCAGGTCCCCTCTGCAGGCACCGGCACACACGGAGAGTCATCTGTGTGAATTACCTCGTGGGATTCTGCCCGGAGGGGCCCTCGTGTAAATTCATGCAGTGAGTAGCCAGCTGCTCCGCCCTCTACCCCAGCTCCCGGCCCAGGCCCTGCTGCCCTCCGTATCTTCCCTGGGCCAACTGGGCCTTGGTCACTGGGTGATGTCAGTACCAGGGCCAAGGGTGGGGGCAGGAGATGGGGAAGTAATCCCTGCTTATGGCCACCAATGCTTCCTGAGCCCGCAGGTGGCTCTGCCTAGACCAGGAGCTGATCTTTCTTGGGTCATGGGCCATCTGGTAATGTAATGGAAGCTGTGGGATACAGACAAACATGTAGCCTTGCATATCATTTAGGGAATTTGGGGACTTCCAGTTAAGAACCTGTGCCCTAAAGGAAAGAATTTCAGAGCCTCCCATGTGGAGGCTCAGGAAACCCTGAGCTTGGGGTTTCACATAGAATAAGTAGTCGTCTAACAGTGAGGGTAGGAGAGAACGCACCCATTTCACACAGCAGCACACTGAGGCACAGGGCTCAGTCCCTGGCCAAGGGCACATGGTAGCAGGTGGTGGCACCTGGTCAAAGGCAAGTCTGGGCTGGGTGTGGTGGCTCACGCCTGTAATCCCATAACTTTGGGAGGCAGAGGAAGGCGGATCACGAGGTCAGGAGTTCGAGACTAGCCTGGCCAATATGGTGAAACCCCGTCTCTACTAAAAATACAAAAATTAGCCAGGTGTAGCGGCGCGTGCCTGTAGTCCCAGCTACTTGGGAGGCTGAGGCAAAAGAATCACTTGAACCCAGGAGGTGGAAGTTGCAGTGAGCCAACATCGTGCCACTGCACTCCAGCCTGGGTGACAGAGCAAGACTCCATCTCTAAATAAATAAAATAAATAAATAGCAAGTCTGTGAGCCTCCGAAGACGGGTTTTAATTCTTGCTCTGTGGGGTTAGCACCCCTCTTGTGGCTCCATTTTCTTGTCCTTGGAGCCCAGTGCCCATCTGTCACTTTGGTTGTGGACCTGGGCTTCTGCCTGGGGTGGCACTGGGGCCACAGACAAGCCTCCCTTCCTCCCGGCTGCCTCGCCCACACTGCTGAACCTACAGCAGGATAACAGTCTCCAGGTCTGTGGGAACCCTGGTCCCTGCTTCTCACTGCAGGGAAGTGGCCGGTGCTGTCACTGGGTCTCACTCCCTGAATGAGAGTGCAGGCACCTGCAGGTGGCTCAGGGGCAGACCGTCACCAAGTGATGGGAGGAGGGGCTGACGCCAGAGTAAGACCCTGCGGGGAGGGGGGCTTCCCTGTGTACAGCTCCTGTGGCGCAGCAGGCACGCACCAGCACAGCCTTTGTCATTTCCGAGAAGCACTGGCCATGAGTCTCCCAGCTCGGTGTAGGCAGGGTTGGGTCTGAGCCCAGGCAAGTCAGTTCTGTTCTCCCCGCCACTCCTGTGGCCTCCCAGGAGCAGAGCTGAGTGCCAGCCACCACCCCATCCATGCAGCTTGTGTCAGTCACTTTGTGCTGGGGCAGCTGAGTGTGATTTTCCTAGGGCTGGAATTTAAGAGCATGGCCTGGCTTCTCTTCTCATCCCCTGACCCCACTCCTTCTCTTGTTCTCATCCCCTCTGGCTGCTGGTGACCAGCCCTCGATTTGAACTGCCCATGGGAACCACCGAGCAGCCCCCACTGCCGCAGCAGACACAGCCTCCAGCAAAGGTACCGTGCCTGGCCTTCCTCGGTAGGAAGGAAGTGCCTTTTCTACAGCGAGAACCTCAGTGTCCCCCAGGGGTGTGGTCTGCCTTAGACCCCGCTGGACAACTTGGGAGAGGAGGGGAGTCTCCCAAGTTCCCGAAGAAAAGTCAGGAGCAAAGCCGTGTATATCTCCCTCGAGAGACGGAGGGCCTCTTGCCCTAGAACCTCAGCAAGGCCAAGCGCAGCAGCAGACACAGTCCAGGCGCCGTGCAACTGGCCACCCGTTGTGAGATGGGGCTAACCTGGTTCAGCAGCGTCTGCCCCTGGGGCTGGCATGGAGGGCGGCCTGGGCACCGTGTCTGCTGCTCTTGCTCCTGGGTCAGACCCTTTATTTTGCAAATAGGGAAACCGAGACTACCAGAGGGAGGGACCTGCCTGAGGTGACACCACTGGGCAGGAGCAGGTGTGGCAGCAGAACTGACCACTCTGGCCAGCACCGCCCCTGCTCCTGTGGAGTGGAGGTTGGGAGGAGGCGCGAGAACAGGCCCGGCTGGCTCCAGTTTTCTAGATGAGGGGCCCCACAGCCAAGCAGCTGGTCCGTCCCCTCAAGCACAAGGAGAGGGGGAAATGCTGTAGACACATGGGGATCTGCAGCAGCCTCTCAATGCCAAGGGCACCCTGAGTTTGGTTATGGGAGTCGGGAGTTGAGCCAAGAGGAAGGGCTGGCGTCAAGGCAGGGCGGGCATCAGGCAGGGTTCCCAACAGGCCCATCAAGCCCAACCACCTCCTGAGCCCAATGCCTCACCTCCTACCCTGCTGGGCTCTGGACTGGCTGCCAAAGCCCCACCAGCCCCGCTCAGTGCTAGAGGCTGAACAGCCAGGAGAGGATGCGGAGGATGTAGCTGCGTGGAGGCGCCAATCACATTGAACTCTTGATGGGGAAAGCCGGGAATTCCAGGTGTAGGTGCAGCCGTGCCAACCTGGGGGTTTTCTAGCTCGGGTTCTGCACTTACGGGCCAGAGCCAGGAGCCCACCTGGTGGGGAGGAGGCCCTGCTGTGGAATCCCTACCCCAGGAGCCCTGGCCCTCCTCCTGGTGGGGCTCCCTAGAGGAGGGTCCTCTCAGCCCGAGAACGCAGCTCAGTGTGTCAGGCTCCAACTGTTTTTCTGTGACTTGCTCGCCGTGTAGGCTGCTAAACATCTGGCTGAACCAAGCGTTCATCCTGACCTGAAGCCAGAACCTCAGAAACCAAAGTAAGGCCTGATCATGCCCTCGCCCCACTGCCCCAGAGACCTCCTCTTGTCTCTTTGATGTTTTGTTTTCTATTTTATTTTTCGTTTTTGTGTGTCTGCATGGTGTTTTTCGGGCAGTGGCTTCTGCCATCATCACCACATGTTTCTCTGCTGCCCACTGTCCTGAGGTGGGCCGTCGTGGAAGCCCTGCTTCCTGCCGTTTGCGGGACGAGTCCCGCCCTCTTTTTTCCTGTCCCCATCGGTAGTCTGCGTGCACGTGTTTTCCACAGTAAAACCGTGTTGTGTAACTCTTTCCAGCAAAGTAACAATCCGCCATTACAAAGGTCGTCCTCCTTGATCCAGTTAACGAGTCAGAACTCTTCTCCCAATCAGCAGAGAACCCCGCAGGTCATCGGGGTCATGCAGAGTCAAAACAGCAGCGCGGGCAACCGGGGACCCCGGCCACTGGAGCAGGTCACCTGTTACAAGGTGAGTCCCTGGGCTGGGGGACAGGGTGGGGTCTTCCCTTACCGTCAGTGGCCATTCCCTCATGCCCCATGTGTTTGGTGAAATGAGAAAAATGAAAACATTCATTTTTGCTGATTGTAAGCATAAAGTTACAGTCTAGTTACCATCCACTGTGGTGGGCTAGAGACTGTCCTATTTCCTACCACACTGCACTGAGGCACGGTAAAGGATGGTGAGAACGCCTGCCTAGTGAATGGACGGGGCCTGCAGGCAGGTGAGGGAAGCCCCCAAGAGGCCGGGAACAAAATAGAAACACTGATCCAGGGAAGGGTGAGCCCTTGGAGCCGCTGGCTGTCCTGGGGGCATCCTTGGATCCTGCAGGGCACACCCGAGAAAACAGGACACTGGGTTACAGCACCCCTGTCCCCATCCCCTCCCCCAGTACATAAAATGGGACTCAGGAAGGGTGAGCTTCAAGAAACCTCCTCGAAAACTGTCCTGTTCACTCCTGGCTCTGTGGGAAGCGGGGAAAGGGGAGGAAAATCTCTTGATAGTTTGACGTTATTAATGGGCCCTTATGTGAGTCTAGGCCTGTATTCATGTCCTTGGTTAAGGCTGGAAAGTTACAAACTAAGTTTTCTAATCTAAAATCGCCCCAGGATTGGTGTGTCCCTGGCACGTGGCAGGAGTAACCC
This sequence comes from Homo sapiens, assembly GCF_000001405.40. Lineage (NCBI taxonomy): Eukaryota > Metazoa > Chordata > Mammalia > Primates > Hominidae > Homo > Homo sapiens. The sequence continues at coordinate 99,454,811 of NC_000007.14, forward strand.
CCAGTACTCTTTGAAGAGTATGTTCTCAACCCAAGGCGCACACAATTCCTACAGCTGGAGTTCTGAAGAATGAGTCCAGATTAAAAATCACAAAACAGGCTGGGTGTGGTGGTGCACGCCTGTAGTCCCAGCTACTGGGGAGGCTTAGATGGGAGGATTGCTTGGGCCCAGGAGGTCAAGCCTGCAGTGAGCTATGACTGCACCACTGCACTCCAGCCTGGGCAACAGACTGAGACTCTTTGTCTCCAAAAAAATAAAAGAGCATGGAAGTGGGGCACTGTGTAGAGCAGACTTAGCTGTTATCTTGCCACCCTCCAGGCCTGTTAAGCGGGGCCACTTCTGTGCAGCAAGCGCCCTTAAGTCCTGGAGCCTTAGAAAGGTAGGGCTGACCGCCCCTGTCCACAGCCTGTCACCCCATTAATGTCAGAGACACTTCATGTAAGTCCTGGATTCCCCAGAGTCAGCTGTGGGGTCCGACAGACATGCCAGATGCCGTGAGCAGGGTGTGTGGTCCCTCCCCCAGCCATCATGTTAGCCCTACAGCCCATCGGCAGCCTCTCCATACAGAGTCACACCTGCAGATCAGACAAAGTTGAAAACACAGGGACAGCTGGGTGCGGTGGCTCACGCCTGTAATCCCAGCACTTTGGGAGGCCGAGGGGAGCAGGTCACAAGGTCAGGAGTTCGAGACCATCCTGGCCAACATAGAAGAAAGAAAACAGGAATTGCAGAGCCAGGGAATAGAGCTGGCAAGAGTGTTGGGTGCCAACTGGGCAGAGCCCCTCAGGGCAGCAGGGACTCAGGGGTGGGTGTCAGTACAGAGTCAGTGCCCCCAGCTGCCTCCTGACCCTTTTGTTCAGTGCTTGAGGCTGCCGTTTTAGGAGTCATAGAGTAAAGAGAAGCTATGGAAGGGCCTGGATAATCAGGACTGGGATGAGGCAGGGTCAGGGCTGGATTTGTCATGTGGCTCTGCAGGCTCCCCTTACCCAAGTCTAAGCATCGTCCCATCTCTCTGATCCTGTAATCAAAACCTGTCCCCAAGGTAGCTTAGGTGTGTCACAGCCACGAGGGAAAACGTTGGGTACAGCCCACCCTCTGTCCCCAGCAGTGGCTCCCCAAGGGAGGGGAGGCTGGGACACTTCTGATGCTGTTCCCTCCCATCTCCTGCCAGGGAACCCCAGACCTTGGCTCAGAGGTAAGTGACTGGCCTGTGGTGCAGAAGGGCTTGGTCCCCAGACGGGGTGGCGGAGCTCAGGTGCCACGGGCTTCTCTTTGTCCTGCTACCCACTTGGGAGTCCCTCCCTGGGCAGGCCATGTGTCCAGGTGGGAGAGTTGTGGGCCTGAAAGAGCAGGTCGCTAGCAGGTCGCCTTCTGGCGGCCTTGTTCTCCCTTGCATCTGCGGAGTTGCTGGCTAGTTTCTGCACCACTGCACTTTCCATCCTGAGCTCCCTCACCCTCTAATTTGAAAGAAACTCTGTACCACTGAGAATTTCAGAGTCATGTCCCGACTGGGGACTTGGTGGATGATTTGGGATTTGGTGGGCACTCCCTTAGTTGAAAACTGCATTTGAACAGTGTTGTTGTCTGTCTCTCCTCTTCCCCCACTTCCTGCTGTTCCCAGTGTGGCGAGAAAGGACACTACGCCAACAGATGCACCAAAGGGCACTTGGCCTTTCTCAGTGGACAGTGACAGCAGCTGGAGCCAGCTCCGAGCAGCCCGGGGGCCCCGCTGTTGGGAGTGTGCATTTAACTGTTTCATGCGCTTGTTGGCGCGACTGTGGCTCGAGCTGGCCCGCAGACACGTGGGTTTCATCACTCTGAGGGGCCACGTCTGTTAGTTTCCTATCATTTTGCCTTAGTATTTTTTGAAAAAGGGACATGTGTCCTGTGGGTCCCTGCAGTCGACATCATGTTTGGCTGGGCATCGATGCCTCCTTTCTGGGACTCCCGGCACAACTCCCCTCATCCAGGGAGGGAGGCAGCTGCTGGGGAGGGGCTTGGCTAGGTAGTTCTGTGTGGCGGTGGTCATTCCCCTCATTAAACACCAGTTCTTGGTGACGCCAGGGGCTGGTAGGTCATTCAAAGCTGTGGCCAGCTCACGCCTGCTTCCTCCCTCCCTGCCCTGCTGAATCCTAAAGCTGTGCCTATATCTGTGATTTGAATGAGGGAGCCCTTTGGGGCAAATTCAGGTGCCCCCATTGCCTCAGGCTGGCCCTGGTCCCAGGTGGCAGCGGTTGAGGAGGGGTACAGGGCTCTCAAGCCTGAGGTTTTCTTCTCTGGGCTTAATTTTCTCTTGGGGTACGTGCCTGACAGTGTTTAAGGTGTCCGTTGAACTGGAGTTGCAGACTTTTAAATAGATGACCCCTTCAGATCATCTGTGCCTACCTCCTGCCCATCAGGCGTCTACACTGTCACTCAGACACCTGTGGCATGTGGAGGAGACTGCCCTGTCCTGAGCCTGGAAAATGTGAAACTGTCTCCTGCAACCTGCTGGGCATGTGGGCCTGGCTGTGTTCAATTGCAAGAACAATTTTTATGAAATGGATTAAAGCTTGTTTTTTAAGCCATGTCTCATTAATTAAGGGTCTCATGCCAACCCTTTTACACTGGCTGCAATCACGGCGTAGCTTTCTTGTCCCTTTCAACAAATGTCAGCCTCACAAAGGGAAGTGCAGCTGCCCAGAAGGCCTGCAAGCAGCTGGTCAAGTCTGGGAGTCTGATCTGTGGAGCCAGCAGGCAGGTCCTCCACCTCAGCTCAGATGTCTGGTGGCACCTATTTCTGGGGCACAGTATCCCACCCCCAATGAGGCTCTGATGAAGAGGAAGCAGGGAGGGGCCGCCATAGCCCCTCACTTTTCCCCATCACCCCCAACCCACTAAGCCTCCTGTTAGAGAAGCCGCCTCAGCCGGAGGGCCACAATCCCTGCAGCCTGGGCGTGAGTGCTGCCTGAGGTCTCTCCAGACAGTGCCGGGTCACCTCACCCTGTAGCCCTTGATGCCCCAGGGTGATGCAGAAACACAGGATGCGGGCCATCCCTGCCTGGAGCCACAGGACAGCCGGGGTGGGATCTGGCGCTCTCAGGTACGCAAGCCTTTGTGTTACACCATAAAGGGCCAGCCAACTAAAGGCCAGAATGTCTGCAAATGCACCTGCCCACAGCACTCATGGCAAGGGACGGACTTCGGCACTGCTGCTTCGGGAAGGTCTGGATGACACCCTGCCCTCCAGGGAGCTGGGACACGACCAGAGTGGTGGTCTGGGAAGTCCACAAAGGCCTTCACCGGTCAACGGCCTGGAAAGACGACCTCCCCCCACCTTGTGCCACAGGAGCCCCTGGAACATGGGATAATGGCTACGGCAGACAGGCAGGCAATCAGCACACGTACCAGTCATGTTTTATTTGGAGGTTAATTCCTATTAGGATATGAAAGGATTCAGCAACGATTGAGATTGTGTTCCTCACGGAGGGGCTCGGGCCAAGGTCGTGGGGTGGGGGGGTGCAGAGTGTGTCCTCTTCAGTGGTATTTGCGGAGCCGCTCGTGCTCTGAAGTCAGGAAGGCAAGATGGTAAGTATCTTAAAAGGTTACAGTGAAGGCACAGCATGGCAGGAAGCAGGCTGAGATCACACAAAGCCTTCCTGAGAATTCCCTTCAGAGATGACCCATGACCCGCCTGCCGGTGTCTCTGCAGAATCAGCAGACCCGGGGGGCACAAAGACACCTCAGGAGCCAACCTGCCACCTGGCCAACCACTTTCTTTCCAGAAGGAACAGAGGGAACACACGCTCAGACAAACAGCCCCAGAGAACCCGTCCTTCAGAGGCAGGACCGCCCTGGTGCCACAGAATGGGAGTGAGGTGGGGGTAGGGGGTGTACACTACACTGTCAGAAACAGCCTAGTCAGAGGCTGCCACCGACACCTCCCGCCAATCTCCCACCAGACAAGCTCCTCTCAAGCCTCAGAGCCGGAACAGCCATGCTTTTCTGGGGTACCAGATTATCCCACTCAACTCATTTCTCTTTCTGCATTGGCTACTAGGAAAATCGAGCCAAATTTTCACAGTGTGCTGTATTTTAAAGAATGCTTCTAAGTACTCTCTTTACCCTGGCTTCATCTTGATTTTCCTGTGTTCTCTTTGTCACAATTTTCTCATTTCAAACAATATCCCACATACTGTACTCTGATAGGTCCCTCCAATTCTTTTAGGTGGAAACATAAGGAACTTTAACTAAAGGTCCCTCAGCCTCAGAAGAAGGTGGGCTGCTGTATCTAATGAAATCAGTCACCACCACCCTCTCATGGGAACTAAAGGCAAGACGCCGCAGAGGCACTCACTGAGATGCTTGTAGGAAAAGGAGTAGCTAAAGAGCACGTAGCATGCCAGCACCATGGTAATCCCCGAGATGCTCCCCTTCTTCACATTGATGTACTTGTTGTAGTACCGGTAGTAACCTGCAAACGCAAGAGGCGCTCACTGCCCTGCTGGGCTTCACATTTGAGTGAAGTTGAGCACACAGTTGAGTCTGGCTGACATTCAGGGACCTAGTCCTGCTCTGGCTGTTTAAGCCCCTCGCCCTGCATTCACTGGCTGATAAAGATGACAAGCACAAATGCCAGTAAGGTCTCTCATCCCCATAGCCTGAACTATAAGCACATACCAGCTCCTGAACTAGGCCTACCTGGATTCCACCTCTCCCCTTTGGCTGTGAGCTTATAGCCTCCTGAGTAGCTGGGACTACAGGCATGCACCACCACAGCCAGCTAATTTTTCTTGTGTGGTTTTTTTTATAGAGATGGGGTCTCTCCATATTGCCTAGGCTGGTCTAAACTCGGCTCAAGCAATCCTCCAGCCTTGGCCTCCCGAAGTGCCGGGATTACAGGCATAAGCCACCACACCAGGCCAAGATAGGCCATTTCAAATATTTGTCCTGAAGTTCTGGCAGGGAGGAGAGCATCATATTATAGACTAATGCCCACTACGGTTCCAATTCATTTTCCTCTTAAAGAAGTCTTAGGATTTCTCTAAGACAGAGGCAGACATACTGATTCCAAGCAACAGGAAACATGTTCTTGGCTGTAATATCTCAGAGCCAGCCTTTGAAAGGGCCAATCAACCACAGAAGTCCAAGGCCTAGCATCCCTCCCTGTCATCCTCTACATAACTTACTGCTTTCAGACAACAAGGCCTTCATTGCCCAAATTAATTCATGGCAAAAAAGAGATCTGAAGACCCAGAGATTTGCTTTCATTTACAGACATCCACAAGGCTCTGACCTCTTTGAAACGCTCCGAAAATGCCACTAGGACTGAAGTCCCGCATCAAGATCCAGCTTGGCAGCTCCCCCAGTTTGACCTCCAGAAGTTTCTTGTCCTTCACTGGTACTGAAACGGAAGAGTGAGAAAAAATACCCACTGAATAATCTCCCAGTAACACATATGGCATCCTTTCCTGCCACTGCTTCAACTATGCAATAAAGGTGCATAATGCAATTACACAGAGGCTGCACATACACAATATTATGAAGAAATATGTCACATCAAGCCCACTATTTTAAGACTGAGTCTATACAATAGCAGAACTGCTGCAGGGACAGCTTTATTAACCAACAGGACGTCTGAGTAACAGCTTGCTGGGAGTAACTCCAGAAAAGGGTCTCGAAAAAAGCAGTAACGTGGCGGACAGGAAAGATTACTGCAAAGCTAACATTTACTTGACATTATTAGCTTATTTAATCTTCACAACAAGCACTTCATGTCTTTACCTTAAAGGAGGGGAGGGGGGATAGACTCAGAGAGGTTGGGCCACGTGACCAAAGTCACACACACAACGTGGGGTCAGGACTGGCCCTCCTATGTCCCTGAAGCCAATATGAGGGTGCCCTGTCCAACCCTGGGGATGTGTCGCTGGAGAACGTACAAGAGGGGATGTGGAAGGAGAGCGGTGTGACGGTGCCAAGTGTCTCACTCAGACTTGACGCACTTGTTTACTGGGGAAGGGCTTCAAACAGCACCTGGGTTCACACAGCTGGCAGACTCACCAGATGGGCCAGCCCGAGCAAGTATAATGAAAGAAACCCAAGGAATTTCCACCTCCAGCATCCTGGGACCACGGACACCAACAATTTCCAGAGATAAAAATAAGAGATAACACATTCCGAGAAGTCAAGTGACGAAAAACCACTCCAAATGACTGAACGGCCCCAGATCGTATTCCAATGGGAGTCTGAGAACAAGGAATCAGAAGGGCTCCTGGCTGAGGCTGTACTGTCCTCACATTTGGGCCCAGGAGGAGACTATGGAGGGCCAGGGAGTGGGTGGGCCTGTGGGCGTCAAGGAGATGCATTTAAGAAAGGAATCGTCTCCCCTGTTCTCCCTGCAAAGATTTATTTATTTATTTCTGAGAGACAGGGTCTCACTCCATTACCCAGGCTGGAGTGCACTGGTTATTCACAGGTGTGGTCACAGCTCACTGCAGCCTCACTGAGCCTCCTGGACTCAAGTGATCCTCCTGCCTCAACCTCCTGAACAGCTGGGACTACAGGTGTGTGCCACCACACCCAGCTAATGATAAGTTTTAAAAAGCTTTTAGCAGATGTCCTATTGAGGGCAAAGAGTCTAGGACCACGGTGCCTTCTCAAAGATAACCACAAGAGGAGCCAGATTAAATAATCCCAAGGTTTCTTCTCCATTTTGAGATCAAAGGAAAGACTAAGGCTCTGTCAGGACCAGCCTCAAGAGTCTGCTGAGGGAGGCCAGGGCACAGTAGTTCACACTATAATCCCAGCACTTTGGGAGGTCGAGGCAGGCAGATCACTTGAGGTCAGGAGTTTGAGACCAGCCTGGCCAACATGGTGAAACTGCACCATGAGATCACGCCACTGCACCTGCCCAGGCTGGAGTGCAGTGGCATGATCTCGGCTCACTGCAACCTCCACCTCCTGGTTCTAGCGATTCTCCTGCCTCAGCCTCCTGAGTAGCTGGGACTACAGGCATGCGCCACGACACCCAGCTAATTTTTGTATTTTTAGTAGAGACAGGGTTTCACCATGTTGGCCAGGCTGGTCTCGAACTCCTGACCTCAGGCGATCTGCCCACCTCGGCCCCCCAAAGTGCTGGGATTACAGGCATGAGCCACCGCACCAGGCCAGAAAACTCACTTCCTGATCCAGTGAAGCCATTTTTTCACATTCACATAAACTATGCAGACATATTCTGCATCTCATTACCATGTTCAGGGGCTGGCATGGAGCCTGGCACATCACAGGAGAAAAAAGGCAACAATTTACAACTTGTTTTTCTTCCTAGTTCTATCTCTGTATTATGAAGACAAGGGTGTTTCCTTAAAACCAACACATCAGGGGCCGGGCACGGTGGCTCACGCCTGTAATCCCAGCACTTTGGGAAGCTGAGGCGGGAAGATCCTGAGGTCAGGAAATCGAGACCATCCTGGCTAACATGGTGAAACCCCATCACTACTAAAAAAAAAAAAAAAAAAAAAAAAAAAAAATTAGCCAGGTGTGGTGGCGGGCGCCTGTAGTCCTAGCTACTAGGGAGGCTGAGGCAGGAGAATGGCGTGAACCTGGGAGGCGGAGCTTGCAGTGAGCTGAGATTGTGCCACTACACTCCAGCCTGGGTGACAGAGCAAGAATCCGTGTCAAAAACAAACAAAAACCTAACACATTTGGCAGGGCACGGTGGCTCACGCCTGTAATCCCAGCACTGTGGGAGGCCAAGGCAGGCAGATCACGAGGTCAGGAGTTCAAGACCAGCCTGGCCAACATAGTGAAACCTCATCTCTACTAAAAATACAAAAATTAGCTGGGCATGGTGGCGTGTGCCTGTAGTCCCCGCTACTCGGGAGGCTGAGACAGGAGAATCGCTTAAACCTGGGAGGTAGAGGTTGCAGTGAGCCAAGATCGTGCCACTGCAAGGGACTATCCAGTTCATCCAAGATGCATCTATACTTATTCCACGAATTTCTCTTTCACTGGAAGGCAAAGGAAGGCCTCAGTCCTTGGTTGCCCTATTGGAACTCCCACCCCAACTCTACACACACCCGCTCCTCTGCAGCACTGAAGCTTCCATCTGCAATCACTGGGTCACATAAAGAGACCCAGTAGAGTTCAGAGACAGAGCAGACCCTTGGGTCTAGTGCCATTCTGGGTTTAATGCCATTTTGTAGGTGTGTGCCCTTGGGCAAGGTACTACTCCTTCTCAGTTTCCTCCTTTGTGAAATCCTTGGTACTTGGCCCTAGGTACTATGTAAATGAGAACTATTACCACCTTTCTGCCTGGTTATGAGCTACCTGAAGGTGCGAATATCCCCACCACTTCTTGGTACACGACAGATTCTCAGTAATGGTTGTAGAACCACAGATCCTCGAGAGGAAACATACTGTTCATTACTATGAAGCCACATGGAAATAGCAAGTCTCTCCTGAGTGCTAAATCCAACCTGGGGGTTGTCCAGAGAATAAAGATTTTTGGATTTGCAGGCCACATAAGGTCTTCATAGCATAGTCTATTTTATTTTTAAACAATCTTTTTAAAAACAGAAAATGACCCAATGCAGTGGCTCACGCCAGTAATCCCAACACTTTGGCCGAGATGGGAGGACTGCTTGAGGCCAGGAGTTTGAGACCCCATCTCTATAATAAATAAAATAAAAACAAAAAACCATTCTAGGCCCTGTACAGTGGCTCACGTCTGTAATCCCAGCACTCTGGGAGGCCAAGGCAGGAGGATCACGAGCTCAGGAGTCTGAGACCAGCCTGACCAAAATGGCGAAACCCCATCTCTACTAAAAATACAAAAATTAGCCGGGTGTGGTGGCGGGCACCTGCAATTCCAGCTACTTGGGAGGCTGAGGCAGGAGAATCACTTGAACCTGGGAGGTGGAGGTTGCACTGAGCTGAGATCGTGCTATTGCACTGCAGCCTGGGCGACAAAAGCAAGACTCCATCTCAAAAAATAAATAAATAAATAAAAATAAAATATAAAAACAAAAAAACCATTCTGAGCTCATGGCCAGACAAAAACAGGCCACACGAAATCCAACTCACTGGCCATAGTTTGCCAACCGCGATCTTATCTACTGCTGCTAATTCATATTTCCCTCACTTTATGTGCTCATGAAATACTGTCTTTGTCCTCTGGTGACAGACACTACCTAAAAGATCATCAATACCTAAGAGACATGGACTCCAATTTCTTCACCGGGGGTGATGCTGAATAGGCCAGGCATGTGACATGACCCTGCCTAAAGGTCACAAAGTAAAGGCTGGGATGACCAGCTCACACCGACTGAGTACTCACTGTGGGCCACGCAGCGTTCCAAGTGTCTTTCACATGCTAAATCGATTGATCCTTAGTTCAGAGCTCTTGACCACAGCCCTATGCTTAAACAAAATGCCCCAGTGTTCACTTTTCACAGGTTGTCTCCTTAACACAACTACCGTGTACGACGAATGCTATTATGCCCATTTTACTGAGGGGAAAACAGCTTCCCTCTCATCTATTCTGAACCCCTCTTCATTTCTCTAGGCTGAGATTAAGAATACAGAGGCCGGAGGCCGGGCGCAGTGGCTCACACCTGTAATCCCAGCACTTTGGGAGGCTGAGGTGGGCAGATCACAAGGTCAGGAGATCGAGACCATCCTGGCTAACACAGTGAAACCCTGTCTCTACTAAAAATACAAAAAATTAGCTGGGCGGGGTGGCGGGCGCCTGTAGTCCCAGCTACTCAGGAGGCTGAGGCAGGAGAATGGCGTGAACCCGGGAGGCAGAGCTTGCAGTGAGCTGAGATCGCGCCACTGCACTCCAGCCTGGGCGACAGAGCGAGACTCCATCTCAAAAAAACAAACCAGAGGTCAGGCGCAGTGGCTCACGCTGGTAATCTCAACACTTTGGGAGGTCGAAGCAGGTGACTCACTTGAGGTCAAGAGTTTGAGACCAGCCTGGTCAACGTGGCGAAACCCATCTCTACTAAAAATACAAAAAAAAATTAGCCGGGCGTAGGTACTGGTGTGTGCCTGTAATCCCAGATACTTGGGAGGCTGAGGCAGCAGAATCATTTGAACCTGGGAGGCAGAGGTTGCAGAGACGAGATCAGCTACTGCACTCTAGCCTGGGCGACAGCGTGAGACTCCATGTCAAAAAAAAAGAATACAGAAACGCAGTGGCTCACACCTGTAGTCCCAGCACTTTGGGAGGCCGAGGTACATGGATCACCTGAGGTCAGGGGTTCAAGACTAGCCTGGCCAACGTGGTGAAAGCCCGTCTCTACTAAAAATACAAAAATTAGCTGGGCATGGTGGCCTGCGCCTGTAATCCCAGCTACTCGGAGGCTGAGGCTGGAGAATCGCTTGAACCCAGGAGGCAAAGGTTACAGTGAGCCGAGATCACACCATTGCACTCCACCCTGGGCGACAAGAGCGAAACGCCATCTCAAAAAAAAAATGATAAAAAAAAACCAGAAACTGAGCTAAGACACACATGTGTTAATCAAAACTCTGCCACTATCAGGCTGTGTGACCTCAGAGAGGCCACACCACATCCCGAACAGTTATTTCCCTCATCTGTAAAATGGAATCGACTTTCCCAACAAGGACTCTCTGACAAGGCTACTATGGAGCATCTAGGGCTAACTATTCAAAAACAAACAAACAAAAATCATCAGTGTGCACAGCGGGATGAATGTAGCGATTTACACATGGGTGTCTCGGAAAAGCCTGCTAGTCATAAGGCCGTCCTAGAGAATAAAGTTCATTTACCACGAATCCTCAGGTTTGAATACCAGCTCAGCCCTCGCACGAGTTGTGACCTTGAACAGGTCACCTCGCCTCTCTGATTCAACATATATGCATCGAACCTTACATGGTATCAGGTACAGTCCTAGTCCTGAGCTCCTCCTGGAGCTTCATCTGAGCTTAAGCCTTGGGAAAAAAGGGCAAAAGCTGCGCCTAACATTCAAGTGCAAAGCAACTGGGTCGCAGCGGGAGAGGGAAGCGGCTATTTCTTAGCGGAAAGAGGAACAGTGGCCCAAGGCGGCGCATTCCCAGGCCCAGAAGCGCGTGCCCCAGATGCCTTCACCCTCCACGCCTAACCCGGTTGGCGCAGGCCCTGGGCAGCAGGAAGGCGCGCCTGGGCAGGCGGAGCGGGGTCTGGCGCGCCTCAAGTGAGGTCGTGGCGAAGTGCCTGAGCAAAGGGCAGGCAGCTCCGCAGCTTCCTTCTCTCCCAGTGTGGCTCTGGACCCTGGACCCTGGCTCCTGCTTCCACCACGGAGTCCAAACAGCCTTACCTGGGGCCGGACACTCACCAACTGACGCCATTTTGGAGTCCTGGTGTCCGCTGTGCCGGACCGCGCGAGGGCTGCTGGGTAGGGAATGCACGCCCCATCCAGGGGCGTAGAGCAGAGGCTCACGGGAAGCAGGTCACAACTGCGAACACCCTGGAACTACTAGAAGGCCATGAAGCGAAGGGCGAGGTGCCTGGACAGCAAAAATCCGAGGGTCCTGCAGTTAGAGAGAGGGGCGCCTCAGCCTGGGCTCTCTACCTTAAAAGGTGGGAAGAGGCCGCGCTGGGACTACAAGCGTGCACCAGCACAGCAAGCTAATTTTTGTATTTTTAGTAGAGACAGGGTTTCACCATGTTGGCCAGGCTGGCCTTGAACTCCTTTCCTCACGTGATCCCCCCGCCTCGGCCTCCCAAAGTTCTGGGGTTACCGGCGTGAGCCACCGCGCCCAGTCTATTTTTATTTTTATTTTTTACTTTTCAGACGAGCATTTACTTTTCAGACAGTGGCTTGATCACGGCTGACTGCAGCCTTGAACTCCCGGAGTCAAGCGATCCACCCATCTCAGCCTCCCAAGTAGCTAGGACTACAGGCTCACATCACCACTTCCAGCTTTTTTTTTTTTTTTTTTTTTTTTTTTTTTTTTTTGGTGGAAACAGTGTGGTGAGGAGTGGGGGTAGAGGCTCTCTATTTTGCTCAGGCTGGTCTTGAACTCCTGGCCTCAAGCGTTCTTCCTCCACCTCCGAAGTAGCTGGGACTACAGGTGCACGCCACCACGCCCAGCTAATTATATTTTGTAGAGAAGGCGTCTCCCTATGTTGCCTAGACTGCTCTTAAACTCTTGGCCTCGAGCGTTCCTCCTACCTCGGCCTCCCAAAATACTGGAACTGCCGGCATGAACCACACTGCCCGGGCTACTTCAATTTTGATTATTTTAATTAATTTATTTATTTATTTAGAGACAGAGTCTCGCTCTGTCACCCAGGCTAGAGTGCAGTGGCGCGATCTCGGCTCACTGCCAGCTCCACCTCCGGGGTTCACTCCATTCTCCTGCCTCAGCCTCCCGAGTAGCTGGGACTACAGGCGCCCACCACCACGCCTGGCTAATTTTTTGTATTTTTTTGTATTTTTAGTAGAGACGGGGTTTCAACATGTTAGCCAGGATGGTCTCAATCTCCTGACCTCGTGATCCACCCGCTTCGGCCTCCCAAAGTTCTAGGATTACAGGCGTGAGCCACCGCGCCGGGCCTCCGATTTTTAAAACAACCTCGAGAGCAGGTCTTGTAGTCATAACTTGCCAAATAAATGCCACCCTCGTTCAGTTCATTCTGCTACATTTCTTGTTTCAGAGGTGGCATTGTGGGGCTCCTCCATGTCTGCTTCCCTTCTCCCCAGGCAGTGAAAATCGCATATACAATTATAGGTGTGTGAAAGCACGGCCAGCATCGCCAGTGGGAATTAAAAATGGTTAAAAAAACAAAACAAAACAAACAGGCCAGGTGCGGTGGTTCACGCCTGTAATCCTAGCACTTTGGGAGGCAGAGGTGGGCGGATCACTTGAGGTCAGGTGTTCAAAACCAGCCGGGCCAACATGGTGAAAATACGAAAAAAATTAGCTGAGCGCGGTGGCAGGTGCCTGCAATTCCAGCTACTTGGGAGGCTGAGGCAGGAGAATCACTTGAACCTGGGAAGTGGAGGTTGCAGCGAGCGGAGGTCAAGCCACTGCACTCCAGCCTGGGCGGCAGAGCAAGACTCTGTCTCAAAAAAAACAAAAAACAAACAAACAAAAAAAAACCAGGCTGGTCGCGGTGGTTCACGCCTGTAATCCCAGCACTTTGGGAGGCCAAGGTGCGCGGATCACCTGAGATCAGGAGTTCGAGATCAGCCTCCTCAACATGGCAAAACCTCATCTCTGCTAAAAATACAAAAAGTAGCCAAGCGTGGTGATATGCGCCTGTCATTCCAGCTACTCCAGAGGCTGAGGCGGGAGAATTGCTTGAACCTGGGAGGCGGAGGTTGCAGTGAGCAGAGATGGGGCCACTGCACTGCAGCCTGGGTGATGGAGTGAGAACTTGTCTCCAAACAAACCAACCAACCCCAGCAAATATAGTAGTGTACTGCGGTAGGAGTGTTCTCAACGGTTCCTTGCACCCTTGAACTCTCTGTCTTCAAAGTTTATTTCACTTGCTCCTTGCGGTGTGTGTTGACCATCCACGGTATAATGCGGGTATAATGTAGTCTTAGGAGTTTATTACCCGCCTTGGGCTGCGTCCCTAAGCAACTGAACCCCCAGGAAAAACCCTGCCCATTGCACCAGGGCCTATGTAACTCCCACTCCCCAGGGCTGGGGCAGATGCCAGGGCTGGGGCAGAGGGCCCCGCAGGAAGGATCAGGGATGGGGTCTGCCGGACCCCAGGTGTCAGGTCCTCCGTGGGGCAGGAATCGGCCTGGGGACCTTCCTGGTCCACCCAGGGAATCCTCCTGCAGGGTGCGAGTATGGGACCTGGAAGACTACGAGGGACCGAAGAGACCCGACTGCACTGTGTCCGGGCAGAGGCAGCCTCCGGGAGCTGATGGACTTGAGGGCTGGGGCAGGGGAAGCTGAGGGGGCCGCTGTTCCGTGGGACGTGCAGGAGAGCAGCAAAAGGCAGGAGTGGCCAGTGGCACCCGCGCCCCCGCCCCTTCCCCAGGCCGGACACTCGCGGGGACGCAGAGCCGCCGGAGCCCAGGATCCGCACACTGGAATCCAGGGAGGCCCCGGGAAGAGGCCGGAGGGAAGCTACGCCAATGCCCGATCCCCTGGGGTGGATGGAAGGACTGAGGGCGCAGGAGCTGTGATTTGTATATGTATAAATGCCAACGTTTTAGTTAATGAACTGGGGTTGTTTCGGGGAAGGTGGGGGTGGGTTGGAGGGAGCAGATTATTCCAAAGATAATTTTTTTTTTTTTGGTAAGAGACGGAGTCCCGCTCTGTCGCCCAGGCTGGAGTGCAATGGCGCGATCTCGGCTCCCTGTACCTCCGCCTCCCGAGTTGAAGCGATTCTGCCTCAGCCTCCCGAGTAGTTGGGATTACTGGCACCCGCCACCACGCCCGGCTAATTTTTATATTTTTAGTAGAGACGGGGATTCACCATGTTGGCCAGGCTGGTATCGAACTCCTGGCCTCAGGTGATCCGCCTAGCCTCGGCCACCCAAACTGCTGGGATTACAGGCGTGAGCCACCGCCCCCAGCTTGAACATAGTACTCTTTCGTTGATCTGGCCCTCGTGCAAATTCTTAGTGCTCCCCAAGCAGAGGGCTGGGGAGAAGAGAATCCGGATCCCTGACAACCCCGCCCCAGCCTTCTCTGCTAAGCTGCGTGAAACATTTTCCACTGTGGCTTCCCAAACGTGTCTCCTTAGGAGACTACACAGCCCGAGGCAGGTGAATTTTCCCGAATGACAAGAGGATTATTCCCGAACCCCGTGGTGGCGTCTGCTTCTATCCTGTTTCGTTTACTTTTACACTTCCCTCTGAATTACAAAAGGGAAAAAGAACTCTTTAGGGTCCATCTAAAGCACAAAAAAGTTAGGTTTCCAAGACCTCGTGGCGCAACGGCAGCGCGTCTGACTCCAGATCAGAAGGTTGCGTGTTCAAATCACGTCGGGGTCAAACATGTGATCATCCCTTTCTTTAGCCAACAGGAGTTATAGCTTGCCGGTAACTCTCAACCTTGGACACTGTATTTTCTGTTCTTTAGCCCTAAAGATTTATTTGCGTAGGTACTTCAGCAGTGGACCGGCACCTTAGCTAAAGTGTGAGGAAAAATTCAGAACCAATACTTAGGTCGTGCTGTTCACATCTGTAGCAGGATTTATCAGGACTGTGCCTCAGACAGTACATTCACAGGACTTCAGACAGGACCTTAAAACAGTGCAGGAGCACTTTGGGAGGCTGAGGCGGGCAGATTGCTTGAGCCCAGGAGTTCAAGACCAGCCTGGGCAACGTATCAAAACCGTCTCTCAAAAAAAAAATAAAAATAAAAAAATAAACAAACAAACAAACAAAAAACAACGATAAAAGCAAAAGCAAAAATGCCAGGTGTAGTGGTGCATACCTGTAGTACCAGCTGCTGCTTAGGAGGCTGAGGCGGGATGATCCCTTGAGCGCAGGTCGAGGCTGCAGTGAGCTATCATTGTGCCACTACACTCCAACCTGGGTGACAAGGTGAGACACTGTCTCTAAATGAAAAAATAAATAAAACGGTTCAGAGCTCGGGAAATAGTTGCCTTCCCAATCCAAAAACTACCTGCCCACCCTGGGGGCTGCTATCCTTGGAGAAGCATTGGTGGTGCAGCCTGATCTCCAGCATTTGAAGTTCCAGCACCACTAGCACAAAGCGTTATTCAAAACAAATGAGGAGGAAGTCAGTTGTCTTCCCCGAGCCGCTCCTATGGGACTGCGCTGGCCTGACGTGTCATCCGGCTCCCTCCCCACATTCGTATTCCTGGAACGACCTGCTGGACTGAGTTCCTTGTCCTCTCCCTAGGGGTGGCCAGGCCTGACCTCACTGCCTTCCCTATGTTCAAATGTCTTGAACCTGGAGTACTGAGTGTTCCTGTTTTCTGTTAAAGCCAACAGGAGCCAGGTGCGATGGCTCATGCCTGTAATCCCAGAACTTTGGGAGGTCGAGATGGGAGGATCGTTTGAGCCCAGGAGTTTGAGACCAGCCTGGGCAACATAGCAAGACCCCATCTCTTTTATTTTTTATTTTATTTTATTTATTTATTTATGAGACAGAGTCTCACTCTGTCACCCAGGCTGGAGTACAATGGCACAATCTCGGCTCCCTGCCACCTCCGCCTCCTGGGTTCAAGCGATTCTCCTGCCTCAGCCTCCCGAGTAGCTGGGATTACATACTCCTGCCACCGAGCCCGGCTAATTTTTGTATTTTTAGTAGTGACGGGGTTTCACCATGTTGGCCAGGCTGGTCTCGAACTCCTGATCTCAGGTAATCTGCCTGCCTTGACCTCCCAAAGTGCTGGAATTGCAGGCGTGAGCCACTGCACTCAGCCAACACACATATGTTTATTGCAACACTATTTACAATAGCAAAGACATGGAACCAACCCAAATGCCCATCAGTGGTAGACTGGATAAAGAAAATGTGGTACAAATACACCATGGAATACTAAGCAGCCACAAAAAGGAATGAGATCCTGTCCTTTGCAGGGACATGGATGAAGCTGGTGGCCATCAGCCTCAGCAAACTAACACAGGAACAGAAAACCAAACACAGCATGTTCTCATTCATAAGTGGGAATTGAATATTGAGAACGCATGGACACAGAGAGGGGAACAACACACACCTGGGCCTTTTGGGGAGTCGGGGGTAAGGGGAGGGAACTTAGAGGATGGGTCAATAGGTGCAGCAAACCACCATGGCACATGTAACAAACCTGCACGTTCTGCACGTGTATCCTGTTTGTTTTGTTTTGTTTAGAAGAAATAAAAAACAAACAAAACTTGGGAGGCCAAGGCAGGCGGATCACTTGAGGTCAGGAGTTCGAGACCAGCCTGGCCAAAATGGTGAAACCCCGTCTCTACTAAAAACACACACACAAAAAAAATTAGCCGGGAGTGGTAGCGGGCGCCTGTAGTCCCAGCTACTCAGGAGGCTGACGCAGGAGAATGGCGTGAACCCGGGAGGCGGAGCTTGCAGTGAGCCGAGATCGCGCCACTGCACTCCAGCCTGGGCGAGAGCGAGACTGTCTCAAAAAAAAAAGAAAAAAAATTAACCCCTTACTCACATTAAAACTGTATTTTGGGGGTAATTTACATAAGCCACACAATTATCCTTTTAATTAAGATCTAATATTCTTTTTTTTTTTTTTGAGACAGAGTCTCGCTCTGTCGCCAGTCTGGAGTGCAGTGGTGGGATCTCGGCTCACTGCAAGCTCCGCCTCCCGAGTTCAAGTGATTCTCCTGCCTCAGCCTCCCGAGTAGCTGGCACTACAGGCACGCCGCCACCATGCCCAGCTAATTTTTTTTTTTTTTTTTTTTTTTTTGAGACGGAGTCTCGCTCTGTCACCCAGGCTGGAGTGCGGTGGCGCAATCTCGGCTCACCGCAACCTCCGCCTCCCGGGTTCAAGCGCTTCTCCTGCCTCAGCCTCCCGAGTAGCCGGGGTTACAGGCAGGCACCACCATGCCCGGCTAATTTTATTTGTATTTTTAGTAGAGACGGGTTTCTCCATTGTTGGTCAGGCTGGTATCGAACTCCCGACCTCAGGTGATCCACCCGCCTCGGCCTCCCAGAGTGCTGGGATTACAGGCGTGAGCCACCGCGCCCGGCAATTTTTTTGTATTTTTAGTAGAGAAGGGGTTTCACCATGTTGGCCAGGATGATCTAAATCTCTTGACCTGATCCGCCGGCCTCTGCCTCCCAAAGTGCTGGGATTACAGGCGTAAGCCACCGCGCCTGGCCCATTTTTCTTCTTTTATCTGATAACCTTACTCCCCTCCACAAACACACAGCCAAAGAAACGAATTGTGTCGCTCTTGAATCATAGAATAATTCTAAATTATGTTACGATTAAACAGGAGGGGCGGGGCCCTGTCCATCACGTGACTCTCTCGGTGCTGTCTCCGGCCGTTGATTGGCCTGGGCGGGGAGGGCGGCCGTTGATTGGTTCGGGCCCACTCGCGCGGGCGCCACTCTCTTTGTCTGACAAGAGAGTCGTGAAGCCTCCGCGGTCCTAGAGGGGCCGCTGGCTGGGACGCTTCGCTCGGCGCGCGCAGGTGGAGCCAGCGAGAGGCTCTGAGGCTGCCAGAGTGGTTGTGTCTGTTCCTCCGGTAAGGGGTGATTCGCCGAGGGGCGCGGACCAGACAGACCTCGGGTCAGGCCCGGGAACCCCGAGAGGAGAGCCCAGCCCCTGGTGGAGGCGGCTTGGCGGAGATTCGGAGCCGTCAGCAGGTTTGGGGAGAAGGAAACGAGTGTTGTGGGGGGCGTGGGTGCGGGGGGTAGGCCACTGCGCACACCCCCGGCTCGCAGGGGACGCTCCGGGTTTGTGCGGCGGCTCTCGGGGCCTGTGGCACCAGCTTTTGAGTATTTTTGGCGGTGTCAAGTCTTCGGCAGCGAGAGGAGCAAAGTCCGAAGAATGAATGGATGGTGAACGCCTGGACTTGGTTTTGTTAGAGTGGGAGATGAGCCGTGGTTGTTAGTGGAAGGTGTTCACGTGATTGTGAAGCGGCATTTTGGATTTTGTCAAAAGTTAACAGTCCCCTCCAGTTAAAGTTTTAAGAGTTTATTGTGCATGCAGAGGAACAGCTGGCAAATTGTTCCAATGGCAGCTTGGAAAGCTAAATGAGGAAGTGCAGTGATCTTGATTGTAATTGGCCATTATCAACTTGCATTCCTTCTAGGGTAAGTCGAGCTGGATCAGCCTCGCATCTGTAGCTGATTGGTTCAGTTTATCATGCGGACGAGAAAAAAGCTTCTTTCCTGGTCAGCGCACACTTTTCAGGGAAATAAGGAATTGTTGTTGCTGTTGTGTTTGAGACGAAGTGTTACTCTGTTGCCCAGTTTGGAGTACAATGGGCCAATCTCGACTCACTGCAACCTCCAACTCCCGGGTTCAAGCGATTCTCCTGCCTCAGCCTCTCGAGTAGCGGGGACTACAGGCACGCGCCACCATGCCCGGCTAATTTTTGTATTTTTAGTGGAGACTGGGTTTCACTATGTTGGCCAGGCTGGTCTTGAACTCCTGACCTCATGATCCGCCCGCCTCGGCCTCCCAAAGTGCTGGGATTTACAGGTGTGAGCCACCACGCCCGGCCTGTTGTTTTTAAGAGAGACAGGGTCTTGCTCTGTCACCCAGGGTGGAGTGTAGTGGTGCCATCATAGCTCATTGCAGTCTCCAACTCCTGAACTCAAGGGAGAAATCAATGTATTTTAAATGCCTTACATGGCTGTGGGTGGTTGGCCTAGGGCCGTACCCAAAACATGGACTCCATTTAATTTTTCATTAGCAAGTCTGACATTCAGATGCACAGCCTTCACAAACACATTCAGTAAATATAGTGCAGGGGTGTCCAATCTCTTGGCTTCCCTGGGCCACATTGGAAGAAGAATTGTCTTGGACTACACATAAAATACACAAACACTAAAAATAGCTCATGAGCTAAAAAAAAATCGCAAAACAATTTCATAAGGTTTTAAGAAAGTTTACGAGCCGGGCGCGGTGGCTCACGCCTGTAATCCCAGCACTTTGGGAGGCCAAGGCGGGAGGATCACGAGGTCAGGAGATCAAGACCATCCTGGCTAACACGGTGAAACCCCGTCTCTACTAAAAATACAAAAAATTAGCGGGGCGTGGTGGCGGGCGCCTGTAGTCCCAGCTACTCGGGAAGCTGAGGCAGGAGAATGGCGTGAACCCGGGAGGCGGAGCTTGCAGTGAGCCGAGATCGCGCCACTGCACTCCAGCCTGGGCGACAGAGCGAGACTCCACCTCAAAAAAAAAAAAAAGAAAGTTTACGAATTTGTGTTGGGTTGGATTCAAAGTCGTCCTGGGCCATATGCGGTCCACAGGCTGAGGTTTGGACAAGTTTGGTGTAGAGAATGAAAGGGATGAGGCCTTTGCTCCAGCCTTGGAGCCATTGATCAGGATAGTTTTTAGAGTGTACCTCTTTGCTTAAAAGGCAGAGGGTCCACCCTGGGCAACATAGCAAGGCCCCACCTACAAAAGAACTACAAACAACTGGGCGTGGTGGTGCACTCTTGCAGTCCCATCTGCTTAGGAGACTGAGGCAGGAGCATTGCTTAAGCCCAGGAGTTGGAAGCTACAGTGAGCCATGATTACACCACTGCACTCCAGCCTGGGTGATAGAGGGAGACTCCTCAAAAAAAAAAAGAAAGGCAAAGGGTCTTCTAAACTGTTTTCAGGGAAGGTGAACTGTGTTTGAGGGGCATCCATTAAAATGAAAGTGAATTTCATTAAAATTCATCCTGAGTTAGAAAGCAAGTCTGTAGGCTGGGCGCAGTGGCTCACGCCTGTAATCCCAGCACTTTGGGAGGCTGAGGTGGGTGGATCACCTGAGATCAGGAGTTCAAGACCAGCCTGACCAACATGGTGAAACCCCATCTCAACTAAAAATACAAAAAAGTAGCTGGGCATGGCGGCGGGTGCCTGTAATCCCAGCTACTTCCGGAGGCTGAGGCAGGAGAATCGCTTGAACCCAGGAGGCGGAGGTTGCAGTGAGCAGAGATCACACCATTGTACTCCAGCCTGCACAACAAGAGTGAAACTCTGTTTAAAAAAAAAAAAAAATCAAGTCTGTAATTGTTACTGTTGCTGAATCCTGCTAGCAAATCACCAGGCTAGAGGTGAGGGTTGAGTGACCCCTTTAGAACACTTTCAGAGGGGGCTTGTCAGCAGGTGGAGCTGGCTGTAGGAGCAGGGTTGGAAATACGTAAGTAGATTTAGAGAAAGAAAAGCTGGTGAACTGGAATCCCTAGGATAACTAGACTCGGACATCCTGTGTGATAGGGGAGGGGAGCATTTGGCTTTCTCCTGTTGGTCCTAAATTAAAGGGAGTGGGGAGCAAAATTTTGGATAAAGCTGTTATTGATCAAGTCCTGATTTGGGGCCCATGCCTCAGAGGCTATGGTTTGGCTTCCAGAGCTGGTTGCTGCAGGGTGTGGATCAGAGTGCTATTTTTTCTTTCTTTTTTTTTTTTTTTTTGAGATGGAGTCTTGCTCTGTCACCAGGCTGGAGTGCAGTGGTACAATCTCAGTTCACTGCAACCTCCGCCTCCCAGGTTCAAGCGATTCTCCTGCCTCAGCCTCCCAAGTAGCTGGGAGTACAGGTGCCTGCCACCTCGCCCAGGTAATTTTTTGTATTTTAGTAGAGAAGGGCTTTCACCATGTTGGCCAGGATGGTCTCCATCTTCTGACCTCGTGATCCACCCGCCTCAGCCTCCCAAAGTGCTGGGATTATAGGCGTGAGCCACCGTGCCTGGCCAGAGTGCTATGTTTATATGTGGTCTATCTGCTGTCCCTTTGTATATGAGGTGCAGAGTATGACATGTTCTAGGGAGAAGGGGAGGGCAGGGCTGCAGGTTCTCTTGGATGGAGCTTGGGAAATTGAAATTACTAGACTTATTGTAGCGGCTCATGCATTTCATCACATGTTCCAACACCAAACACAGGGACTTTGTATTAAGCTTTGTCTGTGTGCCCCGTTGGAATTCCGGGTCCCAGATCTGCCAACCAAGAGAGCTTCAAATTAGGGCTGGCCTTACTGACTTTTTTTCTTCTCCAGCTCAGCCAGACGTCCAGGATCCCACCCCTTGCAAAAGACCAGGCCGTGGAAGCCATGTTCCCACCAGCCAGGG